>NC_000017.11:81799133-82161210 GCF_000001405.40 Homo sapiens
GATTCTTACTTGGCCCTCCTAATTGGGTGTTCTCAGTGAAAACGAGACACTGCTAATATGCTTTAGAAAATAGCCCTCACATTCTCCCTGTTCCCAATCCCCCACTTACTCTAAGCTCCCCAGGAGCAATAATTCAGAAGTCAAATTGCTCAGCACTCCTATGGTTCAAGTGATTCTTGTGTCTCAGCCTCCCAAGTAGCTGGGACTACAGGAGCCCACCACCACGCCCAGTTAATTTTTGTATTTTTTAGTAGAGATGGGGTTTCACCATGTTGACCAGGCTGGTCTCGAACTCCTGACCTCAAGTGATCCACTGGCCTCGGCCTCCAAAAGTGTTGGGATTACAGGCGTGAGCCACTGCGCCCAGCCTCAACCTTCTAGTGAACCCTCCATGCTCTGTTATCTTTTATTCCTCTTGGATTTTTGTTGTTTCTTTTCTTTTTCTTCTTCTTTTTCTTTTCTTTTTTTTTTTTTGAGATGGAGTTTCATTCTTGTTGCCCAGGCTGGAGTGCAATGGCACAACCTTGGCTCACTGCAACCTTCGCCTCCTGGGTTCAAGCAATTTGCCTGCCTCAGCCTCCCAAGTAGCTGGGATTACAGGCATGTGCTACCATGCCTGGCGAATTTTGTATTTTTAGTAGAGACAGGGTTTCTCCGTGTTGGTCGGGCTGATCTCAAACTCCCGACCTCAGGTGATCAGCCCGCCTTGGCCTCCCAAAGTGCTGAGATTACAGGCATGAGCCACCACACCCAGCCTTTTTGTTGTTTCTTCTGAGAGATTTCTTCAACTCAATTTTCCAACCCTTCTATTAAATTTTTTAAATTCCAGATATTCTATTTGCAGCCGGCAAGGACTCTTCCTGCGCTCTGCTTGTTTTCCAAAGCATTCCGTTCTAGTTTTTATGGGAGCATCATCCTTTCATGTCTCTAAGGATAATCAGAGTGGTTAAAATGTTCTTGAAGTTTTCTTCTGTTCCCTGCAGTAGCTCTGTTTCCTCCAGTTTCCTCTTTCCCAAGTGATTGGTCTGTCTCATATACCTAGAGGTCTTGCTTTGCATTCACATCTAAGGGCAAAAGGCGCTAGGATGCAGTGCGGAGGTCCATTCGCTTTGTCGTAAGGTTTGTGCCTTTCTTAGTCCTGCAGTGGTTGAGTAAAACCTGACCATCCCACACCCTCAAATACTAAGTGCCCCTGGGTAGTGATGTGGAGGGGCCTTCTTATTAATGTGAGGAAATGCTTGTGTTATAGGTTGTGGTGAGAAACGCTGGTTACAAAACTATATCAAAGTAAAAATGTATTAATGCACAGTAAAGACACCTGGAAAAAAAATGCCCTTTAATGCTCACAGAAGGTCTCTCCGAGGGGCAGCCCCACCACCCTCCTGTTTCCCTTCCTGCATTTCCACGTTTTTCTGGGCCCAGATGCAGCCTCCCCTCCCACCCCTGGTCCCTCCGCCTTGGCTTCCGGCTGTCGCTTTCATCCCTCCTCCTCATCAGCCCCTTGCAGAACTCCAGGGTGGGGCTTCTGAGTCTCGCTGGCAGTATGGGCTCCATAAGTCTTGCTGGACACCGAAATTAAGTTCTGCAGGTGCCGTCTCCAGAATCCCCAGCACAGATAGACAAACCCACATCTCAGGGGTGGGGGGTGCAGACCTGCCCCCAGCCCCGCTGCAGCCCGCCCCAGGACCAAGCACACCTCCAGGAGGGCCCCCTGCAATGAGTAGGACCCTGGGGACTGGATGGAGGGCAGGTCCCCCCACCCCCACTGCTGCTTGGGAAGGCCCTGCCCCCTCCATTCCCAGCTGCCCTCTGTTTATATGTCTCACCAATGTCAAGGGAAACCAGAACTGGATAGCAGTTGAAACACATATTTTGTTCGGGACTATTGTAATAGGGGAAAAAAGATTTTAGTATAGACCTGGGCTCAACTCTCAATGTGGCACAGGCAAGTGGGGATTTAGATCTGAGGAGCAGGGCGGGGTCAGTGGGTGGAAAATTACTGGCACGAAACACCTGTCTGGAGGATTCTGGCTAAACCCAGGAAACAGGAAGCTTGCTGAGGGCAGGCAGGGTTAGCAGACATCGCCTGGGGGTGGCGGAGGCTGAGAACCCTACCCAGGTAAAATGAAGCTTGCTGACGGCAGACAGGGTTAGCAGACACGGCCTGGAGGTGGCAGAGGCTAAGGAACCTACCCAGGTAAAACGAAGCTTGCTGACGGCAGACAGGGTTAGCAGACACGGCCTGGAGGTGGCAGAGGCTAAGGAACCTACCAAGGTAAAATGAAGCTTGCTGAAGGCAGCCAGGGTGAGCAGATATTGCCTGGGGGTGGCGGAAACTGAGGACCCTACCCAGGTAAAAGGAAGCCTGCTGAAGGCAGGCAGGGTGAGCAGACATTGCCTGTGGGTAGCAGAGGCTGAGGACTCTACCCAGGTAACAGGAATCTTGCTTAAGGCAGGCAAGGTGAGCAGACATCGCCTGGGGGTGGCGGAGGCTGAGGACTCTACCCAGATAACAGGAATCTTGCTGCGGGCAGCCAGGGTGAGCAGACGTCGCCTGGGGGTGGTGGAAGCTGAGGACCCTACCCAGGTAAAAGGAAGCTTGCTGAAGGCAGGCAAGGTAAGCAGACATCGCCTGGGGGTGGCGGAGGCTGAGGACCCTGATCAGATATGGGGGGATGGAGGCTTCTTGCCAAACTGACTTAGCAGAGTTCTTGCTGAATCTGGATTTTATAAGGCAGAATGCAGATGAGCCTGTGAGAAGGTTCTGAAGCCGGACTACAGTTTGGTCAAGCAAACAATCTTGTCATGGATTCAGTCATATAAATAAGGGTCACCCAGCCCAGGGGAGGTGCCCCACCCCATCTGTTCCCTCTCCCTCCCCACACTGAGTCCGAACCTTTCAGGCTTTGCCCCCTTCACACACTCCAAATTTATTCTTCTACTTCTCTTCCTGCAGGTACCAGACTCCGGCCACCCAGCGCTTACCTGGGACTGCTGGGCCTCTGCCCCGTGGGGACCTGTCCTCCAGGAAACAAGGCCAGACACAGGAGGGCAGGGAGGACTCTTCTCCAGGGCCGGTGCGCCGTCTCTTCAGCCCCATGGCACTTGACTTAGGCAGAGCCTACAGCACCCTCACCCCAGTCCCTGCAGCCACCAGGAGGTGGTCCCCCTCATCCCATTAGCCATCACCGCCATTCACAGAGGTCTCGGACTGAGGCTGGCAGGGGGAGCACCATGACCCAAGATCAGAACCCTGTTGTCTGTGCCTCTGGAGAGGTGGGGGCAGGAGCTGAGGGAGGGTTTGGGTGGAGAGGGGAGAAGATGCAGTAGCAGGAGCAGATGCTGGCAGGTAGAGACAAACTTTTATGACCTTTGCCTTCTGACCTTTGCCTCTGGCCACTGCTCCAACTAAAACAGAATGGCCCCCTCTGGGAACAGGGCTTCCTATGGGCTGGGAAGCATGGAGCCCCCACAGTGTGGCTATGCAGGGGAGTGAGGACCAGGTGGGGGCAGGCCTGTGGGGGTCACAGAGCTGGGCTAAGCTTCAGAGGGAAGTGGCCCCTGGGAGGGGGAATGGCTGGGGTTAAGACCCTGGGTTCCCACGCCCCCAAAACAGAAGTAGAATTAGGGAGAAAGGACCCCCAAGACCAAGGACGGCACCTATCAGAGGAGCTCTCCACGGGCAGGAGGTGTCCCAGGGTGAGGGTGGCCAGGACAGGTCTAGGGAAATGCAGGTGGAGCAGGACCCAGAGATGGATTGGAGATGCCGGAGGGGAGGCTTCCTAGCGGGAGCGGAGACAGGCACTGCAGACAAGTGTCAGCGGGAGGGGCTCTGGGTGGGGAAGAAGACTGGGACTTGGAGGAAGACCTCTCCAGGGAGAAGGGAGGAGGGGGAAGGAGAAGGGGAGGAAGTGGGAGGAGGAGAGTGCTCATCCTGGAAGCCACAGCCTCGGAGAGAACTTTCTAGAAGGAAGGCATGACCATCAGTGTCCCAGGATGCTGAGAGGCCAGGAAAGGTGAGGCCTCAAGGCGCCATGGGGTTGTGGTGACCCCAAGATCACTGGGCACAGAGCAGGGATGGCTGGGGGTGGAAGGGGAGGGGCGCGGGCTGAGGTTCTAGGGCCCCAAAGCCAGGTGTGATGTGGCTCTAGGGGGAGTGAGGAAGGGGAGAATGTCCCTCTGAGCGTGCCTCTTGGGGAAGGCAGGGGTTCTGGCTGGGGCTTCTCCACTCCCAGGAAAGGAGGTGGTGTGGAAGGAGCGGGTGGGACGGAGGAGAGAGCGCCCCGCGGCCGCAGGACCAGCAGGTGGGGGACCAGGGTCAGCGCTGCTGGAGGGGCCTTAGCGCGACAGGACTGGCCAGAGACCGGGGATGTGGCACAGAAAGAGTTAAAGGGCACCCCAGGGACCGCCCTGCCGGTCCACCCATGTCACCCATGTTGGCCCCTACTCCAGCCCCCGTCTGCTCTGCAGGGGAAGGAACCGGGAGCCGCGGTGGGGGCGACTGGGGGTGTCGGTCTTTCCAGAAAATCAGGCAGGCATCAGGAAAGAAGGGGCGAGAACCCGGGGACGCGAGAGGAAGGGGGCGAGGGGGCGCCCAGGGAGGCGGAGGGAGCGAGAGGAAGGGGGGCTGAGCCACGGCCCCCACGCCCGCGCGCCCCTCCGCGTCCCAGGGCGTCCCCTCCCGGAGCTGGGACCCACCGCGACCACCACCTGCTGGGCCAGGGTCCGCGGGCTCAGGGGTCTGCAGGATTAGGGTCTGCGGAACCAGGACCCGTGGGACAAAGGTCTGTGGGGCGCGGGTCCGCGGGGTGGAATTCAGCGCGCCGAGTCTGCGTATGGCCGGGGTACGAGGCGCTCCCTGCGCAGGGTGGGCAGGACCGAAGCTCGCCGGGAGGCTGCGCGGAGGGCGGGCGGGGACCCTCGGCTGCCGCTCCCACCCCCGCGGGGCCGCCCCCGAGCCCGCCCTCCGCCGCCGCCCTCGCCCTGCGTCGCCGCCGGAAAGTTTGCACCGACCCCGATCTGGCAGCGCCGCGAAGACGAGCGGTCACCGGCGCCCGACCCGAGCGCGCCCAGAGGACGGCGGGGAGCCAAGCCGACCCCCGAGCAGCGCCGCGCGGTGAGCACCTGGGCCGCGGCCCCGAGGGGACGTTGGGGAGTCGACCCGGTGGGGACAGAGACCGCGGGGCGGGCGCGGCGGGGCCGGGGGCGCGGGGAGCGGGGAGCCGGCCGGGCGGTCTCCGGGGTCCGGGCTGGTGCGCTCCTCAGTCCCGTCAGACACCCCCGTTCCCAACCCCGGCTCGGACACCACCCGGTCCTGCACCGTCGGGCAGGTCCAGGGGTCTCAGCCCCTCCCCCGTTCTCTGGTCCTGGGGGGCGCGGCTGGGGGCGGGGGTGTCGCTGGCCGCCTGGCGCCCTGCGGCGGCCACACTGCAGCGGCCACACTCCCCACTCAGGGCCCCGGGCCCCGCCGCCCTGGGGAGCGCACAAAGCGCCGCGGACGCGTCCCCGAGGCGCGGGGTCTCACCAGCGCTGTCTCCCCTCGGTGGGCTCCTGCCCCGAGGACTGCCCGGTGGCACCGGCGCGGCCCAGGATGGGGTGAGGGGTGTCTGCGCCCCGCCTGGCCGCTCCTCTTCCGCGGCCCACACTGGCGACTTTGACCCCGGCAAGCGGGTCACTGCCCTGCCCGGCTCCGGCCCCCCCGGCGCCCCACCACCCGGCCGACTCGGCCACCGGGCTTATGCTCCGACTCTGAACCGACTGACCCCGGCCCCCTCGGCGCCCGCATCCTCCAAGGACCGGCCAGGGCTGCTCTCTGCCCTTGGTATTGGGGACATCAGGGTTGGGGGGTCTGGGTGCACCCACGCCTGCCCCGCCCCCACGGGGTGAGGGCGCAGGGATAGGGCTTTGTCAACAGCCTGTGGCCCCTGATCCCGCCCCGGTGCCCTGACCTTCCACTACCTTCTCTGGTTTCACAAAAACATCCCGGCTCCCATCCCGGAGCTCCTCAAAGCGTCTGAGAGGCCCCTTGCGGACGCCCTGGGAGCCCCGCTGCCTTCCTGGACCAGTGGCCGCTCCACCCATCCTGGGGGCCCAGCTCCAGGTCTGCGGGTCCCTCAGCCGCCCCCAGTGGGAATCGGTGGAGCCTGACGCAGCCAGGAGCGCCCAAGAGTCACGTGTTCTGCCAGGGAGGACATGGGACAGGACACGGGGTGCCAGCCCTGCAAAGCGGCCGGGGCAGTGGAGCTCAGGTGGCCCTAAGCCCTGGTGGTGGCTGGTGTGGCCCGGCAGGCAGCTGTGGGAGGGAGGAAGGGGGTGGCATGCGGTGGGGGTCTAGAGAAGGCGGGCAGGGCACCTCGGGAGCCCCCCCATTGGGCACCTCGGGAACCCCCCACATTGGGCACCTCGGGAACCCTCCCATTGGGCACCTCGGGAACCCCCCACATTGGGCACCTCGGGAACCCCCGCATTGGGCACCTCGGGAACCCTCCCATTGGGCACCTCGGGAACCCCCCTATTGGGCACCTCGGGAACCCCCACATTGGGCACCTCGGGAACCCCCCCTATTGGGCACCTTGGGAACCCCTCCCCTAATTCTCAGCTGACTCCAAGGCCTGAGAAGGAGCTTGGTCACCTGGACTGTGAAGGTGGAGGGTGGGGTCCCTGGTGGGTCGTCCCACCTACCAGCTGTGTCGCCGGAAGGGTAATACGGAGCACTGTGGCCCCGGGGAGCCCCGAGTGGCAGCTCCACAGCTGGGAGTTTCTGTCCACTCCTTCAGTCAACAAACATTGATCCTGGGCTGACCGGGGCCCGGGGGTGTCAGTGTCTCCTCTCGGGGGAGAGGGCTGGGTGAGATCAACAGAGGAGCCTCCCTTCTTCCCTTCAGGCTGGTGTCACCTTCAGTGATGGGGCAGGGTCCCCACTTGGGAAGTTAAATCGTCGTCCCCGTCCCAGGACCACAGCAGCCTCAGCCCTGCTCTCCAGGCCAGGCTCTCTCATGGGTGCTCAGCTGGAAATTGGTCCCCCCCCGGCTCCACCCACCCCTGTTGGGGTGAGGAGCTGGAGTCTCCCTACCCATATGGGACCCACCACCCGCAGGGAACGGAGGACGCTCACACTTCTGCACCTCCTGCCTCACTATCAGAGACCCAGTGGAGAATTGCCTCCCACCTCACCTCTTGTATTCAGAGGCCCTGACCCCTAGGGATCCGGGACTAGGGGTGCCCTATGGGGAGCCCACCTGTGGCCTGTGGATGCTGAGCTGTCGGGGGAATCCTCCAGGATCCCCAGCCCCACCTTCCCAACCTTCTGTTGAGGCTGAGGGGACACAGAGCCCCACTCCTGGGTCCTGACTGTTTCAAAGAAAGGCCTGGGGGACTGGGCAGCCAACCCCTCCCTCGGCTCGCTGGGGTCTCCAGACTGGCTGCCCGGCTGGAAGGTGGGGCCCTGGCACGCGAGGACCTCATGTGTGGAGGCACTGGCTTGGGGGGTGCTCCCAGTGGCTCTAGAGTCAACATGACAGGCATCGAATGGCTCCTGTTTCTCTGGCAGAGTTGGGGCAGAGCCAGGCTTGGCCACGCTGGGCTCTAAGGGGCTGTCATTTTGCCCAGGGAGCTCCTGGCTGGGTGGTCCTCCCCCCAGGGTGAGCACGCGTCCCCCCCCACCCCCACTTCGAGGCGCCCAGGCAGGGAACAGCTCATTGGCCAGTGTCCTTCCTCCTTGTCCCCCGCCTGCATCTCCACCATCCACCCTGCTCCAGCTGCCCCTTGTCCCTCTCCCCGTCCCCTGCCCAGAGCCCCAGGTCTCCCCTGCACCCCTGAGCCTGCCCACCTAGCAGTGCCCCTCGTCCAGGGCCCCTCTGGGTTGGGGGTGCACACAGTGGGGAGAGGCGGCTCCTGCTGCTCCTCACCCAGCCCGGCTCAGTGGCCGGAGCCGCCCAGGACAGTGGCAGTAGATGGGGCTGTTTGATCAGGATCAGGGAAGATAAGGCCCCTTGCGTGACCCCAGAGCTGGGGACGCCAAAACTGCCCCTCCTCCCCCACCCGCCTGCCGCTGTCTCCGCCAGGGAGAGGCCCCTACTCTGTGGGTCCTTCGCCCCAGCACCAAGCCTGCATGGCTGCTCACCTGGCTCAGGAACTGGGGATCAGCGACACACGGGTCCTGCCTCCCATCGGCCCCTACATGAGCCCAGGGTCCAAGGGCTGCGGTTGGGAGCTCTTTAGCAGTCTGTGACGCAGGTGCCTGTCCCTGTCATTCAGCTGTCACACTGCTTGGGGCATCTCAGGCCCCGTTAGCGGGGCAGCCCTGGGTGGAGCTGGCCCCACGCGGGCTCACCCAGCCGCTACCTGGAGGAGGCTAAAATCCAGGCTGTCCCGTGGCAGCCAGCAGTCCAGGCCTGCCCGGAAACCCTCTGCTCCAGCTGCAGCCTTCGCCCATCTCCTTGCCCCTCTCCCCGGCTTCCCCCTGGCACTGCCTTCCAGCTGGCTGGCCCTCCATCTGCCCAGCCATCCATCCACACCTCTTATTCCATTTGAGGGTGCCCCAAAGAAGAGCCCGTAACAGCCCGGGGGCTCATAGCCAGCCACTCGCGGGACCCCGCACATGCACGTGGACCCACAGGAAGACCCTCCCTGCTTCTCCCACAGAATTCAGTTGGTGCAGAAACTGGGCTCTGTAGCAACGAAAGGCCGATTTGTGTAGCTGTTGCCACCCCGAACTCCCAGCTCAGATGCTGGCTGTGGCATGGGGACCAGGGGCTGTGACTCCCACAGCCCTGGCAGGCACCACGGGGGATGTCCTCCCCACCCTGTGCCCCCACCCTAGGCCAGCTCCTCCTCCAAGTCGACGCCCGCAGTGCTAACCTCAAAGGACTGTGCAGCCAGCCTGTGGCGTCCCATGGGATCCAGGAAGCCCAACCGAGCCTTGCACGGCACCCACGAGGCACCTAGGCACCCCGGTGCTGGGCAGGGGGCACACATGTGACACAGACCCCTGAGTGTGGGCCCCACACACTTGGCCTGGCACAGCTGCAAGCCAGCCCAGCCACTTTGCTCGCTGTGGCACTGGGGCCAAGTGATGGAAGGTCCAGGCACCGCCACCCTCACGCTTGGCACATTGGCTCAGGTCAGCCTGGCAAGCCAGCTTTCCCAGGGGCTAAGAATAGGTGAGGAGGATGGTGAGGAAGCAGCCGGGGGCTGTCAACTGAGGGAGGAGGTCACCATCTGGGGAGGCTGGTCCCCCACCCAAGAGCATTGGGTCAACCTGCAGGAAGGTGGCTGCCACCAGCAATGAGACGAGGGGCTCTGCGACCCTCAGAGCTGCCAGCCAGCCAGCCCTGGGTGGCAAGAGTGACTCCTCCTGGGGTCTCCTCCCTCCTATCGCCCTCTTTTTTTTTTTTTTTTTTTTTGAGACGGAGTCTCGCTCTGTCACCCAGGCTGGACTGCAATGGCTTGATCTCCGCTCACTGCAAGCTCTGCCTCCCGGGTTCACGCCATTCTCCTGCCTCAAGCTCCCGAGTAGCTGGGACTACAGACGCCCGCCACCACGCCTGGCTAATTTTTTGTATTTTTAGTAGAGACGGGGTTTCACTGTGTTAGCCAGGATGGTCTCGATCTCCAGACCTCGTGATCCACCCCCCTCGGCCTCCCAAAGTTCTGGGATTACAGGCGTGAGCCGCCGCGCCCGGCCCCCAGCTCCCTCTTTATCCCTAGGACCCTGAGGCTCAGAGGGGCAGCTTCAGGGGAGGACACCCCACTGGCCAGGACGCCCCAGGCTCTGCTGCTCTGCCACTCAGCTGCCCTCGGAGGAGCGTACACACCCACCAGGACTGCATTGCCCCAGCTGTGCAGCCCCTGCCAGATGTGGGAGGCAGCTAGCTGCCCAGAGGCATGCCCCCCTGCCAGCCACAGCGACCCCTGCTGCTGTTGCTGCTGCTGCTGGCCTGCCAGGTGAGGACTCACAGCACCCTCAGCACCCAGGGGCCCTCCTGTGAGGACTGCACACTGATGGCTCTCTGTCTGCCTGCCTGCCTGCCTGCCTGTCTGCCTGCCTGTCTGTCTGTCTGCCCGTCTGCCTGCCCATCTGCCTGTCTGTCTGCCTGTCCGTCTGTCTGTCCATCTGTCCATCTGCCTATCCATCTGCCTGCCTGTCTGCCTGTCCGTCTGCCTGTCTGTCTGCCTGTCCATCTGTCCATCTGCCTATCCATCTGCCTGCCTGTCTGTCGGCCTGCCTGCCTGCCTGTCTGTCTGCTGCCTGTCTGTCCGTCTGCCTGTCTGCCTGTCCGTCTGCCTGCCTGTCCGTCTGCCTGTCCGTCTGCCTGCCTGCCTGTCTGTCTGCCTGCCTGTCTGCCTGCCTGTCCGTCTGCCTGTCCGTCTGCCTGCCTGTCTGCCTGCCTGTCTGCCTGTCTGCCCGTCTGCCTGTCTGTCTGCCTGTCCGTCTGCCTGTCTGTCCGTCTGTCCATCTGCCTATCCATCTGCCTGCCTATCTGTCTGTCCGTCTGCCTGCCTGTCTGTCTGCCTGTCTGCCTGTCTGTCTGCCTGTCTGTCCATCTGCCTATCCATCTACCTGCCTGCCTGTCTGCCTGTCTGTCTGCCTGTCTGTCTGCCTGCCTGTCTGTCTGTCTGTCTGGTTGCTTGTGCATGTGTCCCCCAGCCACAGGTCCCCTCCGCTCAGGTGATGGACTTCCTGTTTGAGAAGTGGAAGCTCTACGGTGACCAGTGTCACCACAACCTGAGCCTGCTGCCCCCTCCCACGGGTGAGCCCCCCACCCAGAGCCTTTCAGCCTGTGCCTGGCCTCAGCACTTCCTGAGTTCTCTTCATGGGAAGGTTCCTGGGTGCTTATGCAGCCTTTGAGGACCCCGCCAAGGGGCCCTGTCATTCCTCAGGCCCCCACCACCGTGGGCAGGTGAGGTAACGAGGTAACTGAGCCACAGAGCTGGGGACTTGCCTCAGGCCGCAGAGCCAGGAAATAACAGAACGGTGGCATTGCCCCAGAACCGGCTGCTGCTGCTGCCCCCAGGCCCAGATGGGTAATACCACCTACAGCCCCGTGGAGTTTTCAGTGGGCAGACAGTGCCAGGGCGTGGAAGCTGGGACCCAGGGGCCTGGGAGGGCTCGGGTGGAGAGTGTATATCATGGCCTGGACACTTGGGGTGCAGGGAGAGGATAGGGCTGGAGGACTCACCCGGGAGGCAGTGCCTGGGTTCGGATGAGGGAGGCAGCCACCACTGGGCAGAGGGGGGCAGGTGTGGCAGCCTCCATTGGGCAGAGGGAGCAGATGTGGCAGCCACAGGTTTGGCGATGCACCTGGGAAGGATGAAAATGGCATTGGGGTTCAGCCCCCAGAGAGGGAGGTGCTGAGAGAAGGTCACGGAGAATGGGGGACCCCAGTGTGGGTTTGGGGCACATTTGAGATGGGGGGTCTCCAAGGGAAGGTGTCCTGCAGAGCTGCAATTCAGGGCTGGGCTGGGCGTGCTAGCGGAGGCTGGTCCAGGGGAGGTGGATGGTCAGGTGAGGAAGGTGGAGGTCAGATGGGGGAGGTGGAGGTCAAGTGGGGGAGGGAGCAGCCCAGGCCATGTCCTGGGCGAGGTGACGGCCGAGCTCAGGCTTCCAGAGAGAGGAGAGAGGCCTGCTGAGGGAGCCCCTTCTCCCACCCTGCCCTGCCCTGCTCTGCCCTGCCCTACCCTACCCTGCAGAGCTGGTGTGCAACAGAACCTTCGACAAGTATTCCTGCTGGCCGGACACCCCCGCCAATACCACGGCCAACATCTCCTGCCCCTGGTACCTGCCTTGGCACCACAAAGGTACCCATAGAGGGGAGGAACTGTGGGGGGGGCGGGCCCAGGGTGGGGCTGACCCCAGCCTCCCCCCACACCCCCAGTGCAACACCGCTTCGTGTTCAAGAGATGCGGGCCCGACGGTCAGTGGGTGCGTGGACCCCGGGGGCAGCCTTGGCGTGATGCCTCCCAGTGCCAGATGGATGGCGAGGAGATTGAGGTCCAGGTCAGTGGGCGGCAGGCAGGCGCGGTGGGGCTGGATGGGAACGGGCATGGGGGCCCCTGCCTGGCCCTCACAGGCCACTGTAACTCGCAGAAGGAGGTGGCCAAGATGTACAGCAGCTTCCAGGTGATGTACACAGTGGGCTACAGCCTGTCCCTGGGGGCCCTGCTCCTCGCCTTGGCCATCCTGGGGGGCCTCAGGTAGGATTCCGCCAGCGCCCGGGGCGGCCGCAGAGGACAGGGAGGAGGACGGGCGCTGACTGGCTGTGCCCACAGCAAGCTGCACTGCACCCGCAATGCCATCCACGCGAATCTGTTTGCGTCCTTCGTGCTGAAAGCCAGCTCCGTGCTGGTCATTGATGGGCTGCTCAGGACCCGCTACAGCCAGAAAATTGGCGACGACCTCAGTGTCAGCACCTGGCTCAGTGATGGAGTGAGCCCCCCTCGGCGGCCCCAGGCAGGTGGGTGGGTGGGCAGCCAGGCAGGTGGCCACGTAGCCGCGCTCACACTGCACCTGTACCAGGCGGTGGCTGGCTGCCGTGTGGCCGCGGTGTTCATGCAATATGGCATCGTGGCCAACTACTGCTGGCTGCTGGTGGAGGGCCTGTACCTGCACAACCTGCTGGGCCTGGCCACCCTCCCCGAGAGGAGCTTCTTCAGCCTCTACCTGGGCATCGGCTGGGGTGAGTGGGCTGGCATGAGAGGGGGTTAAGGCAGGCTGACCAAGCCTTTGGGACCACAGCTGCTGCCCCCCACAGGTGCCCCCATGCTGTTCGTCGTCCCCTGGGCAGTGGTCAAGTGTCTGTTCGAGAACGTCCAGTGAGTATGAGCGGCTGGACAGCCTGGGGAGGGACCGGGGGGCTGGGGTGCGGCGCTCTGGCCTGAGGCAGGGAGGGGCCGGGGATGAGCCTGGTGCCTGGGGAGGGGGTCATTTGTGACCTTCTCCCTTCCTTTTCTGAGACCCGAATTAGATCCTGGCAAAATCGGGACGGGGGTGCTGAGGGGCGGAGGGGCTGGGGGCTGTGCCCCAGTATGTGAGTGGCCTGGCCTCGCAGGTGCTGGACCAGCAATGACAACATGGGCTTCTGGTGGATCCTGCGGTTCCCCGTCTTCCTGGCCATCCTGGTGAGGAAATGAAGAGCCAGGAGCGCACCCCAGGCCCCTCCTCCCTTGGCGTCCTGAGGCTGCCCCAGGAGACAGCAGCATCCTGTCTGAGAGCGCTGGGAGGGAGCCGGCACCCAGACAGGACACCAGGACACTGGCCAGCACCCTGGACACTGAGCCAGGCTGTTCCTCCCTGGCTGTGTGCCCACCAGCCCCAGGGCTATGTGGCCCAGGGCCTATCTTGCTGCCAGGCCCACCTGCAGGAGGGTCAGGTGGGGCCTTCCAAGGGCACAGAGCTGTTCCCTGGGGCTCGGGATGCCCCTGACTCGCACCCTTCTCACACAGATCAACTTCTTCATCTTCGTCCGCATCGTTCAGCTGCTCGTGGCCAAGCTGCGGGCACGGCAGATGCACCACACAGACTACAAGTTCCGGTGGGTGCCGCGGCAGCTGGCGTCTCGAGACCTGGAGACCCTCAGGGCCAGAGGGCAGCTGGGGGTGGGGACTCCAAGCTCCACGTGGATGGTGCGGGCCGAGGGTGGGGGCGGTGGGTGACTCAGGCGCTGCCTCTGCAGGCTGGCCAAGTCCACGCTGACCCTCATCCCTCTGCTGGGCGTCCACGAAGTGGTCTTCGCCTTCGTGACGGACGAGCACGCCCAGGGCACCCTGCGCTCCGCCAAGCTCTTCTTCGACCTCTTCCTCAGCTCCTTCCAGGTGCCCGCCCGCCCGCCGGCTCCCCCGCCCGGGGCGCAGTGTGCCACCCCTGACCACCCTGTCTCTCCAGGGCCTGCTGGTGGCTGTCCTCTACTGCTTCCTCAACAAGGAGGTAGGTGGGAGTGGGGGCATCTGAGACCATCAGCACTGGCCGTCGGGGTCAGGGGCAGAGAGAGGCACAGGGATGCCAGCCCCACCCCTGCCCGGGGGTTGGAACACGTGGGGCCCAAGCCTTTCCCTCCCCCTGCTCTTATTGGGTGCAGTTGCCATGGCGCTGGGTGTCAGGCCCCCAGGACAGGTTGGCCTCAGCCCCATCGCTACGGTGTCCACCGTGGGGGTCCCCAGGTGTCTGCAGACTGCTTTCCGTGGCGATGCTGGGTGGCATAGCTGTGCCCAGCAGGGAGCTTGTGTCGCTCTGCACCCCTCAGAGCGGAGACTGGGCATCTCCGATGAGGCCCACAGCAGGTCCCGGTGGGGTGGAGAGGACAGGCAGGCCCTAGGACTGGCCTGCCCCGTCCCCCTCCCCAGGTGCAGTCGGAGCTGCGGCGGCGTTGGCACCGCTGGCGCCTGGGCAAAGTGCTATGGGAGGAGCGGAACACCAGCAACCACAGGGCCTCATCTTCGCCCGGCCACGGCCCTCCCAGCAAGGAGCTGCAGTTTGGGAGGGGTGGTGGCAGCCAGGATTCATCTGCGGAGACCCCCTTGGCTGGTGGCCTCCCTAGATTGGCTGAGAGCCCCTTCTGAACCCTGCTGGGACCCCAGCTAGGGCTGGACTCTGGCACCCAGAGGGCGTCGCTGGACAACCCAGAACTGGACGCCCAGCTGAGGCTGGGGGCGGGGGAGCCAACAGCAGCCCCCACCTACCCCCCACCCCCAGTGTGGCTGTCTGCGAGATTGGGCCTCCTCTCCCTGCACCTGCCTTGTCCCTGGTGCAGAGGTGAGCAGAGGAGTCCAGGGCGGGAGTGGGGGCTGTGCCGTGAACTGCGTGCCAGTGTCCCCACGTATGTCGGCACGTCCCATGTGCATGGAAATGTCCTCCAACAATAAAGAGCTCAAGTGGTCACCGTGCATGTCCTGGAAAGCAGGGCTGGAAATGCTGGGGCCGAAGCAGTGGGGGATGGAACAGCGGTGGGTGGTCAGCGCCAGTGCGGGCTGTTGAAGGGTCCCCCTGCTGTCCCAGTTCACTCAGAGTTGGCACTGGAACCCCGGAGGATCCCGAAGGCAGCCAGCCTGTGCCCATCTGAGCAGGTCCTGGCCACCTTCCCATCCTGGTTCTGGCGGGCAGTCCCCCTGGACGCTTTGGCCACCAGAGGGTCACCATTCACCAGCAGAGACGTGAGGGGCACAGTGGCTAAGGCGGCATGAGGCATCACAGTCCCCTGACCGACCCCATCAGCACTGGATTCACCCGAGGGCGTCTTCTCCCTGGAGGCCGTGAGGACACTGGCACCTGGCTCATCGGCCCGCCCTTCCTCTGAGCCTCCTGGCCTCCGTTTCATCTCAGCTCCAGCCCCCTCGGGCAATTTACAGGCCACGTAGCAGATTGAAGCGGGAAGAAATGGGCCTGAACATTGCCGCGGGTCCAGGCGACGGAGGAGGGCAGGTTGCCCAACTTCTGCACAGGACCCGGGGTGCGCCACACACACGCCAGTCCTCGTGCCACACAGAGAGGTCCGGCCTACGCCAGTCCTCGTGCCACACAGAGAGGTCCGGCCTACGCCAGTCCTCGTGCCACACAGAGAGGTCCGGCCTACGCCAGTCCTCGTGCCACACAGAGAGGTCCGGCCTACGCCAGTCCTCGTGCCACACAGAGAGGTCCGGCCTACGCCAGTCCTCGTGCCACACAGAGAGGTCCGGCCTACGCCAGTCCTCGTGCCACACAGAGAGGTCCAGCCTACGCCAGTCCTCTTGCCACCTCGTGGTGGGTGGGCGCCCTGCTTGCCAGCCAGGGAGCACCAGGAAAGAGCTGCCTCCTGCGTGCTGGACACAGGAGGTGCTTCAGGGTGGGGTCTCCCATTGTGTGGGGCCCAACCTGAGTCTAAGGGCCCAGGGACCACACAGCGGGGGTGGAGACAAATTCAGGGTAGAAGCTGTGAGGGGCCTGTGGTCAGCCCCCCGGGGGGTCCCTGCAGCAGGCACTGTGAGACCTACTGAGGTGTGTGCATGGGCTGGGGAAGGAGCCAGTCAGGTGCCCCTGCTCTGAGGAGCTGCTGGGAAGTGCTGCTGGGCCCTGGGGGAAGGGGTGCTCACAGCCCCTGCCTGGGCCACGTGGGCTGGAGCCGCTCAGGCAGAGCCGGACTAATTGGGGCAAATGAGGGGACAGGAGGCCTCTGAGGAAAGGTAAATAGAATTACTCACCCGCCAGGCACTGGGGCCCTCCTGGGGGGGCCCTCACCCTGCCACCCACCACAGGGCCTGCATGCAGCAGGGAGGGAAGTGAGCTGATTAGGCAAGGCTGGACCCTTCTGGGGCCCTGGGGTTGCTGTGATTGGGACGGCAAGGCCAGGAGACGGTCCCCTGAGCTGCACCTGCTGGAGGCCTGTGATCTCAGACCTTAAGGCTTCAGGCCAGCTCTACGCCCCTCCGGCCTCAGGTCCTGGCTCTCCTCTGAGCCCTGGATGCCCGGGTGCCTGTGTGGGCACGAGGCTGCTCCGAGTCAGCACACGGAGGTGGACATTCTCCTTCATGCCAGCTGAGCTCAGGGCTGGTGACTGCCCTGGGGAAACTGCCCCTCACCTGGGACCTCCTGACAGCCCTCCCCATTCCCGAGTCCCTCTGCCCTTGTCCTCTTTCACCTCTGTCCCGCCCTCATCCCTAAGGGAACTGGAGCAGGCTGGTGGAGTTGGGTGGAGTTGGGGACTGGCAGGGGGTGGACTCACCCAGGCAATAAACACTGGCCCTAACCAGGCAGTCCTGCAGGCAGGTAGGTGGAGGGACTGTTTTTTTTCTTTTTTGGAGATAGAGTCTCACTCTGTTGCCCAAGTTGGAGTGCAGTGGCATGATCTTGGCTCACTGCAAACTCCACCTCCCAGGTTCATGTGATTCTCTGCCTCAGCCTCCTGAGTAGCTGGGATTATAGGCGTGTGCCACGACACCTGGCTAATTTTTTTTTTTTTTTTTTTGAGACGGAGTTTCACTCTCGTTGCCCAGGCTGGAGCTCAATGGCGCGATCTCAGCTCACCGCAACCTCCGCCTCCCAGGTTCAAGCGATTCTCCTGCCTTAGCCTCCCTAGTAGCTGGGATTACAGGCAGGTATGTGATGCCCGGCATCCCAAAGGGGTATCTGCAAGAGTTGGGTGCTGTGTGTGCATGGCTGGGAGGAAGATGACTTTGATACCCTGGAATCTGGTGTCTGTGGACACAAAAATACTACTAAAATGAGAGTGGAGACCAGGAAAAAGGAAGACATGAACTACATGAAGGACCAAATCTAGGAGAGTCAGAAGTGCGTCACAGGAATAGGGGACCTTGAGCCAGACAGAAGGCTCAGCAGAGACACCCTCAAGGGGATGAAAGGGATTGAGTGCACTAATATTTAGAGGAGAGAGTTCAGGACTTGATTAGTGACTAGTACATAGAAAACTAAACAAATGAGGCTGGGTGCAGTGGCTCATGCCTGTAATCCCAGCACTTTGGGGGGCCAAGGCGGGCGAATCACCTGAGGTCAGGAGTTCGAGACCAGCCTGGCCAACATGGTGAAACCTCGTCTCTACTAAAAATACAAAAATTAGCCGGGCGTGGTGGCGGGCGCCTGTAGTCCCAGCTACTTGGGAGCCTGAGGCAGGAGAATCGCTTGAACCTGGGAGGCGGAGGCTGCTGTGAGCCAAGATGGTGCCATTGCACTCCACCCTGGGTGACAGAGCAAGACTCCGTCTCAAAAAAAAAAAAAAAGAAAGAAAAAACCAAGCAAATGAAAAAAGAAGGCAATTAATAATTCCAAAGAAAAGAAAAATTTGGGCAGAAAAGAACAAAACAAGCAGAATTTACCATGACTCAGTTCTGAATACAAACACAGACATCATAATGTAAACACCAACACTGATGCAACCAGAATCATGGGAGAAAAAAGATCTAGGGAGGGTGGTGGACGGGAATATCACGTATGTACTGGGGGTAGGGGAGAGAACAAAATGGGAAAAATCAAGAATAATTCACGTTAGAAATAAAAATACAGAGCAAAATTTAAAAATGCAAAGAATGAGGTGAAGAGTTCAAAGTGGTCACCTCGGGGCCGGGCGCGGTGGCTCACGCCTGTGATCCCAGCACTTTGGGAGGCTGAGGCGGGCGGATCACAAGGCCAGGAGTTTGAGACCATCCTGGCTAACAAGGAGAAACCCCATCTCTACTAAAAATTAGCCAGGCGTGGTGGTGGGCGCCTGTAGTCCCAGCTACTCGGGAGGCTGAGGCAGGAGAATGGCGTGAACCCAGGAGGCGCAGCTTGCAGTGAGCCGAGATCGCGCCACTGCACTCCAGCTTGGGCAACAGAGTGAGACTCCGCCTCAAACAAAACAAAACAAAACAAAAAAACAAAGTGGTCATCTCTAGGCAAGGTGGGTGGGAGATGGCTAGGGCTGCAGGTCCACTACGTGAGCTGGCTCAGCCTATCCCCAGACACCCTGCACTCACTCAGCCCGGGGTCCTCCCCCTGCACTCACTCAGCCCCGGGTCCTCCCCTGCACTCACTCAGCCCCGGGTCCTCCCCCTGCACTCACTCAGCCCCGGGTCCTCCCCTGCCTGCTCTTTCTCTGACCCTGCCCTCCACTGTTCCTTTTTCTTCTTTCTCTCCCTGTTGTGTCCAGGAACCAGGCACCACCCTCATTTCTTCTTGATCAATCTTTAAAAACCAGCAGTGCTCAGCTAACTCTTCATCTATCTCCCCCGACCTGGGGCTCTGCTGAATCCACGCTTTAGACCCAGCTATCAGCTCGGCATGTACAGCTGGATGTCCACACCGAGCTGCTCACCCTGTCCCCAGCTTCTTCCTCCCACTGTCCACTGCAGAAGCCTCCTAACAGGACCCCTGCTGCTACCCCGGACCCTGCAACCCATTCCCACACAGCAGCCAGATGCTTTGACACCCGAAGTCTCCTATGAATCCGATGAGGCCTCTGCACCACACCTCATTTTACAGAAGTACAGGGGAAACAGGGGTCTGTTGACACCACAGAGATGCAGCTGGCCAAAGGCAGAATGTGGGGTACACGACTGTCAAACGCCAGGGGTCCTTACACGAATGGTGGAAAAAGAGGGGCATGTTACGGATGGAGGCTCGGGACACATGGGCGCCGCCTTCCCATGCTGCCAGCAACCCACCAGGAACCTATTAATTTAGTCATTTGGGAAATGGGAGCTGGGTATATCGGCTATTAGGAAATTGTTCATGCTCAATAAGTATTAATTACAATTTTCATAAGAGCTTAACCCCCCTGAAAGAGGTCACTGTTTCCTCACTTGTAAATTGGGATACTAAAACCTGCCCCATGGAGTTGCCAGAGTGACATGTGTGCGTGCACACCAACAGTACACAGCAGATAGTGACATATGTGTGCACGCCAACACTACACAGCAGATAGTGACTTGTGCGTGCGCGCCAACACTACACAGCAGATAGTGACACGTGCGTGCACACCAACAGTACCCAGCAGATAGTGACATATGCGTGCACGCCAACACTACACAGCAGATAGTGACTTGTGCGTGCACGCCAACACTACACAGCAGATAGTGACATGTGCGTGCACGCCAACACTACACAGCAGATAGTGACTTGTGTGTGCACGCCACTACACAGCATAGTGACTTGTGTGTGCACGCCAACACTACACGGCAGATAGTGACTTGTGTGTGCACGCCAACACTACACGGCAGATAGTGACTTGTGTGTGCACGCCAACACTACACGGCAGATAGTGACTTGTGTGTGCACGCCAACACTACACGGCAGATAGTGACTTGTGTGTGCACGCCAACACTACACGGCAGATAGTGACTTGTGTGTGCACGCCAACACTACACGGCAGATAGTGACTTGTGTGTGCACGCCAACACTACACGGCAGATAGTGACTTGTGTGTGCACGCCAACACTACACGGCAGATAGTGACTTGTGTGTGCACGCCAACACTACACGGCAGATAGTGACTTGTGTGTGCACGCCAACACTACACGGCAGATAGTGACTTGTGTGTGCACGCCAACAGTACACAGCAGATAGTGACATATGTGTGCACGCCAACACTACACAGCAGATAGTGATGTGTGTGCACACCAACACTACACAGCAGATAGTGACATGCGCGTGCACGCCAACACTACACAGCAGGTAGTGACATGTGTGTGCACACCAACAGTACACAGCAGATAGTGACATGCGCGTGCACACCAACACTACACAGCAGATAGTGATGTGTGTGCACACCAACAGTACACAGCAGATTGTGATGTGTGTATGCACACCAACGGTACAACACGCAACAGTTGCAGTTGCCTCATTTCCCCAAGTCGCCCTCACTGCAGAAAGGGGAGTGTCTCCAGCTGCTTAGTCCAGCAGCCTCCAGGATTGGGTGAGGGTCGGAGGGCCCTGGTGCCCTGCATGGACAAGGCAGTGGCAGCAGGGCTGAAGGACAGGCTGGGGTGGGAGGACCGCAACCCTCTGGGATCGGGCCCCACGGTCAGCTCCCGCAGCCCAGGGGAGAGGTGCCCACTCTAGCAGCCCTTTATGTGCTCCTCAAGCTGAAAGTAGAGACCCCGCTTTGTGACTACAGTGAGTTCTCACACCATTAGGCGAACGGCTGGGGTAAGACCACCCTGTGGCCCCTGCAGAGCTGACCTCACTGGGTGGTCCACCGAAGAGGGGATGGGAGGGCAAGTTTGCTTCAGGGTCAGAGGTCCGGTCCCGGTGGGTGCACCTCCCCAGCCCTCAGGTAGGTTAGGCCCCCTCTCCCGCGTCCCCTCCCCCTCCTCACCCCAATCCCCTCCCCCTCCTCACCCCAATCCCCATCCCCCACGCGGTGCATCGGGTGAAGGGGTGGGGCCTCCAGCAACACCGTGGGCTCAGCGCTCCCCACAGACTCCTACCCTCCTGCCCAGCATGTGCCTGGCCAGGCCGGCCCCCTCCTCTGAAGGGTTCTTGGCAGAAAGATCTCCAAATTGAAGGTTTCTGGTGGCAGGCCCAGGTGCTGGGGCCATACCTGGGGGAGCTCCACCCCCCGGCTGTAGGTAGGCAAGGCCCGGATTCCAGGGCCCAGTGTAAGATGACCCAGGTGAGCCCAAATCAGGTCCATCTCTTAACACAAGGAGCTCCCTCGGCACCTCCTGTGTGCTACACAGGGGTCCCAGCACCCATGCAGGGGAGAGGCCTTTGGATCACCACAGCCCACACTCTGTACAGAGGGATAAACTACTGCTTTGCCTGTAGAGTAGCCATTCTTTTATTTATTTTTTTCTTTTTCTTTTTTTTTTTTTTTTTTTTGAGACGGAGTCTTGCTCTGTTGCCCAGGACGGAGTGCAGTGGCGCAATCTCAGCTCACTGCAACCTCCGCCTCCCGGGTTCAAGTGATTCTCCTGCCTCAGCTTCCCGAGTAGCTGGGATTATAGGTGCCTGCCACCACACCCAGCTAATTTTTATGTTTTTAGTAGAGACGGGGTTTCACCGTGTTAGCCAGGATAGTCTCAATCTCCTGACCTTGTGATCCACCCGCCTCAGCCTCCCAAAGCGATGGAATCACAGGCGTGAACCACCGCACCCGGCTCTAACTTTTCTATTTTTAGTAGAAATGGGGTTTCACCATATTGGCCAGGTTGGT
Source organism: Homo sapiens (assembly GCF_000001405.40). Lineage (NCBI taxonomy): Eukaryota > Metazoa > Chordata > Mammalia > Primates > Hominidae > Homo > Homo sapiens. The sequence goes on from NC_000017.11 coordinate 81,820,751, forward strand.
CTCAAACTCCTGACCTTGTGATCCGCCCGCCTCAGCCTCCCAAAGTGCTGGAATTACAGGCGTGAACCACCGCACCTGGCCCCTTTTCTTTAATAAATTTGCTTAAAAAAAAAAAAGAACCCAAAGGCTGGGCACGGTGGCTTACGCCTGTAATCCCAGCACTTTGGGAGGCCGAGGAGGGTGGATCACAAGGTCAGGAGAATGGCTAACACGGTGAAACCCTGTCTCTACTAAAAATACAAAAAGTCAGCCGGGCATGGTGGCGCTCGCCTGTAGTCTCAGCTACTCGGGAGGTTGAGGCAGGAGAATCGCTTGAACCCAGGAGGTGGAGGTTGCAGTAAGCCAAGCTCACACCATTGCACTCCAGCCTGGGTGACAGAGCAAGACTCCGTCTCAAAAACAAACAAACAAACAAACAAAAACACCAAAAACCAGAAAACCCAGAGGGGTAAATTGAGGCAGGCTGGCCGTGTGCCAGGCCCCAGACTGCAGAGCCCAGACTCCCCACCGAAGGCTGAGGGTCGCGCTTGCTGTGTGAGGCTCAGCACCTTGTCAAGTGCACCCACACGGTGACTCGTGGGGGTAGCAGCACCAAGCACTGCGCCACCCATGATGTAGTCATCACCACCTGAAGAAACCAAGGCTGACTCCAACCTGCTCACAGCCACGGTGTAGCAATGGCCTGGCCAGGGCTCAAGCCCACCCCTCCTCCTCCTGGGAATCTGGGAACCCCATGTTTGAGTGGGCCCCCCACTGCAGGACCTCTGCTGGCCCTTGCAGCTACCACTGTACAGAAGGTGCACAGGGCAGGGCCTTGTCCCCAAGAGGCTCGGTGAGTGGAAGGCACATGGCATGAGGACCGCTGTGAGCCGCCCGCCCCTCATCCCCGTGGTGGTGTTCCCCAGGCTGCATCGGCTCAACAGGGGGAGGCAGCCTGGGTCACCCTAGCCTGGTGGGCACTCGAAACGCTCCTCGAAGGACTCACAGGCCCCATGGGGGCCAGGTAAGGCCGTGTGTTTACAGGGAGTTGGCTCGGGGCTGGGTACTGCTGTGCACACTGGCTGCCAGGCGGCAGCTGGGCTGGTTTATTACTGGAACACCCTCCCCTGCTCCTCCTCCCCGGGGAGGCCAGCCCTGCGCCAGCATCTCCTGCACCAGCCCACCCACCAGGAGGCGCCTGTGGGGCCACTCTTCTGGGAAAGCGTGTTCCTGGAATAAATTCTGGTTTCGCTTCCAACAGGAACAGGAATAGAGCTCCCTGTCTGGCCTGCCAGGGCAGCTTGCAGGTTTGAAGGTCAAGTGCACGTGGCTCTCTCCTGGGCCCAGCGGCACCCCCTTCTTCTGGACAGGGGAGGAGCCAGCTCCTAGAGGGGCCACAGTGCCCCAGAGGGTGGGTTCAGGGTGGTGCCTACTACCTCTGCGGCCCCCTGGGCAGCCCCTGTGGCAGAACAAGGGTAGTGATATCAGGCAGCCCAGCCTCTCCCTCCAGAATGCCCTCCCTGCCACCACCTGCCCTAGGAGACCTGAGCACGCCCAGTGGCTTAGACTGAGAATTTCTGGGCTTGAGAAGCCTTCGCCATGATCTGGGGTTTCCAGCCCTGCCCGGGAGCTGGCTGTGCATGTGTGCCGCAGGGGCAGAGGCCTGACAGACCACCAAGAGGCCACGCCCAGTGCCGCCGCCTTTATTCACAGACCCTCGAGCTCCACAGCCACACAGACACTTAGCTTTCAGAGGGCACAGGAAGGAAAAGGGACCTGGTGACCCTCCCAGCACACCCCAGAGCCAAGACAGACCCAGCAGCAGCACCTCAGGGTCAGCCTGGGTGCCCCTGCCCAGGGGCCACTGTGACCGCAGACACCAGGAGGCCAGGCCTGGTTGCTGGGGACCCCCTTGGGGGGCCCGGCAGTATCCTAGGCCCAAAGAGCTGGTGCCATCTTGAAGCTGATTCAGGGAAGAGGCCAGGCTGGACGGTAGGGGTAGGTGTGAGAAGCTCCCCAGCGTGTCCAGGCCACGGGAGCAGCAAGGGTCTGCGGGGAGCCCAGGCTGGATGGGGTGGGGCTGCCCTTGTCCTGTATCCTGACCACTTCAAGGACAAAACCAGCCCAGTCCCAGCAGCCTGGGAGGCAGCAGAGGCTCCTTCTTCTCCCCTCCTGATCCTGCAGTGGCCAGGGGCAGGAGGGTGAGGGGAGAGGAGAGAGGTCAGGTCAGGGCCCCTGGGGGCCAGGCAGCTTCAAAAATGCAGCCAGGTGGCTGGGGGAGGGCAGGAGGGTGGGCAGGGCCCAGACCCCCATGATGGGGGCAGCCTGAGACCCCCAAGGATGAAGGAAGGGGGCTTGGGAAGGAGAGGCAGGCCTCAGCCGTCAGTCACGCCAGTGCTGGGATCTGCAGCCCGCTGGAGCAAGGCACCCCCATCCCAGGGGCAGGACCACAGGACAGGAGGGAACCGACACCTCGCACCCTGATCTTCCGGAGGCCGGGGAGGGGCACCGGGCGCTCTAGGACTTCTTGGCATCCTGCGTGCTCCGGCGCTTCAGGTCACTCAGGTCGATGGGCTTGAAGGCTGCCAGGGGACAACGCGGTAGGTGGTGGGCACAGGCCCCTCCTGCCCATGAGGCCCGGCCTGCCGGCCCAGCCCTGCCCCCAGGTCAGCCCCCACTCACTCTTCAGGCTGGGGTTAGGGACCTTCTCCACATACTCCTCCACCAGGCCCCGCTCGCCACCCGGCACCTGGCCTCGCAGGTCTCGCTCCACACCCTGCCAGGCTGCAGAGGCAGAGAGTGGTGTGCTCAGGGCCCCCTGCCCCAGGGGGTGGCATCCACGTCACGAGAGTGCCTGCCCTCAGCTCCTGCCCTCCCAGATCCTCTTCTCCCTCAGAAGTGTCCTCCATGCTCCCCCACAGCCCTCTGCCCACCCCAGCCTCACTCACCTGCAGACCCCGTCCCCGCTCCTCTGGCAGGCCTGTCCCTTCCCCGCAAGATGACCAGGACTGTGGTCAGAGGGACCCCTATGACCCTACCCCAGGCTTCCCTGCGCCTCGGAGGCAGCGCATCCTCCTCAGCTAGGCCTCTATCTTTCCCACCTCATCCACGCACCTCCCCGGCCCCAGCACACGGCACACTCCCCTAATCCCAGACAACCACCTCCCGGCCACTTCTGCAACACGCCCGTTCATGGCTGGATGCGTGCCTGTCTGTCTTCAAAGGCCCCTCCCTTTCCCCAGCAAACTCCTCCAGTGCTGCTAGCATGGATGACTGGCTCCCAGTGCGGCCTCTATCTGTGGCATGGCCCACCCCCAGCCCCTCCTCCCGGGCTCCCCCCATGATCAGAACCAGGTCTCCTCTCTACACAAGGTCCCCTCGGCCACCCCTACCCGCCTGGGCCCTGAAGGCTGTGGACACAGTGATGGGGCTATCTGTGCCCTGGAGGGGCAGGGGCAGGGGCCGCAGGAGGTTCCTCGGAGCGTGGGTCCTGGGCTGGGGGCAGAGCTGACTCCGTCAAGGACAGGGCAGGAGCTGTGTGTGGCAGGCGCACCCACCTTCGTAAATGAAGCGGACGTTCTCCTCGTGGGCTGGGGTGAAGATCTCGCTGCTGCTGGGTGGGGAGCGGGGGCTGCTGGTCCTCTTGCCGTTGTACACGACTCTGGAGACGGGGGAGCTGGGGGAGCCTGGCGCATGAGACAGGGCACACAGCAGGGTGGGAGCCCACAACCCGCCCCGGTGGAGACCAGCCCACCTGCCTGAGACCCACCTGGTCATCGCGGGGGCGTCTGATCCTAGCGCTCCACCGCCAGATCCCCTCAGCCTCTGAAACAGAAGCCAGCGCAGGCATGGGACGCAGGGCCACCCTCTCCAGCACAGAAGGAGGGGGAGGCGCAGGGCACACCTGCCTCCTCCCTTCAGATGTGAACAAAGTGCATGGTCCCTCTGCCTACCAGGGTGTCCCCCACAGGCTGGGGTCCAGCCACAGGCAGCCAGTGGGCTCCAGGCAACCCTACGAGGTAGCAGAGAGCTGGCCAGACGAGCCAGACACACACACAACTTGAAGCGATCAAGCCCGCTCAGCGGCCTTGATCCTCCACGTCTCAGGCTCAGACGTGGAGGCCTCAGCCCCAGCACCGGGAGCACTGTGGCCAGAGCCCCTCCCCACGTGGGCTGGTGGGGCCGTCAGCATCTCTGATGTCCAGCTGCCTCTCACTGCAGCAGAGGGCCTGCAGCCCCTCAGCTAACTGACCCTGCTCTCCCTGGTGCAGGGCTGGGCACACGGCTTCTGCTGAGCCTTGATTTCCTTTCTGTAAAACGGGGATGAGCTTCCTAAAGGTGATCCCAGCTCCCCGGCACCTACCCAGGTCCAGCTTCCTGGTTCCCTAGAGCATGAGCCACATCAGTACCCTGGAGATGGAACCAAACTCCAGCTCCCCTGGTGGGCAGAGGGGGTGGCCCTGGAGGAAGCTGCTGGGCCTGACCTGGTGACCAAGACCCTGGGCTGCCGCCCGTTTATGGCCTCCCAGCCCAGGGGAATCCACGGCTCTGGAAAAATGGAGTCTATTTTGAGGCTCAGACGCTCACACTGGCAGGCTGGACAGTGTCCCCACTCCAGCTGAGGACACACAACCCCAAGGTGGGGAAGCTGACAGGGCTGGTCTCCAGCCTGCCCTGCTCCAGAGGGGGCAACTCCAGGTTCTGGGGGAGGGGAGTCCCAGGATTCCCAGGAGGGGGCTTTGAGCACAAGCAACTCCCCTGCCCACCCAGAGGCCCAAGGCTGCAGATACTCCAGGGCACACGGCTGCAGCCCTCACAGAGGGCCAGGAGCACTGAGGCTTCGAGTCCTCTCTGGCTCATTCCGCCTCATGTCAATGGTCCAGCCCTCAAACACCACGTGATAAGAATCCCACGGCTCAAGGGCAAAACCAGCAAAGAGCAGAAAACCAGCTCCCAGCCCTGGAACTCTGTGCCCCATCCCAGGCCAGGAGTGAGGTCCAAAAAGGGCCAGGGGCTCCCCACCCACGGCAGCACCCAGTTTGCTCACAAAGTCACCTCTCCTTTCTTGGACTCTGGGGTCTCTCTGCCCAGTCCTCCTGCCAGGGACTCCAGCCCACGAACACCAGAGCACGGAGGGAAAGGCCTGTTTGGGTTGAGGGTCCCACAGGGACATGCTGCCTGCTGGGAAGCTCCCGTTACAGAGAAAGGCAGAGCTCAGGTAACAGGTAGACTGGCCAGCCCCCTGCCTCGCCCCCTGCTGGCTCTCACCACTGACCGACTGCTGCTTTAGGGGTACCTGCCTCCCAGCCTGCCCTCTCCCGTGGCTCTTCTCCCCATGCATCCTCTGCCTCCAGTGGCCACTTGGCCTTTATGCAGCCACACCTTTGGCCTGGGATCCCCCTGCTGGGTTCGGTTGTCACTCCTGCCCCAGATCCCACTGATTGCCCCACATCCTCCCAAGCAACTACCCTTCCGGGGCTCCCTTTGCCTTGTGTGCACACACACACACACACACACACCTGCCCACACATACCTACCTGCACACACCTTAGCTGAATACATCTGCCACACACATGCATACAACCGCCCGCACACACCTGTCTGTACACACCTGCCCACACACATGCGGCACACACCCATATGAACACACCTGGTGTGGCAGCATGCACTTGTAGTCCCAGCTACTCAGAGGCTGGGGTGGGAGGACTGCTTGAGCCCAGGAGGTCAAGGCTGCAGGGAGCCAAGATCGTGGCACTGCACTCCAGCCCAGGCAACAGAGCAAGACCCTGTGTCAAAAAAAAAAAAAAAGCCCAGGCACGGTGGCTCACGCTTGTAATCCCAACACTTTGGGAGGCAGAGGCGGGTGGATCAGCTGAGGTCAGGAGTTTGAGAGCAGCCTGGCGAACATGGTGAAACCCTGTCTCTACTAAAAATACAAAATTAGTTGGGCGTGGTGGCAGGCACCCGTAATCCCAGCTACTCGGGAGGCTGAAACAGGAGAATCGCTTGAACCCGGGAGGTGGAGGTGCAGTGAGCCAAGATCGCGCCAACGCACTCCAGCCTGGGCGACAGAGCAAGACTCCATCTCAAAAAAAAAAAAAAAAAAAAGGCCAGGCGTGGTGGCTCACGCCTGTAATCCCAGCACTTTGGGAGGCCGAGGCGGGTGGATCACAAGGTCAGGAGTTCAAGACCAGCCTGGCCAATATGGTGAAACCCTGTCTCTACTAAAAATACAAAAATTAGCTGGATGTGGTGGTGGGCACCTGTGGTCCCAGCTACTCAGGAGGCTGAGGCAGGAGAAGTGCTTGAACCTGGGAGGCGGAGGTTGCAGTGAGCCGAGATCGTGCCACTGCACTCCAGCTTGGGCGACAGAGCAAGACTCCGTCTAAAAGAAAAAAAAAAAAAGCCAGGTACGGTTGCTGGCCTATTAAAATAGGCCTGTAATCCCAACACTTTGGGAGGCTAAAGAGGGCAGATCACTTGAGCCCAAGAGTTCAAAACCAGCCTGGGCAACATGGCAAAATCCCATTTCTTTTATTTATTTATTTATTTATTTATTTGAGATGGAGTCTCGCTCTGCTGCCCAGGCTGGAGTGCAGTGGCGCCATCTTGGCTCACTGCAAGCTCCGCCTCCCGGGTTCACGCCATTCTCCCGCCTCAGCCTCCCAAGTGGCTGGGACTACAGAAGCCCGCCACCACGCCCAGCTAATTTTTTGTATTATTAGTAGAGACGGGATTTCGTCCTGTTAGCCAGGATGGTCTCGATCTCCTGACCTTGTGATCCACCCACCTGGGCCTCCCAAAGTGCTGGGATTACAGTCGTGAGCCACCACGCCCGGCCGGCAAAATCCCATTTCTACAAAAATATAAAAACTTTGGCAGGAGTGATGGCTGAGGTGGTAGGATTGCTTGAGCTTGGGAGGTGGAGGCTGTGGTGAGCCATGATCATACCACTGCACTCCAGCCTGGGTGACAGAGGGAGACTCTGTCTCTAAGTAAATAAATTTAAAACCCCATAAATATATACACCTATTGTGCACCCATACATTTTTTTTTTTTTTTTTTTTTTGAGATGGAGTCTCGCTCTGTCGTCCAGGGTGGAGTGCAGTGGCGCGATCTTGGCTCACTGCAAGCTCCGCCTCCCGGGTTGACGCCATTCTCCTGCCTCAGCCTCTCGAGTCGCTGGGACTATAGGCGCCCGCCACCACGCCCAGCTAATTTTTTCTATTTTTAGTGGAGATGGGGTTTCACTGTGTTAGTCAGGATGGTCTCGATCTCCTGACCTCGTGATCCATCTGCTTCGGCCTCCCAAAGTGCTGAGATTACAGGTGTGAGCTACCACACCCAGCTGCACCCATACAGTTTTTTAAGTCAACAAGGAGTCTCGTTTGCCTCCTCTTGTTAGGAAAAGAAATGTACCCACACCCTCAATACCACAGGCTGTGTCCTCTAAGTCTTCCCAGACACGAAGAGCCCTTCCCACCTCTCCCTACTTCTTCCTCCAGCTTAGGGACCCCCAGGGCCTCACACTGCCCCCCCACCCCCCGACCCTGCACACATAGCCCCAGGCTTTCCTGGATGTGCCAGCAGTTCCAAGAGGCCAGGGGCCTGCTGTCCCCCTGGAAGCACAATAAACGGTTCTGCAGCTCATTCAGCCTCACTGCCTCCTGGGGCCCTGCCAAGGAGCTGGGTGCCCAATTCTGACCCAGAAGGAATTTTCCATTAAAAATCAAGTATCTGTGCACAACCTATGACCCAGCCATTCTGCTCCTAGGTACACACACCCAAGATGCGTACAAGGACAGCTGGAGAATTTCACTCGTAATTACCCAAAGGGAAGAGCCACCGCAGAAGGGTAGCAATGCACACCTGGCCTATTCCCATAAGGGAATCAGCAGCCAGAGGGGGCACCACAGCCCCCACGCAGAGACGGACACCAAGCACAAGAGCAGGACCTGAGGGGCCACAGACAGGCCCTGGGACACATGGAATGGGAGGAAGCTGCAGAGGGCCGAGGCATGGACATAACTGGAGCCGGGGCCAGGACGGTGCCTGTGAGGGCAGGAAGGAGCCATCCACGGAGAGGGCTGGAGGTCAAGCAAGCTCTGAACCAAGAGGTCACCATGGAGCCACAATAAGGCCTCCAACAACCTCAGCGGGGCGGCCTAGCATAGTGAGGCACACAGCTGAGGGGGGAGGGCAGGAAGTGTGGCTGGCAGGCAGCTCAGCCCTAGCTCAGGCCTGGTGGGCAGCAGGCTGGTGTCTGGCTAAGCAGAGGGAACCCTGAGGCACAACATCCATGCATGGGGTCCCTGAGGTGGTGGATGTGGAGGGACCCAGGACCATAGTGGGTGAGAGTGAGCAGGGGACAATGGCACAGGCCCAGAGAAGCGCCGGGGGCAGCCGGAAAAGACCCAGCACACGGCAGACGGCCACCTGAGGTGGCAGCCCCTGAGCCAGCAGGAGACTGACACCTCAGCTGCCCAGGTAAAGGGGAGTGGCGGCCTGACCGAGGCCGACCACAGGTGAAGGGTGGGAGGGAGGGGCTCCATTCAGCCCAGAGAGACAGCCCCACTTCAGAGGTCTCGAGACCCCATCCAGCCCGGCCCCCTGCCTTCATCCCACCTGGGCCACCACCAGGGTGACAGCAGTAAGGGAGGGTCAGGCGATGCCTCGGTCCCGTTTTCCTTCCCTCTTTCTGTCAGAATCAAGACCGAGCATGCCGATGTCCCGGCCACGGCCCCGTACTCCTCAGTCGCTACACCACACCCCACTGCCTCTGAGAGTTTTCTTTCATAGTTTTCATATTTTAACATCTTTGAAACTGGGCTGCGCCTGACAATTGCTAACACGTCAGAATTTAACCAATGGTGGTTTTTATTTCTCAATGTACTGTAAAATATAGCGCAGCTCACAATGGCTGGGGTCTCACATGGGAGGACCCTCGATGACACTCTCCTGGCCCAGGACCACCCTTCCAGAGCCCCTCAGGCTACATGGTCTTTAGGTGTTTTCTCCCCTTCCCCTCAAAGTCTTCCACATCCCACGCCACCCCACCCCACCCAGTGCTGGGACAACCTCCAGTTCCAGACACCCAGCATCAGGACAGGTGGACACAGATGTCTACATGATCTTCCTGAAACCCTATCCCCAAGTCACTTAGCACTAGGGTGTCACCCAGGCCCTCTGCTGCCATCAAGCCCACTGTCCAGTCCCAACTTGTTTTACCAGGTGTCACCTGCTGCTCCACTCCTGCCCCAACAGCCTTTGCCACAGGACTACCTGCCACCAGCCACACAGAGCACAGGCCACCTGCAAGTCTGTGCATTCTGCAGGACGTGACTGCCTGCTTCCGTGGCCGTCCAGCCTACAGGGCCTGGCCTACTGGGCTGCAGGTATTCCCCTGCTCTGGGGCCCCGGGCAAGCTCCTCTGAGCCTCAGCATCCTCATTCAAAGTGATGCAGCCCACAGGTAGGCTCGCCTGCTCCAATAGGGACGGAAGCACAGCCATGGAAAGCCAGCAGCTCAGTGAGGTCTCTGTGGCTCCTTATCCAATACGATGATGGACAGGACAAGCATGTGCTGTATGGTTCAACTGGATGCTGTTAAGAATGAAAGGGGCTGGGGCCAGGCGTGGTGGCTCACGCCTGTAATCCCAGCACGTTGGGAGGCTGAGGTGGGCAGATCACCTAAGGTCAGGAGTTCGAGACCAGCCTGGCCAGCATGGTGAAACCCCGTCTCTACTAAAAATACAAAAAGTAGCCAGGCGTGGTGGCAGTCGCCTGTAATCCCAGCTACTCAGGAGGCTGCGGCAGGAGAATCGCTTGAACCCGGGAGGCAGAGGTTGCAGTGAGCCAAGATCACGCCATTGCACTCCAGCTTGGGGGACAAGAGTGAGACTTCATCTCAAAAAAAGAAAAAAGAAAGGGGCTAGATGTGGTGGTAATCCTAGCACTTTGGGAGGTCAGGAGTTCAAGACTGGCCTGGGCAACATAGAAAGAGCCCCATCTCGACCAGGTGCGGTGACTCACGCCTGTAATCCTGGCACTCTGGGAGGCTGAGGTGGGCAGATCATAGGAGGTCAGGAGTTTGAGACCAGCCTGGGCAACATGGCAAAACCCCATTGCTACTAAAAAAAAAAAATACAAAAATTAGGCCAGGCGCAGTGGCTCATGCCTGTAATCCCAGCACTTTGGGAGGCCAAGGTGGAAGGATCATCTGAGGTCAGGAGTTCGAGACCAGCCTGGCCAACATACAGTGAAACCCCATCTCTACTAAAAAAAAATACAAAAATTAGCTGGGCGTGGTGGCACATGCCTGTAGTCCCAGCTACTTGGGAAGCTAAGGCAGGAGAATCGCTTGAACCCAGGAAGCAAAGGTTACAGTGAGCCGAGATTGTGCCACTGCACTCCAGCCTGGGCAACAGAGCAAGACTCTGTCTCTCAAAAAAAAAAAAAAAAATTAGCCAGGCATGGTGGTATGCACCTGTAATTCCAGCTTCTCAGGAGTCTGAGGCAGGAGAATCGCTTTATACCCAGGAGGCGCAGGTTGCAGTGAGCAGAGACCATGTCACTGCACTCCAGCTTGGGAAACAGAGACAGAGCAAGACTCTATCTCAAAACAAACAACAAACAAACAAACAAAAAAGGGCCCCATCTCTGCTCTCTGCCCTCAAAAAAAAAAAAAAAAAAAAAGAACGAAAGGGATGCTGTTGATTATCAAGAATGAAACAACTCTTCTGGGTAAACTGGAATGTAGAGTCAGCCCACTCTTAGGAAGGTGGAGGCCCAGAAAAGCACTGGGGACTGAAAGAAGAGACTGCCACCAGCCACAGCAAACACTTGTCGGGCTAAGGGCAGGGCAGCCACCACGCTGGGCCCTTACACACATTGCCCACATCCCCACAGCTGGACCAGAAAGATACCCTGAGAACTTCCAGTTCAGCGCTGAAGGAGCCTGCCACCAAGCAGCGGTGCCCCTCCCAGGGCCTCCGGGGCCACAGCATTTGGGGCTCAGCCCGAATGCTGCAGCTGGCCTGAGCCTCCCAAAGTCTGCCTCCACTCTGCCTGCACCCTACAGCAGGTTTCTGGACTCCCTGAAAGACCCACTCCCTACTGATACCCATGTGGCTTTGCTCAGAGACTGGCCCTCCCTCCAGATAGGGAGGGGAGTCGCATTGGGTAGAACTATGTAGAACCTTCCTCCTCCAGGGGACCCAAGGGCTTTAGAGACTTCCAGGTGGGGAGGGGACAGAACCCCAGTCTCTGGCCTCCCAGTCCCAAATTCTTTCCCCCACACAGCCACATGCCTAAGAACAGGCCATGAGGTAACACTCCAGCAACGTGACAATAGTGAGGTTCCAGAGTTAGAATCAGTGACGCCATCGCTAGTCACCATGCTCCTCCGGAGTTTCTGAGATTCAAAGTTTCTAAGACTCCACTTTCTCTTCGTGTTCTGTGTCTTTTTCAGCCAACGAGGCTAGAAAATGATCTATTGCCCAAGCAGGCGCACGAGGATACGGCTGTCACAGCTGCCACACTGGCACCTCGTGGTCCCTTGAAGACCGCCCAGGGAAAGCCTCTAAGCGCTGCACCACCTCCTCACCCTCTCCCCTGGGTGGTGGCAGCAACAGCCTGAGCGTGTGCGCCCTCCTCCCCATCCTGATCCCACTCAAACCACAACCTCCCCTGACTCGCCCCAAATCCAGCCCTGTTGGCTCTTCCTTCACGTCCCACTTCCCACCCTCTCTACACGTTCTCGCCACATCCCACCCAAAGTCCACTCACTGGTCCCTGTTTACACCTCAGGGCCTTTGGTCAAGCTGTCTTCTCTGCCCAAAACTATCCTACTCATCCTTGGGGATCCAGCTGAAAGACCACCTTCCTGCGACGGCTACCCAGGGGCAGGAGGGAGAGAAGCACAGCCCGTGCCCCGTATGGCTCCCGCCCCCGCGGTCACAACCACCGCCCAGTGAGTGCCTAGAAGGCAGGCGGAGGCCCCGTTCTCCCCGTTAGGCCCAGCATCACCGCCCGGGGAGACGGGAAAGAGGGCAAGGCCGAAAAATGGACAGAAAAAGAATGCGGACGGCCGGGCCCGCGGCGCTCCGAGAATCGGAGGCATCCTCAGGCACGGTCCCTCCAGGAGACCGGGAAAGCGGGGCTCTGTCAGCCCCAAAGCCCCGACGGCGGCAGAAGGCTGGCCCGCTGCGAGCGTCCGGCGGCGCTGGGTCCCCGGCACCTGCCCCTGCCTGGGCGGGAAAGGCGCTCAGTCCGAGCCGCGCCCTCCCCACGCGCGCTCCCAGGCGCCCCGCGGGCCGCGCCCTCCTGCAGGTGCCGGGCGGGGAACGCGGGCCCCTCCCTCGGACCCCGGCTGCCCGGCCACTCCCCCGCGCCCGGCCCCGCCCGGCCCTGCAGGGCACCCGCGGCCGCGCGGCGACACCAGGGCGGGGCCCAGCCGCGCCCGCCCCGCCCCGCCCCGTCCCCGCCGCCCGGCGCCGCACCCGCCTCACCTCGCCCCGACCCGCCGCCACCGCCTCTTCCAGCTGGGAGGCCCCGCCGGAAGTGACGCCACCGCGGGCTGCACAGGCGCAGGCGCAGCGCGCTCTCACGTGACCGCCCGGCTGGCGGAGGGCGGGGGCGGCCGGGATTCCCGTGCGGGGTTGGGGCTCGTGGCGGAAGCTCCGGACCTCCCTGGCCCGAACGGTGAGCGCCGCCGGCCACTGGGAGCGGCCAGAGCCCAGTAATCAGGACACCACCACAGGGACCACGTGTGTAGACCCAGGCCCCCTCACCTGGGAGTCACGTTTATTGAAAAAGTAAAAAGTGTCACAGTAAAAAATTCACCTGGGGACAAAGCCAGGCCTAGGAGGGGTGGCGGGGTCGTGGAGGGACGGGTCCGGCCGCCCCTGGCCCACGGGTGGGGCACGTGCTGGCCCATGGGCGACGCGCGGCTTCTCCAGGGAGGCGGCCCTGGGCGCGGGGGCGGGCGGGCAAAGCTGGCTCAGTCCATCGTGGTCCCTTTGAAGAGCTCCACCAGCTCCTTGTAGTCCGGGTCGATGAGGTCGGAGGGCAGGTCGCCATCGTCGTTGGTTGCATCCCTGTCCGCTCCCAGGGAGATAAGGTACCTGGGGTGTAAAGGTCGCTCTGGCTGAAGCGGGGAGGAGCCAGGAGAGTGCTCGCCCCAACCCGGGTCAGAGGGCCAGAGTCCTGGGGTCACCTGTGTGTCCCCCACCTTGGGGTCCTAAGGTCCGGGTAGGGTGAGGAGGAAGAAACCTGACCCTTTGGAAGCTGTGGCCAGCTTTTCAAGTTGGTTCTATTGAGGACAAAGGCAGAAACAGGATTCCAGAAGCCTCTAGGGTTTGCAGGGTTCTTTTTTTGTTTTTTTTGTTTTTTGAGACAGAATTTCGCTCTTATCACCCAGGCTGGAGTGCAATGGCATGATCTCGACTCACGGCAACCTCCACTTCCCGGGTTCAAGTGATTCTCCTGCCTCAGCCTTGAGTAGCTGGGATTACAGGCGCGCGCCACCACGCGTGGCTAATTTTGTATTTTTAGTAGTGAGAGGGTTCTTGTCACGAACTCCTGACCTCAGGTGATCCGCCCACCTCGGCCTCCCAAAGTGCTGGGATTACAGGCGCAGGCGTGAGCCACCGCCCCCAGCCTCTAGGGTTCTTGCCGACACCACCCGGGCTACATTTTGGGGCTCCCATCCTGGGGACCCACTGAGGCCCGGAGGGGTCGGGTTCAAGCCTGTGTAGACCCAGGGCCCCCTCACCTGGCTATGTCAGGGTACCCATCGCTGCAGGCAATGTGCAGGGGTGTCCAGCCCGCCTCATCTCGCTGGTGAATGTCAGCCCCGTATTTGACCAGCAGCTTCACGCATTCCAGGTTTCCAGAGAGCACGGCTTCATGCAAGGCGGCCAGGCCTGGGCAGGGAGGACGGGAGGGGTCAAGACTGAGCCCCAGGTCAGGTCCTCCTTGCTGGCCTCTCCCACCACCCCACAGGCCCTGGCCAGCTCTTCCAGGCTTTGCTCACCTGAGGGGTGGATGGTGGCCAGGGAGACTTTCCGAGTCCGGATGAAGCGCCCCACCTGCTCCAGGTCACCCTGCCGGATGTGGTCCAAGAACAGGACATCATTAGGGAAACGCACGCTGCGATCAGCCAGCATCCGCCGCCGCCGCTGCCGTGGGCTGTAGCGGGCATAGCGGGCAGTTCTGCTAGGCATCTTGGGCGCTGTGGGGCAGGTTGCCCCTGGGGACCCTACTGCACTGGGGTTAATAATGTATCCGGTCCCGACCAGATCAGCTTGAGGGCTCCTGTCGGACGAGCCCCGGCCTCTGACTTGCTTATATAGGGCTCAGGGGCTATATAAAGCTGCACGGTCATCCTCCCCGGCGCGAGGGGCTGAAACTGAGCTGCACCCCCGCCCCGCACCCCAGATCATGTTTAGTGACTCATCTTTCAGCCCATCTGTCACCGTGCCCGGCCAAAGGGGTCAGATCATTCCTGCCTGTCGCTCCCTGCCCCACAGCTGGACCTAGAAGGTGCCTTACCGAGGGCAGGAGGAGGCACCGGTGCAGAACCCATGAGATAGCTAGGAACGCGAGATCAAGGGCACAGTAGGTACCAAGGTCATTGGAAGGGCTTTTGCTCTCTACCTCCTGGAAAGTGAGGGGCGGCCACCCCCTCCACATCTGCAGAAGCACAGGTCCACCGTGCTGTGGTGAAACAGGCCTTAGCCCCTCCATCTCCCTACCTGTCAGTTTTCACCTTCCAGCGTGGCTTGCCTCACTCTCAGTGGTTTTCCCAAAACTACTCTGATGGCCTAGGCAGGCGGATCATGAGGTCAGGAGATCGAGACCATCCTGGCTAACACGGTGAAACCCCGTCTCTACTAAATATACAAAAAATTAGCCGGGCGTGATGGCGGGCGCCTATAGTCCCAGCTACTTGGGAGGCTGGGGCAGGAGAATGGCGTGAACCCGGGAGGCGGAGGTTGCAGTGAGCCGAGATCGTGCCACTGCACTCCAGCCTGGGCGACAGAGCAAGACTCTGTCTCAAAAAAAAAAAAAAAAAAAAAAAAAATGACTCTGATGGTGCTGCTTCCTGCTCAGAAACCCCGCAGGCATCCTTGGCTGGGATCTCAGTGCCTCAGGCTCCTGCTCAGTCAGTCCTGCGACTTTTCCTCCACGTGCCTGGCTCCCCTGCCTCACACACCTGCAGGGGACAGGGTATTCCCTACACACTCATGGGTTCACCCTGCATAGTGTCTCTGCATTCCAGGTTTGACACACATACTCACACTTAAGGTGGTGTCCAGTTTGCTCTCCACGTTCAGGGACCATCACACCCTGGGTGGTGTGCTCTCTCTGCCCCGGCCCCTGTGATCTTACCTCTAGAAGCACAGCCAAGGGAATTTTTTTGTTTGTTTGTTTGAGTCAGAGTCTCACTCTGTCGCCCAAGCTGGACTACATTGGCGCAACCTCGGTTCACTGCAACCTCTGCGTCCCGGGTTCAAGTAATTATTTTGCCTCACCTTCTCGAGTAGCTGGGACTACAGGGGCATGCACCACCACGTCTGGCTAATTTTTGTATTTTTAGTAGAGACGGGGTTTCACCATATTGGCCAGGCTGGTCTCAAACTCCTGGCCTTGTGATCCGCCCGCCTCGGCCTCCCAAAGTGCTGGGATTACAGACGTGAGCCACTGCGCCCAGCCAAGGGAATTTTTAAAACTCGTGTTCCAACAGGCTCTTCATTGCTGGCTGCCTTTACTTTTGCAACAGCCCCAGTGGAGGTCCAAAGTAGGGCTTGGACTACAGGACATGAGCAAGTGGATGGGATGGGACACAGACACAGAGTTGACCAGGGAGGTCTTTGTTGTCAGGGACAGCGATCGATTGTGCTAGGAGCACTGCAGCACTTGAAGCTGGATGGATGAGTCTGCCGGGGCTGTCTTCACAGACCACAGACTGAGTGGCTTAAAAAACAGATGGTTGGCCAGGCGTGGTGGCTCAACCCTGTAATCCCAGCACTTTGGGAGGCCGAGGCAGGTGGATCACCTGAGGTCAGGTGTTCGAGACCAGCCTGACCAACAAGGTGAAACCCCTTCTCTACTAAAAAATACAAAAATTAGGCCGGGCACGGTGGCTCATGCCTGTAATCCCAGCACTTTGAGAAGCCGAGGCGGGTGGATCACGAGGTCAGGAGATTGAGACCATCCTGGCTAACACAGTGAAACCCCGTCTCTACTAAAAATACAAAAAAAAAAAAAAAAAATTAGCCGGGCGTGGTGGCGGGCGCCTGTAGTCCCAGCTACTCAGGAGGCTGAAGCAGGAGAATGGCGTGAACCCGGGAGGTGGAGCTTGCAGTGAGCCGAGATCGTGCCACTGCACTCCAGCCTGGGTGACAGAGCAAGACTCCATCTCAAAAAAAAAGGCCAAGCGCGTTGGCTTACGCCTGTAATCCCAACACTTTGGGAGGCCAAGGCAGGTGGATCACGAGGTCAGGAGATCGAGACCATCTGGCTAACACGGTGAAACCCCATCTCTACTAAAAAATACAAAAAATTTTCTGGGCATGGTGGCAGGCGCCTATAGTCCCAGCTACTTGGGAGGCTGAGGCAGGAGAATGGCGTGAACCTGGGAGGCAGAGCTTGCAGTGAGCCAAGATCGCGCCACTGCACTCCAGCCTGGGCGACAGAGCGAGACTCTGTCTCGGGAAAAAAAAATACAAAAATTAGCTGGGTGTGGTGGCAGGCGCCTCTAGTCCCAGCTACTCGGGAGGCTGAGGCAGGAGAATTGCTTGAACCCAGGAGGTGGAGGTTGCAGTGAACTGACATCACACCACTGCACTACAGCCTGGGGATGGAGCAAGACTCCGTCTCAAAAAAAAAAAAAAAAAAAAGACGGTCCGTCCCAGAGCTCTGGAGGCTGAAATCTGGGATCCGGGTTTCAGCAGGGCAGGTTCCTCCTGAGGCTCTGAGGAGCGTCTGTCGCAAGCCTCTCCCCAGCTTCTGGTGCCGCCAGCAATCCTGGTGTCCTTGGCCCTAGCAGCATCGCCACGATCTCGGCCTTCATCTCCATGGTGTTCTCCCAGCCTTTGTCACTGTTCACATCACCCCCTTGTATAAGGACACCAGTTATAGTTGGGTATTGCCTCATCTTAACCAGTGACATCTGCAAGCATCCTGTTTCCAAACAACGGTCACATTCTGAGGTCTTGAGGGCTAGGACTTCAACGTTAATTAAGGAGACACATGAGTCAACCCATAATGCTGGTAAAACCCTGCAGGTGGTCACTAAAGGCCTGAATGAGGACAGAACCAAGACTGGCCAGCAGCTCTTTGCAGGGGCAGAGGAGAGCTGGGCCACCAACAGCCTCGCATCATTAGGCTGATCTGCATCCAACGAAATCAAATCAGCAAACATATTAGACACCTCTAGGTGCAAAGCCTTGGCCAAATGCTATGGGAGGGCTGGGCACAGTGGCTCATGCCTGTAATCCCAGCACTTTGGGAAGCCAAGGCTGGAGGGTCAGTTGAAGCGAGGGGTTTAAGCAGCCTGGGCAACATAGTGAGACTCCTTTGCTTTAAAAAAATTTAAAACTGGCCGGGTGCAGTGGCTCACACCTGTAATCCCAGCACTTTGGGAGGCCGAGGAGGGTGGATCACGTGAGGCCAGGAGTTCGAGATCAGTCTGGACAACATGGAGAAACCCCCCGTCTCTGCTAAAAATACAAAAATTAGCCGGATGTGGCGGCGTGCGCCTGTAATCCCAGCTACTCAGGAGGCTGAGGCAGTAGAATCTCTTGAACCCGGGAGGCGGAGGTTGCAGTGAGCCAAGATCGCGCGACTGCACTCCAGCCTGGGCGACAGAGCAAGACTCCATCTTAAAAATAATAATAATAAAAAATTTAAAAAATAAAATAAAAAGAGTAAAAGGAAAAATGCTGCTGGAGAAGCGGCGCTGACGGAGGGTCCCTGCCTGGCGAAATTTCCTGGACCTGCGTTGGTACCCAGGTGCACCCCCTGTCCCCTCCCCTGCCCCCTGGGCCCCTCGCCTCGGGTACACCACCTCTCCAGTCACACACTGGAGTGGCCCTGGAGCCTCTAGCCAGGCCCGGGCCTGCAGACACCCTGAGGGGGGTCGGCTCCCAGCGTGGCTGCATTTCTAGGGACTCAGGGAAAGGTATGGACAGTTGGAATTCCAGGTCACTTGGGAGGAGCCAGGCCGTTTTTTCTGGCTTGTTTACGTGAAGCCTGGAGACGAAACGTTGTACACTGGAGACAGGCTCTCCTCTGATGTGAAGATTGCCTTTTCTCATGTTGTGGAAAGTTCTGTCTGCCCTCCCCCCTCAGAGGATCAGATGAAAGCACGCTGGATGAAGCTGCCACCAACAGTGTGACGAGAAGGAACGCCCTTTCCAGGAGTGACCGGGCCTCAGGCTAGAGACGCGGTGGGGGCAAGACCACCCGGTGAGCCTGTTTGGCGACCCCAAGCAAGCCCCTGTGTCCCTCCTGCTGGAGGTGAGCTGGGAGCGTGCAGAGCTTTTGGCTTTGGGGTTTCTATCTGGATCACCCGAGGGACTGGTGCCTGAAGCCTCGCCAGTCACAACAGATTTCCTTGAAAGGTATTTATGTGCCTTCTATTCTAATAAGGATGTGGGAACCGTGTGTTCTACGCCATGATAGACACTCCCTGGAGCTCCTCACCCTTGAAACGTTCCATCAGAAGCCGGCCGTCAGCAGTCGTGCCTGCTCCA
The DNA here is from genome assembly GCF_000001405.40 of Homo sapiens. Classification (NCBI taxonomy): domain Eukaryota; kingdom Metazoa; phylum Chordata; class Mammalia; order Primates; family Hominidae; genus Homo; species Homo sapiens. Next base: position 81,839,490 of record NC_000017.11, read on the forward strand.
CCGTGGGCGAAGCGTGCTGTTCATGCAGCGTGACGTCAGAGCCAAACCTGTCTTCATGGAGTTTTGTCCCTGATTCTTCTTGGTCCATATGAACTTGCAAATTGACCTAGTTTGCATGACTCTAAGTTTCTGCCTTCTGGAGGACGAACTAGAACATCTGATGCACAAGGTTTACCATCACACTTTTTTTATTTTTTTTTGAGACGGAGTCTCGCTCCGTCGCCCAGGCTGGACTGCAGTGGTGCGATCTGGGCTCACGGCAAGCTTCGCCTCCCGGGTTCACGCCATTCTCCCGCCTCAGCCTCCGGGGTAGCTGGGACTACAGGCGCCCGCCACCACGTCCAGCTAATTTTTTGTATTTTTAGTAGAGACGGGGTTTCACTGTGTTAGCCAGGATGGTCTCTATCTCCTGACCCCGTGATCCGCCCGCGTCGGCCTCCCAGAGTGCTGGGATTACAGGCGTGAGCCACCGCGCCCGGCCTACCGTCCAACTTTTAGAAGTCCAGTGAGGCCTGGCTGGGCTCAGAAGCTCACGCCTGTAATCCCAGCACTTTGGGAGGCCAAGGTAGAAGGATCACTTGAAGCCAGGAGTTGAAGACCAGCCTGGGCAACATAGGGAGACCCCCTTCCCTTCAAAAAATTTAAAAATTAGCCAGGCATGGTACTGGGTGCCTATGGTCCCAGCTACTTAGAATGCTGAGGTGCAAAAGATTGCTTGAGCCCAGGAGTTTGAGGCTGCAGTGAGCTACAGTCACACCACTGCACCCCAGCCTGGGCAACAGAGCAAGACCCTGTCTCAAAAAAAAAAAAATGTCCAGTGAATGCAACCAGCAGTGCTCTGCAAAAGCACCCGGGAGACCCTGTTAGTAAAGTCAGCTGAGGCCAGGCGCAGTGGCTCACGCCTGTAATCCCAGTACTCTGGGAGGCCAAGGTGGGTGGATCACCCGAGATCAGGAGTTCGAGACCAGCCTGGCCAACATGGTGAAACCCCATCTCTACTGAAAATACAAAGATTAGCCGGGCATGGTGGTGCATGCTTGTAATCGCAGCTACTCAGGAGGCTGAGGCAGGAGAATCACCTGAGCCCAGGAGGCAGAGGTTGCAGGGAGCTGAGATCGCAGCGCTGACTCCAGCCTGGGCAACAGAGTGAGACTATGTCTCAAAAAAAAAAAAGGAAAAGTCAGCGCAGGTCGCACTGCAGTCTGGCAGGAGGGCCAGCCTAGGGCCAGAAGGGCCCTTCCCTCCCTGAGGTCAGAGGCCCCCCGGGGTGTGGTACATAGACCCAGCAATCACTGTTTTAGGCTCCAGGCCGGTGGCTTCCTGGCACCTGGAGAGACAGAGGGTTGGGAAGTCCCAGGCTGCTAAGCCCTAACCACCTCCTCCCAGAGCCTTCAAAGTCTCCCCACTAATCCAGCAGCCCAGTCAGAGAGGTTTTGGACACTGCCCCACCACCTCCCAGCCACAGCCGAGCCCAGGAATGTGCTCATCAGCTGCCTCTGCAAAACGGGAAAGGTATCAGTGACTCCCTCCCCTTTCCAGAGCACATGACACCAGTGCTGCGGGCAGCTGTGCCATGTCCCAACGTTCTCTCCAGAGGGCCGGCTCCCCGCACAGCTGGTCCACAGGGTCACTGCACCCCATCCCACGGCCAGGGAGCACAGGCACAAATACAGCCCACCCCTTTAGCTGTGACTCAGGACAGCCTCCCTCAGAGACCCTGCAAGGAGCCACAGCCCTCGGGCCTCTGCCCACATCCTCCCACGGCACCTCCAGATGCCGTTGCCCACTTTTCCGTGAGTACGCGGCTCACTGTGTCGCAGGACCCAGGCATGGCACACAAACCCTGCTGAGGCCCTGGAGCTGAACTAGCCAGAAACCAGCCCCAGCACGGGCTGTCTCCAAGACCCACAGAGCTGGGGGCCGGGGCAGACGGCAGCACCCAGACTGCCGAGCTGGTGTGAGCCGTGTGGGGCCAAGGACATGTGGGCAAACCGGGCTGGCTGGTGCTGGCGACGTGTTGACACAGGTCCTCGCGGCATGCTGGCCGGATACTCCACAGCCTGGAGCAGAGGCAGGAGGAGCCGGAGCGGCCGAGTTTGTGAGGGCCTGTGGGGCCGGCAAGGGAGGTAGCGGGGAGAACGGGAGAACCGCACCCCCGGCGAGGCCTGGTCTGGCTTGAGAGCCGTCTCTGGCTCCAGCAGCTGCAGCCAGCCCGCAAGCTCGGGAACTGGGAGGACACCCGGGAATCTCGGCAGTGCGGAAGCTCCTACTCTAGGAAGCACATCAGGATGTGAAGTTGGCGGGGCTCACAGAGTCACAGGCAGGGCTCCTCAAGGCAGCCTGGTGAGGGTCGTTTGTTCCATCCGAACTTCTGAGGGCCGAGCAGCCTCCCTAGAGCTGCAGCTCCACCCCCACTCCCACCTGCCACCTGCACCCTTGGGCTCCTTCCTCCTGCCTCACCGCCCTCTGAGACCACCATGAGCCCTGCTGGATCCTCAGGGCCTCTGCCGTTGCCCTCAGGGGGACCCACAGACACCACAGAGCTCCTGTTGCCTCCCCTGCAGAAAAGCAGCAAATCCAGGCTCAGCAGAGCCATCGCCCAGCCCTGCACACAGGCCGCGGCTTGCCGTCTGCAGAAAAATTGACTTTCAGCCGGGCGCGGTGGCTCACGCCTATAATCCCAGCACTTTGGGAGGCCGACGCGGGCAAATCACGAGGTCAGCCAGCAGATCCTGGCTAACACAGTGAAACCCCATCTCTACTAAAAGTACAAAAAATTAGCCGGGCGTGGTGGCGGATGTCTGTAATCCCAGCTACTCAGGAGGCTCAGGCAGGAGAATCACTTGAACCCGGGAGGCGGAGGTTGCAGTGAGCCAAGACAGCACCATTGCACTCCAGCCTGGGCCACAGAGCAAGACTCCGTCTCAAAAAAAATCGAGTGTATGTGTTTTTTCTGCATGTGAAGCACAGGAGTGCTGAGGTTAAGCCAAATTACAACTTAAAGACCAGGAGATCCTTATTTTTAGAGACAGCTCTGTCACCCAGCTGGAGTGCAGTGGCGCGATCTCCGCTCACTGCAGTGTTGACCTCCTGGGATCAAGTGATCCTCCTGCCTCAGCCTCCCGAGTAGCTGGGACTGTAGGTGCAAACCATGCCCAGCTAATTTCTAATTTTTCCTAGAGACGGGGTCTCCCCGTGTTGCCCCAGCACTGGGATTCCAGGCGCGCGTCCCTGCGCCCAGCCCTGCCCTTTATCGTGTGAAGGGTTAGTGATAAGCAGGGCCCCCTGTTCCTCTCACCCATCCTTGAAGCCTGAGTCCACCTGATTTCTCGTCACTCCACGGCGGGGATGGGAGGGAATGACCAGGAGTCTGAGCATCACATGGGGCTGGGTGGCTCCACCCGTGTCCACATCCAGGGTCCAGAATCACAGAAGCCCCATCAGAGTCCAGGTAAAGCAGCCTACAGGCAGGGAAGGCATCCTCCCCGGGAATCGCAAGCCTGCACAGCTCTGCTGGGGAGACTGGGGCCTGTTTCTGCATCTGCACCTCGTCCCAGGGGCGAGGCCTCTCAGCACCAGTAACCCCACTAAGGCCTGGCAGATGGCCTTGGCGTCCGCATTCCAGCCCAGCTCTCCGGGCTTGGTGAGATCATAAACCCGAGGCAAGGACAGGTGGTAAAATTTCAACTTTATTTGGCCAATGTGTTCAATTCGATTGTGAAATAGAAATGCCTGAAGAACTGTCAGCGTCTGATTCAGCTCCAGCATCCTTGGCCACCTCCCCACCCGGGAGTCAAGGGTCGTGGTTCTGCCTTGAACAGGCCACAGGCCGTGCTGTAGAGAGGCCAGTGGTCACAATGAGCCCACGACAGGAGGAGGAGCCCTGGCTTGAGGGAAGGGGAAGGCCCAGGCCTGTGCCGGGCCCCAGGGCTGGCAGCCACCAGCTCCTCTTCCAGGCATGGGGGACACCCTGACAGGATCCGGAAGTCTCCATTTACCCAAAAATGCAAGAGCCATGATCAGTCATGGCGACACTGCAGGCGGTACTGAGTGACCATGTCCAGTCCGGCTCCGTCCCTCCCACACGGGGGACAAGCTTCTCCGAGGAGGCCTGGCCAAGGTGGAACAAATACCCTGATGTCGAAAAATGTCTAAAAATCCCACAGACGGAATTTTCAAAAAGAGGAGAAACCTCCCGCGGGAGGGAGGCAGCGAGACTCCGAACACGGTAGCAAGCACTCTGGACAGACTCATGTATGAAAAAGTACATCATGGTTTCAGGAAACAAGCCCCACCAGGGTGGGCTGCCTGGAGATGGATCCCTTTCCAAAAACCGAAAAGCAGAAGGAAGAGACGGGGGTGAACGGACGGTGTGTAGGGGTGAGGTGTCACTTCAGAGAGGTTCCCTGGGTTTCCGGCGACGCCCTCCTTCAAGCGAGGCCGCAGGCTTCGGAGGCGTGCGCTGCTGCTGGGTGTGCAGCCCCCGAGGGGTCTCGGCAGCGCCCGGGTCTGGCTTTGCGTATTACAGTTCATCTTTCACAGCTTTCTGATCATCGTCTTCCTCCATGTCTGGCTCCTCTGCTTCTTCCAGGTCCTCGAGATCCTGGGATACAGGAAAAGGGGCGGGGCGGGCAGGTTGGCTGCAACAGCTGAGGCTGCCGGCCCCCAGCACCCCACACTGCTCACACCGGGGACTAGCCGGCCACGGCGGACATGGCCACCGGCCACTGGAGCAGCCAACCCTGGTCTTTACGAGCTACACAGGGGTCTTCCCAGGAAGAGTGACGCCTGGGGGATTTCTGCCTATAGCAGGATGAATCAGAGCCCCCACTGTGTCAGGAACCCTGGGAATCCCAGCTCAGCCTTGGACCCTTCCACTGGGCATGGAAGGCGTATGTGTGTCTCCCAGCTTGGCACCATGGAGTCTACAGAGGGTCCACATCTCGGCAGGGACAACAGCCCCAGCATGAAGTCCAGGCACAGTCACCACTGGGGTGTGACCATTCTACTTCCAACCCTTGGGCTCTGGCCAATGACAGGCCACAGGCAGCACCAGGGGCCGGCCCTCCATCCCCAGCCTGGGCAGAGTATTCCCACCTCCCACTGTGCACCAGCACTCCCAGCAGGCCCTGCCAGCCTGGGCTGACCATGCCCTCATCTCCTTCACCATGGTCAAGCACCCCGCCCCTGCCGCATCCTCCCAACACCAGCCTTCCTGCTTCCCCGGCAGAGTCACCACTGCTGCTGGCCACGCGCTGACGGGCAGGACTAAACTCCCGAGGGCAGACCCATGTCTGCGCCCTTGTGCCCGGGCCCCGCCAGCGGGCTGGGGATGGACCTCTGAGTCCAAGTTAGCAGCATGTGAGGAACCGGTGCCATGTGTCTGAAAAGGTTTTCTAAGCAAAATCTGGTTTTTAAAGATGCCTTCAACGTCGTCCCCTAAAGAAGTGCTGGCCAGGGAGAGCTGTTTCAGCAGAGCACTGGGAGCACATCCCTTGCCCTGCTGGGCGAAGGTGTGGGGCCCCAGAGCCCTGGACGCACAGACGTGCCTCCAATGGCACCATTCCCATCACAAGCCGAGCCCAAGTGGGCATGTCCCGTGGGGCCAAGGGGCTGAATCCCAGAGACCAGCCCAGGGCTGTGACCCCACTCACGTCATCATCCCCTGCCCCATCCTGGCCACCGCTCTCCAGGAATTTCTTAAAACCATCCAGCGTGCGTTCCCCGTTGTAATCAATGACCTGTGGAAGACAGGGATGAGTGCAGGGGCTGGTCCCGGCCCAGAGCCAATCTCCTGGCATTGGCTCCTCCTCCCTAGAGAAAGGCAGAGCAGGCCCGGTCCGGTGGCTCACACCCGGAATCCAGCACATTGGGAGTTCAAAAACAGCCTAGGCAATATAGTGAGATCCCATCTCTCTCGAAAAACAAAGGTGGGTGCTTCTGAAGGAGCTCCCACAGCTCTTCTCCCACCTGACTAGCCCCAGGCTCCTTCCAGAGAGGCACCCAGGCTGGCGTGGGGACCACTGCTCTTCCCAGAGCCCGCCCCAGCCCCGTCTGGAGGGAAGGCGCACCGTCCTGTCGGCACTGGCAGGAAAGAACTTGAGTGTGGGGAAGCTGTGCACTTTGACGGCCTCCACCTCGTTGGCAGTCGAGTCCATCTTGGCGATGACGATGTTCTCATGGTCCTTGTACGTCTCTCCCAGTTTATCCCAAATGGGAGCCAACTGTTTGCAGTGACCACACCATGGGGCATCTGAAAAGAAAGCAGTTCTAGGGTGTGTCCTGGACACAAAGCCACTGGCAGACGCTTCCCCAGGAGTCTGCCTACCTTGCGCGTGCCCTGGTGGCACGGACCTGGGGAGCTGAAAGGGCAACACTTACAGAACTCCACAAAGACGTTTTTTTTCTCATCAAAAGCCACGTCTTCAAAGTTCTTCCCAACAAGCACCTTGACAGGCTGCTTGTCCCAGTCCTCCGGCAGCTCCTGGCTCATCAGGTGGGGCTGGAGGGCAGGCAGGGCACGGTGAGGGGCGGCGATGCCTGGGGGACCACAGAGCTCCCCAACCCTCACCCTGCCCGGGACTGAGGTGCGTGGCTGCCCTGGGCACACCAGGGTGGCAGCCGCAGACACCAACAGTGCCAAGAATCCAGAAAGAGAAGGCTGGGCCAGTGGGCTGGGCCCAATGAGCCCACGCAGGCCGCACCCTCGCCGGCCAGGAGGTTTCCCTGAGGAGCATCTGGGCCAGCCGTGTGGACAAGAGGGCTCCTACAGGTCCCCAAAGGTGTGACAAGAATGGTGGTCTTCACACCATCTTGGGCTCCGTCCTCTTACTCTGAAGATCTTACTTTGAGGACGAAGCCCAGGACACTGAGAGCCCAGAGACCCCAAGGTGGCGGCTCTACCCGGGAGGCAGCCCTGGCCCGGGGACGCGCCTGCACCTTGATTTTGCCCTCCAGGAAGCGGTGGCAGAACTCTGTGATCCTCTCTGCCGTCAGCTCCTCCGATTCGGGCTTGTACTTGGTCATCTCCTCCTCCAGGGTGATGAGGCGCACGGCCGGGCACTCTTCCTTCTTCAGGCCAAAGAACTCGAGGATGCGCTGGTTGTCGGTGTGGTCGCTGTCGATGAAGATGAACAGGATCTGGGGGAGAAAAGGAGGTTGCACAGGTGCGGGAGACGGCTGGCCTCTGCCTCCAGCCCTGACTTTGCTCGGAAGCAGACCGTGCTCCGGTGCCTTTTTCCTCCAACCTGGATTCCGGGGTTGCCCAACCAGACCAGCAGGTGACTGGGAGCAGAGGTCTGGCCTGGCTGGCCCCTCGCCTACATCCAGGCTGTCCTGAATCAGGTGCCCGATCCAGTCCAGCAGGCAGCCTCAGGAAGGCCCCACACTTGTCACCTCGGGAAGAGTTGTACTGCTCCCTGGCACCGCCCCACGAGCCACCCAGAAGAGCAGCTCACCTTGCCCTTGAAGCTCTCGGCTGCTGTTTTGAAGTTGCTCAGTTTGCCGTCATAGTCAGACACACTCTTGGGCAAGAACAGCAGGATGTGAGTCTTGATTTCACCTCCAAAAATCTTCGGGGCTGTCTGTGTTATAAACTTAAGTTACTGGGTCTGAGTCACACACTATTAATGCAGAAGATTCTCCCAATGGCCTCCAATGTCAGACGCTGGACAGCAGTGGTGACCGGGAGCCTCATGCCACCCCCAACCCACTCCTCCCCATCCCCAGCCTGGGGGCTGCAGGGCAGCCGCACCTGCTCGGTGAACTCGATGACAAGGGGCAGCTGGTTGTGTTTGATAAAGTCCAGCAGGTTCTCCTTGGTGACCTCCCCTTCAAAGTTGTTCCGGCCTTCATCAAACTGTGGACAGAAAGAGGGCCCTGACTGAGCATTGCTGCTGGGAGCACAGCCCCTGGGCCCGGGTCTCCCTGGACGTGGGAAGTCACAGCAGCCAGCAGCCCTGCCCTCCCGTGGGGTTTCGAGCCACAGGTCCAGCAATGGGTACAGGACATGGCTGTTCCTCGACAGTAAGACTGGCTCTGGTCACGGCCTTATGGCTGCCCGTGAATTCAACAGCTGGCTTCACATCCACAATGCAAGCCTGGCGCACGTGGTCCTCCAGCAACCTTGAAGTGTGGCCCATCCCCAGGGCCCCTAGCCTTTTCAGGGCACCCATGTGGTCAAAGCTATTTTCTTTTTTATTTGTTTTTGAGACAGTCTCGCTCTGTTGCCCAGGCTGGAGTGCAGTGGCATGATCTTGGCTCACTGCAACCTCTGCCTCCCAGGTTCAAGTGATTTTCCTGCCTTAGCCTCCCGAGTAGCTAGGACTACAGGCGCCTGCCACCATGCCTGGCTAATTTTTTTTTGTATTTTTAGTCGAGATGGGGTATTACCATGTTGGCCACGAAGGTCTTGATCTTTTTTTTTTTTTTTTTGTGATGGAGTCTTGCTGTGTCTCCCAGGCTGGAGTGCAGTGGCGTGATCTCCACTCACTGCAAGCTCCGCCTCCCGGATTCAAGCCATTCTCCTGCCTCAGCCTCCCAAGTAGCTGGGACTATAGGCGCCCGCCACCACCGGCTAATTTTTGGTATTTTTAGTAGAGATGGGTTTCACCACGTTAGCCAGGATGGTCTCAATCTCCTTACCTCGTGATCTGCCCGCCTCGGCCTCCCAAAGTGCTGGGATTATAGGCGTGAGCCACCGCGCCCGGCTGGTCAAAGCTATTTTCACACTCACACTTCTCTGGCCTCTGCCTTTTCACTCTCCCTCTCACGTGCTGCGGCACAGACCCACAGAGGCTGCTGGGCGCATGGTGTCGCAAGAGCAGGAGGGCAGGAGAGGAGAATCCTGCTGGAGGAATCTAAAACATCACTCAGCACTAAATTGTTTTTGTCTGGGACAAACTAGTTTCCGTAAAGATGTGATTTATGATAACATGTAATGGGATTATTATTCTTTTAAAATAAATTTGGCTACAGTGGCTCAGGCCTGTAAGCCCAGCACTTTGGGAGGCCAAGATGGGTGGATCGCTTGAGACCAGGAGTTCGAGACCAGCCTGGCCAACACGGTAAAACCCCATCTCTACTAAAAATACAAAAATAAGCTGGGCGTGGTGGCGGGCACCTGTAATCCCAGGTACTTGGGAGGCTGAGGCAGGAGAATCGCTTGGACCCGGGAGGCGGAGGTTGCGGTGAGCCGAGATCGCACCACTGCACTCCAGCCTGGGCGACAAGAGCGAAACTCTGTCTCAAAAAAAAAAAAAAAAAAAAAAAAAAGGCCAGGTGCAGTGGCTCACACCTGTAATCCTAGCAGTTTGGGAGGCTGAGGCAGGTGGATCACTTGAGTTCACGAGTTTGGGACCAGCCTGGCCAACATGGTGAAACCTCGACTCTACCAAAAATACAAAAATTTAGCTGGGTGTGGTGGTGCACACCTGTAATCCCAGCTGCTCGGGAGACTGAGGCAGAAGAAACACTTGAACCCGGGAGGCAGAGGTTGCAGTGAGCCAAGATCGTGCCACTGCACTCCAGCCTGGGCAACAGAGCAAGACTCTGTCTCAAAAAAAAAAAAAAATACAAAAATACAAAAATCAGTTGGGTATGGTGGCACCTGCCTGTAATCCCAGCTACTTGGGAGGCTGAGGCAGGAGGATTGCTTGAGTCTGGGAGGTAGACATTGCAGTGAGATCGCACCACTGCACTCCAGCCTGGGTGACGAGTGAAACAGGCCAGGCGTGGTGGCTCACGCCTGTAATCCTAGTACTTTGGGAGGCTGAGGCGGGCGGATCACCTGAAGCCAGGAGTTTCAGAGCAGCCTAATCCAACATGGTAAAACGTCGTCTTTACTAGAAATACAAAAATTAGCTGGGCGTGGTGGCGGGTGCCTGTAATCCCAACTACTTGGGAGGCTGAGGCAGGAGAATCGCTTGAACCCAGGAGGCGGAGGTTGCAGTGAGCCCAGATCGTGCCACTGCATTCGAGCCTGGCAACAGAGCAAGACTTCATCTCAAAAAATAAAAAATAAAAATAAATAGAGAGAAAAAAACGATTTTTTACATTCTTAGTTCTAGTTTCTAATACAACAGATCCTGAAAGGCGCAATCCACGTGCCTGTAAGGCCCTGGGGACCCCTAATAATGCACGGCAGCTTCAGGGAGTCCTAAGGCCACAAGATGGAGAGGCTGTGGCGCCCCAACCACGAGGGGTCAGCCTGCAGCTGAGGATGCGGCCTCGGCTCAGGCTCAGAGAGGCGCCCCTGTGCTGAGGCTCTTCAAGTGAGAATTTTGGGTGAGCCTTCCATCATTCCCCCGAACTACTTTTTTATTTATTTTTAAAATTTATTTATTTTTTTATTTTTTGAGACGGAGTTTTGCTATTGTCACCCAGGCTGGAGTGCAATGGCATGATCTCGGCTCACTGCAACCTCCACCTCCCGAGTTCCAGCAATTCTCTTTCCTCAGCCTCCCGAGTAGCTGGGATCACAGGCACCCGCCACCACGCCTGGCTAATTTTTGTATTTTTAGTAGAGACAGGGTTTTACCATGTTGGCCAGGCTGGTCTTGAACTCCTGACCCCAGGTGATCCACTTGCCTCGGCCTCCTAAAGTGCTGGGATTATAAGTGTGAGCCACTGAGCCCGGCCCAAACTATTTTATTTTTTTTTTGAGACGGAGTTTCACTCTTGTTGCCCAGGCTAGAGTGCAGTGGCAGGATCTTGGCTCACTGCAACCTCTGCCTCCCGGGTTAAAGCAATTCTCCTGCCTCTGCCTCCCAAGTAGCTGGGATTACAGGTACGCGCCACCACGCCTGGCTAATTTTGTTTTTTTAGTAGAGATGGAGTTTCTTTCTCCATGTTGGTCAGGCTGGTCTTGAACTCCCGACCTCAGGTGATCGGCCTGCTTCGGCCTCCCAAAGTGCTGGAATTACAGGTGTGAGCCACTGCACCTGGACAGAACTACTTTTTAAAATACTTATTTATTTAATTTATTTTATTTTATTTTATCTATTTTGAGACTGAGTTTTGCTCTTGTTTCCCTGGCTAGAGTGCAATGGCACGATCTCGATCTTGCCTCATTGCAATCTCCGCCTCTTGGGTTCAAGTAATTCTCCTGCCTCAGCCTCGCAAGTAGCTGGGATTATAGGCATGTGCCAACACGCCTGGCAAATTTTGTATTTTTATTAGAGATGGGGTTTCTCCATGTTGGTCAGGCTGGTCTCAAGCTCCTGACTTCAGGTGATCTGCCCGCCTTGGCCTCCCAAAGTGCTGAGATTACAGGCGTGAGCCAGCGTGTCCAGCCAAAAAAATTTATTTTATTTTTACTTTTTGTAGAGACAGTCTTACTATGTTGCCCAGGCTGGTCTCAGACTCCTGGCCTCAAGCAATCCTCTTGTCCTGGCCTCCCTAAGTGCTGGGATCACAGGTGTGAGCCACCAAGCCTGGTCCCCTTGAACCTTTTTTTTTTTTGAGACAGAGTCTTGCTCTGTCGCCTACGCTGGAGTGCAGTGGTGCTTCTCGGCTCACTGCAAGCTCCGCCTCCTGAGTTCACGCCATTCTCCTGCCTCAGCCTCCTGAGTAGCTGGGACTACAGGTGCCCGCCACCACGCCCGGCTAATTTTTTGTATTTTTAGTAGAGACGGGGTTTCACCGTGTTAGCCAGGATGGTCTCGATCTCCTGACCTCGTGACCCGCCCACCTCAGCCTCCCAAAGTGCTGGGATTACAGGCATGAGCCCCTGCACCCGGCCTCCTCAAACTTCTTAAATGAGACTTGGGGAAATAAATCACGCATCCTTTCTTACTGGCCGTTTCCATGTATGCGTCTGCAGAGTAACTTAGAGACCAGGTGCCACTCCCTGCTCTTGTGCACGCTGTGCCTGGGCCACCCTGGCCTGGCCTGACTGCCAAGGAGCTGATGTTAAACCAGGGCACAAGCACCAACCACCCTGCCCGAACCCGAGGGGCAGAGGCTTCTAAGCCTGCTACCTCTTCCCCAGAGGGGCAAAGGCGGGTAAGGAGAGGCAGAAAAGCCAAGTTCAGGAGGCCCTTGGAGGGAATCCTTTGGAACATGAGCTGCTGATCACAGCCGTGCTCCCAGTGGCACGGGTGGGCTCGCACTGTGCCCAGGAGTAACGCCGGGCCGCAACTGCAGGCAAACGAAATCCCCCCACCCCTGCAGAACAATGTCTCTGACTCCCTCCAGAGTGTCAGGCGCCGCCTACACCATCTCATGCCAAGAAGCCAGGAGGAGACACTGCCGCAGCTGTCCCAGGGCTGCCATCGTTTCAGCAGAGATGCTACACCACACTCAATCACGGTCTACTGCGGTAAGGGAAACTGGTCCACTTAGCAGGGCACAGCAGCAGGAGGCCAGCCCTGCCAGGCCACGGTGACAAACAGCATAGAAACGCCCAATGCAGGCCGGGTGGTATGGCTCACGCCTGTAACCCCAATGTTTTGGCAGGCTGAGGCAGGAGGATTGCTTGAGCTCAGAAGTTCGAGACCAGCCTGGGCAACACGGTGAAACCCCATTTCCACAGAAGTATTAAAAAATAGCCAGGTGCGGTGGTGCACACCTGTGGTCCCAGCTACTCAGCAGGCTGGGGTGGGAGGACTGCTTGAGCCCAGGAGGTCGAAGCTGCAGTGAAGTGTGATTGTGCCACCGCACTCCAGCCTGGTAACAGAGCGAGACCCTTTCTCAAACAACAATAACAGGCCCAGTGCTGCCAGCTGGGGGAGAAGAAAAAGTGAAATATCAGAAGCTCTCACACCCATGGTGCCAGTGACCAGCAGCCCCCGCAGAGGTTTTCCTGGGTTGCAGTGCCTGCTAGGGAAGGAAGGGAAGAGCAGGCAAGAGCGGGCCACACAAGAGCACCCGACTCAGCCAGGCTGCCCACTGTGGCCACTGCACACACAGGAAGGCCTCACTCACTTTGAGGGATGGGGGTTAACAGCCTGGTGGAAAAGGAACAAGTTGGACTCATCCTCTCAGCTGCGGGGTGAGCTCTGACTTCCAGGGCAGCCCCTACCACGTGCACCGGACAGGGGGCCGGGCTTCTGCCCGGAGCTGCCTGCAACGACCACGTTCGCCATCACAGACACCTGAGCCACCTTCAGTGGGCAGGAAAGCGCCACCCACCAACTGGCATCAAACCCAAGTGGGTTTGTCTGTGCCCAGCTCTAGTGGACTCCAGAGAATGGAGACAGAACGTTAACCTGTGGGGAGCCCACATGGATGGCCACGTGTGAGCCTTTGCAGGCAAGAGCAACGAAACCACCCTCCCAGCCTTCGCGGACACATATCACCAAACTGTCCATAGAGTCACAGCGGCCACTGCAGACATCCAGGGCACTGAAGGAGCTGTGGGCTGTGTGACAACACAGGGTTCGCGAGTTTCGTGGGCTCTGGAGAAAGTCTGCCCCAGAACCCAAGTTTCAGGACAAGACTTGGAACTTTCTCTTTAATAAAAGCTCTAAAAAGACCTTTGGTTCCTTCAACTTTATCCAACACTTCACTGGCTTTTTCTAGTCAGAGGTTTAATTTCCTGGGCACCTTGCAATGGCAATAGACTAATTTAGCAACTCTCTTCCCTTCAGGGGACATCAAGAGAATGTCTCCTGGTAAAGAGCATCTACTGTCTTGAGTTATCTTGAGGAAGTGGCTGCAAAAACAGCTAAATGACAAGAACAAGAACATGGAAGCAAGCCATCCTGACCCACCCGCACCACCGCGCTCCAGGAAGCTGGCTCTACCCTCCCTCCTACCTGGTCCCGGGGAGTGCTGGATGCTCCGTGCTTACTACAGAAAGTGAATGGGTCGGTGGCTCACACCTGTAATCCCAGCACTTTGGGAGGCCAAGGCAGGCGGATCATGAAGTCAGGAGTTCGAGACCACCCTGGCTAACACGGTGAAACCCCGTCTCTACTAAAAATACAAAAAAATTAGCTGGGTGTGGTGGCGGGTGCCCTGTAGTCCCAGCTACTCGGGAGGCTGAGGCAGGAGAATGGCGTGAACCCGTGAGGCGGAGCTTGCAGTGAGCTGAGATCGCGCCACTGCACTCCAGCCTGGGCGACAGAGACAGACTCTGTCTCAAAAAAAGAAAAAGAAAAAAAAAAAGAAAGTGAATGGGTTCCTTGTGTCCAAAACCACTCAGCCCCAATCCCAGAGGCTGCCCGTCTGACCGTTTGGCTTATGATGCTGCTGTCTAAAAGGTTCTTCTCCCCTCTGGAAACGACACAGGACAGGAGCTGAAGGTCCGATCGCCCCCGGCCGCCCTCCTGCCCCTCACTCCCCAGGTCCCTCCTCTCCCGAGACTTTCTCTCCTATCCACACTACCCTGGCTCTGAGCGGCACAAACCCACCATCACCCACATCCAGGTTCAGCTGTCCCTAGAGCACAAGTGTGCGGCCCCAGCCCCACCTGCCTGGTGACCGAGAAAAGAGACAATAGAAACCCACAGGCCCCATCTTGACACTGTGCAAACAAGGACCCTGCTGTGTCCTGGTAACGGGGAGAGGCGGCTAAGAGGCCACACTGTCCAGGAGCCCTTCCCCAGGAGAAGGACAGCGGGATCAGGATGGCAGTTTTCACAGTGGATCCTTAGGGGTCATAATGCCCTTGGGGCTGAGGGGCATACGAAGTGTGGGTGCCACCTGGGTGGGAACACGCCCAGAGCGCCAATACTCCAGACCTCTGGGTAAGGAAAACGTTCTGGAAATAGGGATGCTGCAGGACGCTCTGAATGTAGTTAATACTTTAGAATAGTTAAAACGTGGCCGGGCGCGGTGGCTCACGCCTGTGATCCCACCATTTTGGGAGGCTGAGGCAGGCAGACCACTCGGAGCTCAGGAGTTCAAGACCAGCCTGGACAACACAGCAAAACCCCATGTCTACCAAAAAATACAAAAACTCAGCCCAGCGTGGTGGCACGCGCCTGTAGTTCCAGCTGCTCGGGAGGCTGAGGTTAGAGGATCACTTGAGCCTGGGAAGCAGAAGTTGCAGTGAGCTAAGAATGCACCACCGCACTCCAGCCTGGGCGGCAGAGTGAGAAACCCTATCTCAAAAAAAAAAAAGGCAAACGGGGCCAGGCGCGGTGGCTCACATCTGTAATCCCAGCACTTTGGGAGGCTGAGGTGGGTGGATCACGAGGTCAAGAGATTGATACCATCCTGGCCAAAATGGTGAAATCTCATCTCTACTAAAACAAAGATTAGCTGGGCATGGTAGTGCATGCCTGTAGTCCCAGCTACTCGGGAGGCCGAGGCAGGAGAATCACTTGAACCCAGGAGGCGGAGGGTGCAGTGAGCCGAGATCACGCAACTGCACTCCAGCATGGGTGACAGAGCAAGACTCTCCCAAAAAAAAAAAAAGGGCAAATGTTGTTACATGTTTTATCATAATTGAAAAAAAAAAAAAAGCTAACAGTCAAAAGCAGTTCTGAGGCGGCTGTGGCAGGAGAGTGGCCAGAAAGCCCACAGCTGAATGCGAAGACCAGGCCACAGGCATCAGCGCAACACCCCAACTTGGCAAAGCTGCAGAACATACCTATTGGGCCAAAGGTGCCAGGAGCAAGGTTCCCTTAACGATAAGGAGAGCAACGCCACCCTCTGCAGACCAACCCCAGAACTAACCTGGGCAGAGCTGCCTGGGGCCACTCACCTTCTTAAAGAGGACAACCCCATCTTTGTCGAGCTGGTATTTGGAGAACACGTCACTGTTGGAAGTGATCCCAAATGGTATGTCATCGATGGCCTCTGCTGCCTGCAAAAACTGCTTGGCAGAGTCCGACTCCACGTCCTGAATGAGGAGGGAGAAGCAGAGGTCGTCATGATCCCGCAGCACCAAGCAGTAGGGCAGACCCTGTAGAGCCCAGGCCAGGGGGGACACGTGCAGAACTGCCAGCTGCAGGCTGTGGACCCCTCCTCAATGGATGACGGAAGGAAGGAAGACTGGAATGCTCTGGTCTCTACCTTGAAGAAGCCGATGACAGCCACCTCGCTGGACTCCACCAAGGACTCTGCAGCTGCGCCGTCAGGCAGGGTGGTGGCAGCCGGGCCCGTGCGCTTCTTCAGCCAGTTCACGATGTCATCAGCCTCTCTGCCAGCTAACCCCAAACAAATGTAGGTTCTACTCTCAAACAGGGAGTGCCGCCTGCCCTGCCGCGCCTGCTCCCGTCTCTGCTCTCTGCCAGCCAGGCTGAGGACACCTGAATCAACCTAAGTAAGATGTTCTCCCACCATGGAAGAGGCCCGGTGCCGTCCGCCCGCCTCCTAAACCCCAGTGTACGTGAGACTGTGGTTGTGTTTATGGGGAGTGGAGAGGGAAGAGGGTGATTCTGTCTCTGAATAACAGGATCACAAACCCATTTTTTTTCTCTGATCTCTCTGCATTTTCTTTTTTCTTTTGACACAGGGGCTCACTCTGTTACCCAGCTGGAGGGTAGTGGCAGAATCTTGGCTCACTGCAGCCTCCACCCACTGGGCTCAAGCAATCTTCCCAACCTCAGCCTCCTGAGTATCTGGGGTACAGATGCACGCTACCACACCCAGCTCATTTTTGTATTTATTGTAGAGACGGGGTTTTGCCACGTTGCCCAGGCTGGTCTTTAACTCCTGTGCTCAAGCAGTTTGCCCACCACGACTTCCCAAAGTGCTGGGATTACAGGCATGAGCCACCAATCCCAGCCCTTTTTTTTTTCTTGGAAGACAGGGTCTTGCTCTGTCACCCAGGTTAGAGTGCAGTGGCATGATCATGGCTCACTGCAACCTCGAACTTCTGGGCTCAAGCAATCCTCCTACCTCAGGCTCCCAAGTAGCTGGGACCACAGGCATGTGCCACCACACCCAACTAACTTTTTTTTTTTTTTTTTTTTGAGGCGGAGTTTTGCTCTTGTTGCTCAGGCTGGAGTGCAATAGTGTGATCTCGGCTCACTGCAACCTCCACCTCCCGGGTTCAAGCAATTCTCCTGCCTGACCCTCCCGCGTAGCTAGGATTATAGGTGCCCGCCACCACACCCGGCTAATTTTTGTATGTTTAGCAGAGACAGGGTTCCCCATGTTGGCCAGGCTGGTCTCACTCCTGACCTCAGGTGATACACCTGCCTCAGCGGTCTCCCAAAGTGCTAGGATTACAGAGGTGAGCCACTGCGCCCAGCAATGTTTCTTCTTTTTTTTTTTTTTTTTTGAGACGGAATCTACCTCTGTCGTCCAGGCTGGAGAATGCAGTGGCGCCATCCTGGCTCACTGCAACCTCCATCTCCCAGGTTCAAGTGATTCTCCTGCCTCGGCCTCCCAAATAGCTGGTATTACAGGCGCCCGCCACCATGCCCAGCTAATTTTTGTATTTTTAGTAGAGACGGGGTTTCACTGTGTTGGCCAGGCTGGTCTTGAACTCCTGACCTCGTGATCCGCCCGCCTCGGCCTCCCAAAGTGCTGGGATTACATGCGTGAGCCACCATGCCCGGCCAATTTTTCTATTTTTTGTAGAGATGGGGTTTTGCCACGTTGCCTAGGATGGTCTCAAACTCCTGGGATTAAGCAGTCCGCCCACCTCGGCCTTCCAAAGTGCTGGGATTACCGGGATGAACCACTGTGCCCAGCCCTAGCTAATTTTTGTATTTTTTGTAGACAGGGTTTCACCATGTTGCCCAGGATGGCCCTCTGCATTTTAAAAATTTTATTTTTTGAAACGAAGTCTCACTCTGTCACCCAGGCTGGAGTGCGGTGGCACGATCTCAGCTCACTGCAACCTTACCTCCCAGGTTCAAGGGATTCTCCTGTGTCAGCCTCCCAAGTAGCTGGGATTACAGACGTGCACCACCACGCCCGGCTAATTTTTGTATTTTTAGTAGAGACGGGGGTTTCACCATATTGGCCATGCTGGCCTCGAACTCCTGACCTCAGGTGATCCACCCGTCTCAGCCTCCCAAAGTGCTGGGATTACAGGCATGAGCCACCGCACCCAGCCTGTCCTCTGCGTTATCTAAATTTTCTTTGACATGTACATCCATCAAACACATGTTCTCACCCAGGAGTCTGACAGCAGGCCTCATTTTAGAGAGGTGGACAGTAACTCAAAACTCAGTGCCAGTTTTCTACCTCTGGGAACAGGCTGACGCCCCGCCCACCTGACTCCCGCGCCTCCTAACTTATCCCAGGCGTTTCGGGAGTTCTCGCCAATGGCCCACCCTCCATGCCTCCCAGACCAGGAAGAAGATGACACACTTTTATGCCACCAAAGGCGGTCAACTGACAGGAAAGAAACTTCCTCCTCCTGGGAGACTGAGGCTAAGGAATGATGCCTCTCCTTTTTCCCTCCTAGAACTTGACTCCCTGGTCCGAATCGGGAAAACCCCATTCAGATGTAGAAGGATTCCACCAGTGCTAACAAGACGGTCACCAGTGACAAGTGGATTTAGGAGTGCTCATCTCATCTGCAAACCTGAGTGTTAGTGACAGAACCACGGTGACTTTGGACAGAGCACTTCCCGTTCCAAAAGTGAACATGAGTAAAAAATGAGAACATCAATCACGCCTGTAATCCTAGCACTCTAGGAGGCCGAGACGGGTGGATCACGAGGTCACGATCGAGACCATCCTGGCCAACATGGTGAAACCCCGTCTCTACTAAAAATACAAAAATTAGCCAGGCGTGGTGGTGCACACCTGTAGCCCCAGCTACTCAAGAGGCTGAGGCAGGAGAATCACTTGTACCCGGGAGGCAGAGGTTGCAGTGAGCAGAGATCGCACCACTGCACGACAGAGCGAGACTGTCTCAAAAAAAAAAAAAAAAAAAAAAAAAGGAAACATCAAAACAGCCAAGTGAGAGGCAACCACAGAGCTGCTGCCACTAGAACAGGACAGGGCACACCTGCTTAAGGGGACAAAAGGAAACATCAAAACAGCCAAGTGAGAGGCAACCACGGAGTTGCTGCCACTAGAACAGGACAG
This sequence comes from Homo sapiens, assembly GCF_000001405.40. Classification (NCBI taxonomy): domain Eukaryota; kingdom Metazoa; phylum Chordata; class Mammalia; order Primates; family Hominidae; genus Homo; species Homo sapiens. The sequence continues at coordinate 81,858,432 of NC_000017.11, forward strand.
GGCACACCTGCTTAAGGGGAGAACCCTGCTAACACTGGAATGAGCTGCTTTCGGGCTACCCACCATGAGCATCTGACATGCCACAGAACCGGTTTTATAGACGAGTTTTCTTTTGCCACCGTCACTGATCTGGCTACACAGGGGCTCGGCCTCCACTACGGCAGCTTCAGAGGCGGCAGACGAGCAGCTGAGGGCCCGTGCTACAGACGGAGCAGGGCGGGCTTGGATTCGAGGTCTGCTACCGACAGGCTCGATGCTGTTACTCAGCTGCTCTAAGCCTCAGCCCTTTGTCTGGGAAAAGCCCGCCTCACAGAGAGGATGCGAGGAGAAATCACGCAAGCACGTGACGCGGCAGCTGGCACGCTACACACGACAGCTAGCAGGTGTCACCCCGAGAGCTACAGCCATGCTGCTGCTCCTAGGAACAGGGGGCAGCACAAACAGCCCATGTGGCCAGAAAGGCACCAGTCTCCCTCTCCTCGCTGGTCAGTCTCCAAACAGACCTCAGCCAGCCGCCCCCAGGATGGCACCAGACAAGACAGGTTCTCCATTCGAAGGTTCTTCCAGGATGAAAACTCCTCACAAGACCCTCAGGGCACAAGTGGACAGAGAACCCGGCCTGAGGAACGGGATCCCTCCAAGCCTCTGGAACCCGGCCTCCCCACCGCTCAGACAGCTGCCCCTGCCCTTCCAAGTCGGCAGGCCAGTCCCTCTCTAAAGACAGTTCAAGGGCAGTGCCACAGCCACACCTGTATATTCCTTGGGGGAAGCCGTGTCTCCATTCCTGAAGAACTTGATGGTGGGATAGCCGCGCACGCCGTACTGCTGGGCCAGGTCAGACTCCTCCGTGGCGTCCACCTTGGCCAACCTGATCTCGGAACCTTCTGCCTTCAGCTTCCCAGCGGCTTTGGCATACTCAGGGGCCAGAGCCTTGCAGTGGCCACACCAAGGGGCATCTGGAAGCGGAAATGAGATGCTAGAAAGCAGCCTTGATCCCTAAAGCAGCCTTGATCCCTCAGCAGTGCTTCCCTTTTTCCTCTGGCATTTCCCTTCATAAAAACCTTATCTACTCACCAAGATAACCCCTCCTAACGCACAAGGCTGAGCTGATAGCCTGGTGTTCTTGGGCAATATCAGGACAGAGGCCGTGAACGACAAACTACCACCAACCAACACCAGCCCCCACTCTGCTATGTCACCATCAGCACAGCCAGACAAACCTTTCAATGGTTGCTGACTTCTTATTCCCCACAGGCAACTAAGGCAAGGATCTCCCCTAGACTTTCCCTTTAAGACTACAGACAAAAGTGAAGAAGTGACCGTGGCGGCCTGTACCAGCACTAGCTGTGAGTATGAGATGCACATCCGTGCACACAGACCCTGAGTTGCTTAGGGTGAGAATAAGACGATCTGTCAATAGAGTTAGCAGCTGTGTCAGGCACAAGGTTCCCACCCCAGGGACAGAGCTCAAATCCTTATGGACGTGAGGAAGGCTTGGGATTCTCCTCTGAGACACCATCGGAAGGACTGCTGTGGCAAGCTGAAGGTGGGGTGGGCAGGAGCGGGGCGCCTTCCGGGTCGGCCCCCGGGGAGGACTCGGCAAGGCTGGACACTGGCTTGCTCTGTTTGCTCACACAGGTCGATCCTGTTCTTCTCGCACTAACAGGAAGATCCTGCCGTGCGCAGGGCGGGCATCGGGACGGCCCCCCGGCTCCCAGCCCGGCTCTCACCCCCAGGGAGCCCCTGACATGGCCCCCAAGGCGGGCAGCAAGGGAGCCCTTCAGTTCCGGGCGCGCCGGGGGTCCCGACCCCGGGGGCTGCCGGGCCGTGCCTGCGTCCCAAGAGCCTGGCTCAGCGGCCCCGAGCCCCGCCCGCCCGCCAGGCCCGGCGCTCACAGAACTCCACCAGCAGGTACTTGTGGGCCGCCAGCGCCTCCGCGAAGTTGCTTTTCCGCAGCACCAGGACGTGGTCCTCCTCCTCGGGGGCGTCGGCGCGCACCAGGGCGGCCACGGCCAGGCACAGCAGAGCGCGGCGCAGCATGTCGGACACGGATCAGGCGGGGCGCTTCGGTTGGCGCCGCCGGGACAGCGGGGGCGACGAGAGCGCGCGCCGGTCCCGGCCTCGCCTTTATAAATCCTGGGTCCGGGGCGCGCCTGCCCCCCCGCCCGCGCGCGCTGGCCGCGGCGCGCACGCGCCGCTGGGGCCCGCCTTCGATTGGCCGGCGGACTTCGAGGCTCGTCTTTGCCGCTCTCGGATTGGACACTCACACCAGGCCTGGCCCCGGATTCGGAAACGCTCCTGAGTGCTCCCTGGCCTTCGTTCGGGATTGGCCGAGGACCTCGCGCTCGCTGTCTTTCTTAGCCTCTCATTGGCTCCCGACAAGAACTTTTTCTGCCTTGGCTTCTAATTGGTGGCTTTCGCCTGCACCTTCCACGGGTCTGGAATGGCTGCCCCTTTCGGTAGCACGGACTCTGCGCCTCCTGATTGGCCAAGGGATGCGCGCACTCTGCGCGTTCCTTCGTCGAACGTGGCAGTGGGGAGGAGTTCCCAGTTTAGGGGCGGAGCTGCGGCTGCGCTTCCGAAACCCCTCGTGTTGCATTCTGACTGGACCGCGTACCCAACTGGCACGCCCCCCGGCCCCCGGACCGGAAGTTGGGGTGACGCAATTTCCGGCGCGCGTGTCAAGCGTGCGGCGGCGGCCGTGGAAGGTGGGGTTGGCCGCCTAGGGTCGGCGGTGGGCTCGGTGTGGGATAGCCGGCCCGGTCCGACGCGCTCCGCGAGGTCACGCGAGACACTCACCGAGGCATGGCGGCAGGGCCTGGGCATGGGAATCGTGCGCACAGTGCGAGGAAGCCTCGGAGGGGATACGAGCACAGGGCGGGTGGTTAGGAGAATGGGGCTGGAGAGACGGGCGGGAGGGGCGGGACCTGGGCCCCGGGGACCTGCCGGCTCCCAGGCCCCAGGAAGACGCTGCTCATGCGTGGAGCGGCCGCAGGAAAGGTACTCCCCGCTAAGGCCTTCAGGGAGCGGCCCTTTGCCCTGTGCGATCTCTTCCTTCCTTTCCCACGGGTTGCCAAATCCTGTGACGCTGCCCCTTCTCTGGTGCTTCTCAGATGCTCTGGTCGGCTCAGGAGACCTCGCAGCTGTTACACAGCTGTGGAAATACCCTGGGCGCTGCTTCACTCCGAAGGCAGCAGCTGGGTTTGCCTCCCGACTCGACCCGCCACCGAGGCTCCTGAGCACTTGAAATATGGCCAGTCCACCTGAGACGGGCTGTGAGTGCGCAATGCACATCAAACTTCTAAGACTGAGTGTGCGGGGCCGAGTGCGGTGGCTCACGCCTGTAATCCCAGCACTTTGGAAGGCCGAGGCGGGCGGATCACGAGGTCAGGAGTTCGAGACCAGCCTGATCAACATGGTGAAACCCCCTCACCTCCCGTCTCTACTAAAAATACAAAAATTAACAGGGCCTGGTGGCGCGCGCCTGTAATCCCAGCTACTCGGGAGGCTGAGGCAAGAGAATCGCTTGAACCCAGGAGGCAGAGGTTGCAGTGAGCCGAGATCGCGCCATTGCACTCCAGCCTGGGCAACAGAGCGAGACTCCATCTCAAAAAAAAAAAAAAAAAAGTGTGCGTGTAGGGGCTGGAGGACAGAAGGTACAGTATTTCGTTAATAACTTTACATTGACTACTACATGTTGAAATATTCTGTATGCATATGTTGGATTACATAATAATATTGAGGCCAGGTGCTGTGTGGCTCACTCCTGTAATCCCACCACTTTTGGAGACCGAGGCAGGAGGATCCCTTCAGCCCAGGAGTTCGAGACCAGCCTGGGCAACATAGTGAGACTCCCGTCTCTACAAAAAATAAATTAAAAAAATTAGCCAGGCACGGTGGTGTGCACCTGTGGTCCCAGCTACTTGGGAGGTGGAGGTGGGAGAATCATTTGAGCCCAGGAGGCTGAGGCTGCGGTGAGCCATGATCCCACCACTGCACTCCAGCCTGGGCGACAGATCGACACCCTATCTCAAAAAATAGTAAAAAAATGTCCTTTTTTTAAAATTTTTATTTTTTATTTTTTTGAGACAGAATCTCACTTTGTCATCCAAGCTGGAGTGCAGTGGGCGATCTCGGCTCACTCCACCTCCCGGATTCAAGCGATTCTCCTGCCTCAGCCTCCCGAGTAGCTGGGATTACAGGCATGCACCACCATGCCCAGCTAATTTTTGTATTTTTAGTAGAGACAGGGTTTTACCATGTTGGCCAGGCTGGTCTCGAACTCCTGACGTCAGGTGATCCACCCGCCTTGGCCTCCCAAAGCGTTGGGATTATAGGCGTGAGCCACCGCACCAGGCCTCCTCTTCTATCTTTTAACGTGGCTTTTAGAAACTTTTAAAATTACATAGATGGTCTGCATTTTGTTAGTGTTGGACACTGGCAGCCCTCCGTCTCCCTCACTGCCTGGAATCTGCTGCTCTCCTTTTCCCCAGGTGCCTGCCCTCTCCATTCCTCCTCACTTTCCTCCGCTGGGAATCGGCACCGCCACTGATTTTAAAGTTGAAACTTGGCAGGCAAAAGGGAGGTACTCCCATGTTAAATGTATACACATTGACTGCAATAGTATCCTGACTTTTGAAATGGTAAAACGTAGAGTAAGTTGCTTTTGTACTTTGAGAGTTTCTGTTTGTTGATCAGTTGTTCCTGAGAACATGCTTCTCCTTCCGACAGGGAACTCCCTCCACTAGAATATGAGCTCCTTGTGGTCAAGACTGGGTCCCCTGTTCCCTTCCCCCCAGTGCCAGCGGAGCAAAGGTCAGTCAGCGGCATAAGTTGTACCTGCTGGGAGAACTGTCTGCTTCCTCCGGGTGACTTTTCTGGCCAAGAAGGAATATGAGTATGTGCCTCCCTGAGCACTGGCCTGGAGCCCACTCAGGAAACACCATCTCTTCATAAATGGTTTTGATTGCAGGCATTGTTCCTTCTGCTCTCTGGATGATGGAAATTGCTTCAGGTCACTGCACTATCTTCCAACGTTTTTGTGGTTGCCATGAGCTGTTGTACAGACCACAGTTTGGGGCCTGAGACAAGCTGGGCATGGTGTTGCATGCCTATAATCTCAGCTACTTTGGAGGGTGAGGCAGGAGAATAGCTTGGGCCCAGGAGGTCTAGGCTGCAGTGAGCCATGATCATACCACTGCACTTCTGTCTGCGTGACAGAGACCCTGTATCTTACATAAAACCCCAGCCCATATTTGTACCACATCTAGATACGAGGTCAGAGTTCAGATGCCTAAATATTGTAGCTTGTGTTTTGTCCACTGTTGGGGGAAGAGTGAAGAGATTTGACATACCATAATGTTGATTAGCTTGTGATGGTTTGGCGGCAGCTTAGGCCAGAGCATAAAGTAAAAAGGAAAAGTGTTCACAGACAATGAAAACTGGGACCAAGTGGTGAATACTCAAGGCACACAGACCAGGCAAGGATCCCAGTGGCCGTGGATGAGTCTCAGGCTGGCTCTGGGCCAGTGGAACACACCTCAGTGTGGGTGAAGGCCTAGCCAGGGTAGCAGAGGGCAGGGCTACAGAACAGCAGCCCAGGTGGCTGTGGCCGACCTGACATTCTCCTGTGAAAATCAGGTGCCCAACCAGCACTAATCTAGATAGATGGCAGCATTTTTTTTCTTTAAAGACAGGATCTTGCTATGTTGCTCAGGCTGGTCTTGAACTCCTGACCTCAAAGGATCCTCCCCTCTTCAGCTTCCCAAAGCACTGGGGTTACAGATGTGAGCCAGCACGCCCAGCCGAATCACAGTATCTTAGACAGATGCCATGGCTGCCCATAGGGTCCTCTCAAGGTGCCTCTGCCCTTGGACTGGCTTCCTACACCAACCTGACAGGTGCAGCAAAGGTGGACTTTCTGGTAAGGCTGGAGGAGGAAGCCTGGTCTGCGATGGCCTGAGACGCCCTCTATGGGGGTTGTTGAGTGGATGGAAATGTGCAGGGCATGGGTCCTGCCCCCAAGAATGCAGGCTGGTTCCGCTGGGCACCTGCAGAGGGCTGATGTCCTTTTCCTGAGGCCTGCTCCTGTGCCTTCTAACCCTAGGGTGAGAAGATGGGCTGTGTTCACCTCATGCCCAGGCCCTTCGAGGAGTGTGCCCTTGGGGGTCAGAGCCCTCCTGTGGCTGGTATTTCTTTGGATCATCACAGGTGCTCCAGACATCCTTTAGGGAGTCTCAGGCTTGGTGAAGGGATCCATTAAATGTTGCTTAGTTGGTTTTTGTTTGTTTTTTGTTTTTTCGAGACAGAGTCTCCCTCTGTTGCCCAGGCTGGAGTGTGGTGGCGTGATCTTGGCTCACTGCAACCTCCACCTCCCAGGTTCAAGCGATTCTCCTGCAACCTCTGCCTCCCAGGTTCAAGCGATTCTCCTGCCTTGGCCTCCTGAGTAGCTGGGATTATAAGCGTGTACCACCAACCCTGGATGATTTTTGTATTTTTAGTAGAGGCAGGGTTTCACCATGTTTGTCAGGCTGGTCTCGAACTCCTGACCTCGTGATCCTCCTGCCTCGGCCTCCCAAAGTGCTGGGATTACAGGCGTGAGCCATCATGCCCAGCCAACTGGTTTGTGATTAAATGTTTTGATTGATGCAGTTTTTGAAATGTACTGTGTGTACAATATTACTCTTTTGAGACAGGGTCTCACTCTGTCACCTAGGCTGGAGCACAGTGGTGCAGTCATGGCCCACTGCAGCCTCTGCCTTGTAGCCTCAAGTGATCCTCCTGCTTCAGCCTCCTGAGTAGCTGGGACTACAGTTGTGCACCACCATGCCCACCTAATTTTTATTTTTTTAAAGATGGGGTCTCCTGTGTTGCCCAGGCTGGTTTTGAACTGCTGAGCTCAAGTGATCTGCTTCTGGCCAGCTACTACTCTTAAAAGTAGAGTTCTCAGAGCAAAACAGCTCCCTTTCAACCTTCAGTCCGGTCGAAGGTGTGGTGGGGGTAACAACAGCAGGCTCATGGATACCTGGGCAGTGCTCCGAGGTCCCTCCTGTGTTCCCACTGAGCAGCAGCCTGCTGTGCCCGGAGTGGAGGTGAGAAATCCAGCAGCAGCGCGGTGGTGAGTGTGGGCCCTGCGGAGTGTGGCAGGCGCTCATTATGGTGCAGGGCAGTGTTGGGCACAGAGAAGGTTCTCAGAAACCACAGTAACCCATGGTTAGTTGGTCACATCCCAGACCCTGACCTAGCACTGGCTGGCACTGTGACTTGTCACTCTCCTGAATGGAAGAAGTGTCCACCTGGGGGTGGCTGAGGAGGTGGATGCTAGGGGACTGCTGGGAGCCACGGACCTGTGGAGGTTGGGAGAGGAGACTGCAGGCGCAGGCTGCTGGAGGCGAGGAGGCCTCTCTGGAGCGCCAGGCCATACAAACAGGTCCCAGGTGGGGCCACGAGGATCAGGTTAGACTTGGGACCCGAGAGACACGTCATGCCCACTGTGCAGGTGCCACCTCATGTTATCCTGCACCAGGGGAGGGGCCAGCCCAAAGTCCTGGCTGCTGGCAGCATGCCCGTACAGCTTGGCACCTGGGTCTGAGTTCACATGTCTAGCAAAGCTGGGAAAATCCAGGAGCAAGAAGGTGAAGCCCTTTGGCTCAGCCCAAGCTCAGAAGGCCCTTGCCCGATGAGCCGAACTGCTGACAACACCCTGGCACTGGGCTTGGGGACTCCCCTGGAGCATGTAAGAAGTGAACTGGGAGCGTGGGAGAAACTGTCTGGCAGGGGCTGCTGCCTCGGAGCTCATCCTCCCTGGCTGTGCTGGTGTCTGTCCAGTGGGATTAGCCTCCATCCTGTGGTTTCACCACCCCACCGCCTCTCTCCCCCACAGCACAGGCAGAAGCAGCAACGCAACACGAGACCACCTCGCTTGGGGCTAGTAGCAGTTCTGGGAAAGGCTCGGTAGGGTCTTTGCTCCCTGCGGAATCAAGGGCTGGGGGCTGACCCAGGCTTTCTCTATAGCTGCTTCCAGATCTGGGTCTGGACCAGCTTCTGCAGGAAGGCACCATTCTGTTGGGGTGTCTGACACGGTCAGCTCTAGGCTCAGCCTCTGCGGCCCCCACAAAGGCCTAGCAAGGATGGGGCAAGGTGGCAGTGGTGCCCGCACGCACTGCCCTGGCACAGGTGTGTAGTTAGTGACCTGAAGCATGAGGGCATCTCCCTGCCCACCCCAGCTGGAGATAAGCCCCTTGCGGGGCCCACCCTGCTGATAAACCCCAGAGCAGTATGGCCTGTGTCAGAATGACCAGTAGGAGGGCCCCGGGGTAGCAGCTGCCCAGCCCAGCTGCGTGTGTGTGTGAAGTATTTTCCTCAACACCTTATACCACAGAAGGCAGATTTTGAAACTCGCATCAGGCCAGAAAAAGAATTTCTGAATGGACACTTCTAAGGGGTGCCTGGTTACTCATCTGCCTCTTCCCCCTGCAGGGTAGAGGGGCATGGGTTTGAAGTTCCCGGGGGCTCTTGGAGACTGCAGACACGGACGAGCTGGGGTTCCTGGATGCTGCAGCAGTTGGGGCCCCTGGCTGAGCGCACCTGCCCCAGGAGGCCCTGCGTGGTTCCCCCAGTAGCCCCTTCACACCACACCGCAGTGAGGATGCCCTGTCTCCTGCCGATCCCATCACACCAAGCCTTTTCGCTGTTGGGCTCCTGGCACTGCCCGATCCTGGAGGGCACTTGGCTGCGGCTGTGGCTGTGAAGGGCTGGTGCTCTAGGCGCCTCCGTGGCCCCCGTTGCCTGGGCACCTACTTCCTGCCTCAGCCACAGCTGCATCCACGTGCGCCAGGGGCCACAAGGCCGACCCTGGCTTGGGCCTGTTCCTCCCTGGGTTTCCTTGGGATCCAGTCATTGGAGGGCCCGCGCACAGCTGGGCCAACTCGACACCTCCAAGCCCGGCCAGGGAATCAAGCAGCTCTCCCTCTGGCAGCATGAGCTACACAAGCCAGGCCCGTCTTCCCATTCCCTTAGCAAGGAGGGGCAACCCCAGCCAAGGCCTTCTGCACTGTTCTAGACTGTTGCTGCCTAGGGCTACTGTAGCTGGGAGTCACATTCCTTTCTCCCCAGATAGTTGCAAGGGGCCCAGCAGCCACAGCACTTCAAGGGGGCCCTGCCCTTCCCCTCCCACCACCCCACCAGGGTCCCCATCTTCCCCTTTGTCTCCTAAAGCCCGTGAGGCAGTAGAGGAGCCAGGCCCTCCCCTGCCACACCCTGGAGAAGCCAAGCAGCAGACACCCCCAGCTCCTTCAGGGGCATTTATTTCCCGGTCAGAAAAGAAGCAGGGACAGGCGCCTCTGCCTGAGCCTGGCAGACACAACACGAAGACCGGGGATGGGGCGGGGGAGGCACAGGAGACGGCTCTCAGCAATGTGTGCACTTGGTCCCTTGTTTGTTCCTGGCTGGGTCAGGGAAGGCCTGCCGGGGGTGGTGGCACTGAGAGCCTGGGGGAACAGGCGCCAGGCCAGTGGCCCAGGGACGGCACGGACGGAGGCAATAAATACTGATGGCCAGGCGGGGCTCCTGGCTGGGCCCAGGTGGGGTGAGTGAGGCTGTCCATCGAGGGCTCTTGGGGGGGTGTGGGCTCTGGGCACTGCCCGCTGAGACAGAAAAGGCAGAGGCAGGACAATACCCAGCCTCCTGGATGGTACTGAGGTGACTTGAGTTTTGGCAATTTGGCTTTCCCCAAGCCGCCGGAGCCATCTCCACAGCCCTGTCCAGGGAAGGGGGCAGGCTGGCCAGGCACTGGTGGGCTGGGGAGCAGCAGCAGCACACCCCACGTGTCCCTGGGTCACTGGGTTCGCCACCGGGGAAGGGACGGGGAGGCCACATGCTCATGCAGACACAGGGAGTTAGAGGCTAGTGAGGCCCCACGGTACACTCCACATGTTAAGGCATCATGGTTAGACGGGACCGACAGCGACAAGGGGGCTGGCCAGGGAGCAGCGGGGCTGGAGGACGGCCCGGCCCCCACGAGGCCGTGCATCCCACACCCCAGCTCCACCCCGGAGCAGCAGACGCACACGTCCAGGGGCAACCACGGGGCCTGGAGAATGGCTGCTCCGCTCCCTCCTGAAGCCAGGCCTCGGGTGTGACGGGGAGATAGAACCTGGGGGGCACAGAAAGGGCAGCAGAGGCCTGGCTGCGGCCTCTCTCCCCCACAGCACAGGCAGAAGCAGCAACGAGACAGGAGACCGAGGAGGCTGGGCCTGTGGGTGGGGGAGGGCTGAGGAGGGGGGTCGGAGGCACTCGGTTGAGCCAGGCCAGGGAGGCGGACCAGGGTGGGAGGGGCACGGAGGGCCTGTCAGCACTTTGGTATGGGGAGGGGAGGGGCTGGGGGGGACACATCCGCCTGTCCGTCGTCCGTCCGTCAGTCTGCCCTGCCCGCCTCTGGCTGGGCTCAGTCCTTCCAGTCCTTCTTGATGGTGAGATTCCACTCCCAGGACAGGTGGTCGGTCTTGTCGTCGTCTGTGAAGCGGGACTTGATGCTGTAGCTGCCCCGGGCCAGCATACCCTTGGGTGCCTCCTCCACGGGGGTCAGGAACTCGTACTCCTCGGCCCGGGGCCCATAGCTGCCTACCATGTAGTCAGTCTTGTCAACTGCGGCACAAGGAAGAGGGCGGTCAGCGGCCCCGCTTCCCCGCCTGGCAGCACGCACCCAAGCGGCCCCCTCTGCCCTGCCCGGGGCCCCACTCACTCTTGACGCCTTTCCTGTACGTATGCTGGATGTACTTCATGCCGGACACTATCTCTCGGTTAACCTGCAGGACCCGAAGCGAGGATCAGGGAAGGTCGGTCCGGACCCCAGCCCCAGCCCCGCCTCCATTCCCTGGCCACAGCAGCCTGTAGCTTACCCGGAAAGAGATTTTTATCCGGTACTCCACACCCTCCTTCAGCACAAACGACTGCTTCTTGAAGCTCTCCAGGTCGCCTGTTGGGGGGACCTCCCCCTCAATGACTGCCCAGCAGCCCTGCGCGAAGCCCCAGCCCTGCGCGGCCCCCTGGCTGCACTTCCCGAGATCCCCACCAGGGGCCGCCCGGACCCCCGCGGCCGCAGGGCACTCACCCGTCAGGTCCAGCTCCAGGGGGCCCGGGGCCGAGCTGCACACCAGGGTCAGGCCAGTCACCACGACGTTGGGGACGTTGGGGTCTGGGGAGTGACAGCAGGTGAGGGCCCCACCCCCACCAGTGGAAGTAGGGGCTGGGGAGCGGCAAGACAGCTGGAGTGAACGGGCGGCCACCCGGCTCCCGCAGCCCAGACTCACCTGCGGAAACGGCCACGCGGCCCAGCAGGGCCTCCTTGTACTTTCGCAGGCTCTCGTCGTCCTTGTCCAGCTCCTGGATCTCCTGGATGCTCTTCTGGGCCGGGGGCTTGTAGTTGACCGAGTGCTCATCCTCCTCGTTCTCCGCTGCAATCTGGGCCAGCTGCTCGGCTGTGGGCTCCTGCTCAGCCATGCTCAAGCTTAGCCTGGGTCGGGACACCTGTGGGCGGGACGGTGACAGGCCTTGGACCTGGATCCCCAACGGAGGCGCACTTCTGAGCAGGAGTGTGGGCTGCAGCCGGAGCTCCAAAAGGGCTCCAAGGGGGCCACCTTCGCTCCTCTCCACCCCCGCGATTCCTGCTCAGGGGCATCCTCTGGGGCAGTGTGAGGTGCCCCCACCCCAGGTATAACATCTAAGACAAAATGGGAACTGCAGCCGATCATGGGGAGAGAGGACACACCTCCCCCTCCACGATGGAGGAGGCAGCAGCCCCCTGTATGTGTGGGGCGGGGCTAGCAGGCCCCAGAATCAACCGGCGGGGCCCACACTAAACCCTCTCTTAGGGTCTTGCCGCTCTTGAGCTGCCCAGGCCCTCGCCCTACGGGGTAACGGGGCTCGGTATCCCTCAGTAGGGTTGCTCCTCTGGCCGTGGTAGTCACATGTAAACGTGTGTGGTCGGCTCAGCGTCATCTTTCAAACAGGATGCCCCTGGAGCTCGGATGTTAGGGGCAGCTAGAATACCGCACGGGGCCACCTGGACACGGGGATCCTAAGTATCTGCGGTTTCTCCACAATTGTGAGGGTCTGTGACCTACAACTTGGGAGCTACCACAGCCACTCAGTACTCTCGGGCCCTCTTGTAGATGGTGGGCCCGGAGTGCCCGGGGCAGCACTGACCCGGCAGGGGATCTGTCAGGCTCAGATCCTTCCCGGCAGCGTGGGAGGTGGGTCAGGGAGCAGCACACCCGGGACACCCAGGCCGGGGTCCAGGCCGCCCTGCTTCCTCCAGGGGCTGGGGCCTCCGCGCCGCGCGAGGATAGCCGTAGGCGCCGGGATCCTAGGGCGCGGCCCGCACTTCCGCAGGGCCCGCAATCCGTGCCGGGCGTGGCCCGGGCGCTGGGGGAGGCCGCGCCCCAATCCCCGCGTCGCCCCCGAACGCGATGGACCGCGGCTGCCGGCCCGGCGCCCCCCGCGTCCCCAAGGAGGGGCCCTCAGGTCTGGCCCGGGCCCCACGCGCCTCGGCGGCCATGAAAGAAGCTCCGGACCGCTCGGGAGGGGCCGGCACTCCCCTGGTCCCCGCCGCCCCTCCGGCCCGGGACCCGCACGTGGGGCCGGGGCCGCCGCCGCCCGGTCCCGCCCCGGCCCCGCCCTAGCCCGCACCGCCCTGGCCCGCTGTCACCGCGCCCCCGCCCGCCGAGACCCTGCCGCGGGCTCAGGGCGGGGCGCGAACAAAGGCGGAAGCCCCCACCTCAGCGCCCCCCGCCCCCGCCGGCGCCGCCGGTCCCCGCCCCGACCCGCCGCCTCCGCCCCGCCGCCTCCGCCCCGCCACGGCCACTCACCGGAGGGTTCGGCCGCGCGGTTCAGGATCCCTCCCGCACTAAATGACGAACGTCGTCGGCCGCCCCGCCCGCCCTGCCTGTCACTTCCGGGGTCACGAGACTTCCGCTCACTCGGGCGGGGAAGGCCAGGGCGCATGCGCGGCGCGCGGGTGGCCGGGGGCACGCCGTCGCCATCTTGCGGCTGGGCCTCGTGGGCGCGTTCCGCGTGGGTTCTGGCGTCGTCACCTTCCACCCCAAGCCCCGTCAGTGGTCACCTCTGTAAGCCAGGGCACTTCCCTACGCGAGCCCAGGGCGCCCGCACCCGGGAGGCGAGGTCCGGTCCCGCCTCTCGCCGCTGCCCAACCCGCGCCCACTCGAGGCCTGCGGCGGCCGCGTGGGCTGTGGAAGCCCGCGCAGGTGCAGTGCGCTGCCCTCCCCGGCCCAGTCGGTCCGACTGCGACTCTTGCTTCGGGGCCTAGTCACCTAGTCCCGGGACTTCGGGGAGGTAACGGGCACGGGGATTAAGTTCTCGTTAAACACGGGCGAGAGCGCTGGCGCGCGGGCCGTTCCAGGGCCTTGGTGTCCCCCGTGGAAAGACAGGGCTGTGGGGCTAGGAGGAGCCCCTTGCACGCCCCGCGGAAAGCTGGTGCTGGGCGAGGGCGCAGCGGAGGTGTTTTTCTCCAGGCTGAGACAGAATTCGTGCGCAGCGCGCGTGGCTGCCTGGCGCAGGCGCCGCTGCAGAGGCCCTAGTGTCCCTGAGGAATCCCGCGGCTCCTCAGGACCAGGAGGCAGGGAGCTCCTGGCACCGTGAGCAGATGAGGGGCTGCCTCAGCCTGGGCTTCACCGCAGAGCCCTGTTCCCCACTCCGCTTGTTCCGAGATTCCACACATTCGCCCACAAGGGCCGTGTTGAAGTATCAGGAACGGCCGCATAACGTGAGTGGCCTGGCCCAGCAGCAGTGCTCGCACCCAGCCCCGGGCTCGCCTCTCCTGGAGGCCAAGCCCCTAAATGCCCTGCACCAGACACTGGGTGGGACGCTGCCCCGCGTCCAGCCTGCAGCACTTGTTAGGACTGTGGACTCGTTAACGTGGACGCCTCTTTTATTTATTGATTGATTATTTTTTTGAGACGTAGTCTCAGTGTCGCCCAGGCTTGAGTACAATGGCACAATCTCGGCTCACTGCAACCTCCACCTTTCAGGTTCAAGCGATTCTCCTGCCTCAGCCTCCCGAGTAGTTAGGATTACAAGTGTGAGCCAACATGCCCAGCTAATTTTTGTATTTTTAGTAGCGACAGGGTTTCACCATGTTGGCCAAGCTGGTCTCGAATTCCTGACCTCAGGTGATCCACCCACCTCAGCCTCCCAAAGCGCTGGGATTACAGGCATGAACCACCGGGGTGCCCAATCTTTTTTTTTTTTTTTTTTTTTCTTCAAGACAGGGTCTTGCTCTTTTGCCCAGGCTGGAGTGCAGTGGTACAATCTCAGCTTACTGCTGCCTCTATCTCCTGGGCTCAAGCAGTCCTTCCACCTCAGCCTCCCGAGTAGCTGGGACTACAGGTGTGCAACACCATGTCCAGCTAATTTTTTATTTTTTGTACAGACAGGGTCTCACTATGTTGCTCAGGCTGGTCTTGAACCCCTGAGCTCAAGCGATCCTCCTGCCTCAGCCTCCCAAAGTGCTAGGATTACAGGTGTGAGCCACCATGTCCGGCCACCCAGCCTCTTTTAATCACTCTTGAGCTCCATGCAGACAGGGCCCTGTCTGTTTGGCCCATACTGCCAGGCAACCCAGGCTGATCAAGAGAAGTGGAGACCACACGCACACACACACGCACAGCTGCTTTGTTCAGACACAGACATGAACACAGGAGGGCATTTTTGGGGACAGAACTATGCAAAATACCGAGCTTGGTGTCTTTTGAAAATTTCTGAATGTTGGAGGGATATTTGAGAGTTTCTGTAACTGAGTCACACTGTCAGTGCCATGTCATCAGCACAGCGTTTCCTAATCAGGTGTGAAATGCTTCACTGTTAAAGACTCAGAGCCCCTGTGCAGGTGATCATGTTGCCCAACTTTCCAATAACCCAAGTGCTTTTAAAAAAAAACTGTTGGGCCGGGCGCGGTGGCTCACGCCTGTAATCCCAGCACTTTGGGAGGCCGAGGCGGGCGGATCACGAAGTCAGGAGATCGAGATTGTCCTGGCTAACACGGTGAAACCCCGTCTCTACTAAAAATACAAAAAATTAGCCAGGCGTGGTTGCAGGTGCGTGTAGTCCCAGCTACTCGGGAGGGTGAGGCAGGAGAATGGCGTGAACCCGGGAGGCGGAACTTGCAGTGAGTGGAGATCTCGCCACTGCACTCCAGCCGGGGCGACAGAGCGAGACTCTGTCAAAATAAATAAATAAATACATAAATAAAAGATTCGATTGTGTGGGTATACATTTTGTTTGTAACCATTCCAGTTGGCAAATATTTGGTTTCTTTTTTGTCCATTATGAATAATACTGCCATAAACATTTACGAATATTATAAACCATTATAAATGTTGCATTAAGCCTTTTCATGAATATGTGCTTTCATTTCTCTTGGGTAGATTCCTGAGTGGAAGTCCCCAAATGTTTTCCAATGTAGGTGTGCCACTTTGCACCCCCTAGCAACGCTGGGCTGCTCCAGGTGGCCACAGGCTCAGCAATACCTGCTGTGCTTGATCCCAGCTGTACAAGTGTGAAGCAGTGTCGTGTCACACTGTGAGTCGCACCTGCACTTCCCCAATGAGTCTTCCTGGGCAGAAACCTATTTAAATCTTTTGCTCATTTTTAATTGGGCTGTCTGATTAAGCTATGAGTACTTACATATCCTGTATACAGTCCTTTATCAGATATATGAGGCTGGGTGCAGTGGCTCACGCCTGTAATCCCAGCACTTTGGGAGGCCGAGGCAGGCGGATCACCTGAGGCCAAGAGTTTGAGACCAGCCTGGCCAGCATAGCAAAAAAACTGTCTCTACCAAAAATACAAAAATTAGCCGGGTGTGGTGGTGCACGCCTGTAGTCCCAGCTATTCGGGAGGCTGAAGCAACACAATCGCTTGATCCCAGAAAGCAGAGGCTGCAGTGAGCTGAGATTGCCCCATTGCACTCCAGCCTGGGCAACAAGAGCAAAACTCTGTCTCCAAAAGAAAAAGATAGGTGATTTGCAGACATTTTATGTGGTTTGTCTTTCATTTTCTTAATGATGTCTTCTTAAGGGCAAAACCTTTTATTCTAGTGCAGTAGTTTTTTCCACATGGTGCATGCCTTTGCTATCCTAAGAACTCCTGAGCTGAGGTAGGCGGATCACTTGAGCCCGTGATGTCGAGGCTGCAGTCAGCTATGATTGTACCACTGCACTCCAGCCTGGGTGACAGAGACCCTGTCTCAAAAACAAACTCTTAGCCCAACCGGATATTGTAAAGATTCTCTCTCATATTTTTTCTGTGATCTTCTGCTATATTTTATGTTTGCTGACATTTAGATATACAGTCCGTATTTGGGTTAACTTTTCGTATGGAGTGAACATCTTTTCTGTGTGTAGGAACATCCACCTGTCCTGGCACCCCTTGTTGAGAAACTATCGTTTCCCCCAATGCAATGTCTCACCACCTTTGTTGAAAATTTATTCACCATAGGCCGGGTGCAGTGGCTCACGCCTGTAATCCCAGCACTTTGGGAGGCCAAGGCAGGCGCAACACCTGAGGTCAGGAGTTTGAGACCAGCCTGCCCAATGTGGTGGAACCCCGTCTCTACTAAAAATACAAAAATTAGCCGGGCGTGGTGGCACATGCCTGTAGTCCCAGCTACTCGTGAGGCTGAGGTGGGAGAATGGTGTGAACCCGTGAGGCAGAGGTTTGCAGTGAGCCAAGATCGTGCCATTGCACTCCAGCCTGGGCAACAAGAGCAAAATTCCATCTCAAAAAAAAAATTTTTGTTCATGTAAATCGAAGGGTTTATTACAAAAATTAGCTGGGCATGGTGGCGCACACCTGTAGTCCCAGCTACTCTGGAGGCTGAGGTGGGAGGATCACCTGAGCCTGGGAGGTCAAGGCTGCAGTGAGCTGTGATCATGCCACTGCACTCCAGCCTTGGTGACAAAAGGAGATCCTGTTGCTGGGCATGGTGGCTCATGCCTGTAATCCCAGCACTTTGGGAGGCCGAGGTGGGTGGATCACCTGAGGTCAGGAGTTCAAGACCAACCTGGCCAACATGGTGAAACGTGGTCTCCACTAAAAAATATAAAACTAGCCAGGCATGGTGGCACATGCGTGTAATCCTAGCTACTTAGGAGGCTGAGGCAGGAGAATTGCTTGAAACCGGGAGGCAGAAGTTGCAGTGAGCCGTGATAGCGCCATTGCACTCCAACCTAGGTGACAAGAGCAAAACTCTGTCTCCAAAAAAAAAAAACCAAAAAAAGGCCAAGTGCGGTGGCTCACGCCTGTAATCCCAGCACTTTGGGAGGCTGAGGCAGATGGATCACCTGAGGTCAGGAGTTCAAGACCAGCCTGGCCAACATGGTAAAAACCCCATCTCTACTAAAAATACAAAATTAGCCGGGCCTGGTGGTAGGTGCCTGTAATCCCAGGTACTCGGGAGGCTAAGGCAGAATTATTGCTTGGACCTGGGAGGCAGATGCTGCAGTGAGTTGAGATGGCACCATTGCGCTCTAGCCTGGGCAGCAGAGAGACCCTGTCTCTCAAAAAAAAAAAAAAAAAAAAAAAAAGGACAAAAAAAGACAGACAGACATATATGTCTTTGCCAATGCTACGTCCTAAAATGATGGCATCACATTAACTGGCTTTCTTGCATTACTAAAAGGATGAACTTTTAAAATAATTTTGTTATTTAAAAACCTTGTTTATTTTTATTTGTTGAGATGGAGTCCTGCTCTGTTCCCGAGGCTGGAGTGCAGTGGTGCGATCTTGGCTCACCACAACCTCCACCTCCCAGGTTGAAGCAATTTTCCTGCCTCAGCCTCCCGAGTAGCTGGGACTACAGGCACGCACCACCATGCCCAGCTAGTTTTTGTATTTTTAGTAGAGGCGGGGTTTCACCATGTTGGCCAGGCTGGTCTTGAACTCCCGACGTCGTAATCCTCCTGCCTCAGCCTACCAAAGTGCTGGGATTACAGATGTGAGCCACCGTACCCGGCCAGAAACAACTGTTTTTTAATTTTTCTTTTGAGACGGAGTCTGGCTCTGTTGCCCAGACTGGAGTGCAATAGTGCGATCTCGGCTCACCGCAACCTCCGCCTCCCAGGTTCAAGCGATTCTCTCCTGCCTGAGCCTCCTGAGGAGCTTGGGACTACAGGCACACGCCACCACGCCCAGCTAATTTTTGTATTCTTAGTAGAGACGGGGTTTCACCATTTAGGCCAGGATGGTTTTGATCTCTTGACCTTGTGATCGCCTCAGCCTCCCAAAGTGCTGGGATTACAGGCGTGAGCCCCTACACCCGGCCGAAACAACTTTTTAAGATAGAATCTATGTTGTTCAGGCTGGATTCAAGTTCCTGGGCTCAAGTGATCCTCCTACCTCAGCCTCCCAAGCAGCTGGGACTATAGGCATGTACCACTTCGTCCAGCTTCCGGCTTTTTCCATGGTTGTAAACTGCCTATTCATGTTCTTGGTGGTAAATGTTTCCCAAGGTTGTTTGTCTTGAATTTGTGAGATTGTCTGATTTGCAGAAGTTTTTGTTTGAGAGTCTTGCTCTGTCACCCAGGCAGTACAGTGGCACGATCTTGGCTCAGTGCATCCTCCACCTCTGGAGCTCAAGGGATCCTCCCACCTCATCCTCCCGAGTAGTTGGGACCACAGGTGGCACCATCATGCCCAGTTAATTTTTTTCTTTTTATGTTACAGCAATGAGTCTGGGTACTTTTTGCATTTTTTAAATGTTTTTTGTAGAGATGGGTTTTGCCATGTTGCCCAGGTTGGTGACTTACAGAAGTTTTTTTTTTTTTTTTTTTTTTTTTTTTTTTTTTGAGACGGAGTCTCGCTGTCGCCCAGGCTGGAGGGCAGTGGCCGGATCTCAGCTCACTGCAAGCTCTGCCTCCTCGGTTTACACCATTCTCCTGCCTCAGCCTCCCGAGTAGCTGGGACTACAGGTACCCACCACCACACCTAGCTAATTTTTTGTATTTTTAGTAGAGACGGGGTTTCACCGTGTTAGCCAGGATGATCTCGATCTCCTGACCTTATGATCTGCCCGCCTCGGCCTCCCAAAGTGCCGGGATTACTGGCATGAGCCACCGCGCCCGGCCTACAGTTTTAAAAAGTCCTTACTGTCCTGCAAAGATAGGGACTCTTTTACCTAACAATACCATGAACACACCCACCAAAACTGACAATGCTTTCTGACATCTAATAGTCTCTGCTCAATTTTCCCCAAGTCTCTTCTTGCAATTGTGTCCCCACATCAGAATCTGGACAGAGGCCGTGCTGTGCACTGGGATGCCCACTGCCTCTATTTCCTCTTCTGCGCTTGGTGCCACCCAGGCGTCCAGGAGCCAGTGTGTTTTGCTGACAATGTCCTGTGTTCTGGATTTGCTGGGCTGAACCCTCCAGGTGTCCTGTGAACCCTCTCCCATCCTCTGCACTTCTTAGGCAGGATGAGCCCAGTTCGAGTTTTAGAGGCGGTGCTGGGGGCCTCCTGCTGCTTCACGTCATTGGACTTGTCTTCTGGTCCTACCTGTAGTGAGGTATGGTTGGTTCTGGGAAGCTGGGCTGGTCCACCCATTATCAGTGGCCTCCTCAACTGTCATCTTCAATTTTCACTGTTTCTCACATGCATCATTTTATTGGACACTTCAAAGTGGTGATTTTCTAATTTTGGGTGTGTTTTTTTTTTTTTTTTTTGAGAGAGTCTTGCTCTTTTGCCCAGGCTGGAGTGCAGTGGCGCACTCTCGGCTCACTGCAACCTCCACCTCCTGAGTTCAAGTGATTCTCATGCCTCGGCCTCCCAAAGTGCTGGAGTTACAGGCATGAGCCACCGTGCCTGGCCTGATTTTCTAATTATTTCTGTATTTCTTAGCTGGAATTATTTCTTTTTTTTTTAAAGGACCCCGTCATCAATTGTTGCCCCAAAATTATAGAGTTCATACAGAAAAGACAAATTAAATGCCCGATTCTTTCCTTTTATTTGCCAATTTTTATGAGTCAGTGCCTTACAACTTCCAAAGGTAAACATGAGGCTTCTTTCCTTAAGCATCATCATGAACTCTTAGATGTTCATTTATTCAACACAAACTAAAAAAGGAATGTTAAGTCTTAAGATATCATTAATACTAACTTGCATTACTTGTTTATGAAGGATTAATATACTAAATAGAATATATGCTCACATTTTTATATGTAGATATTAATTTACAAGTAATTAACATGCTAAAACATTTTATAATTCGCTTCAATAACGTGTATAGATAACACAAAAATTAACTCTGGCCTACCTTAGGCTACATGATCACAGACAAGCTGATGTAATTAAAATGAGAAGATTTATTTCTTGGTACTTTCATGGCTTTATTTTTACATTAAAGTCTTTTATGATGTATTATTTATTGCTATCTTCCACCAAATGCTTGGCCAGTCAATCCCAGGGTGATCTTAATAATAACAACTAATACATGTAAACCATAAACATTTATGAAAATTATATATCCTCATATAAATTTCATAACATATGTAAGTTACAAAAGAAAGAAAAAGTCAACGAGGATATGGGGGAAGCCAAAAGGAATACAAACTAACAAATGAACCTAACTATGTACAAATTATGCAAATCACATAATTTGCAGGAGGTGGAAAGAAAGAAAAGAACTCATCTAGGCAACTTTTGAAACCAGTACTTAGATGCTACAGGTCAAACACAAAAACAACAGTACACGATTAAGGAAGTAAGGTGCCTCCATAGTGACTGCGCCTCCCTGGGGCACAGGTTGAACAGTTCACCTACAGCACTGACATGGCCTAAGCGAATGTCCTGTCAATCTGAGAGCCAGGTTTCTCCCTGTCACAGGAAGAAACTACACATAAGGAAAGGGGCAGGTGAGACAGGAACAGCAGGAACTAGACAGCTACAGAAACCAACAGGGCGGGTAAATGCACAAGCACGTGTCATAGATCCACTTCCCAGCTCTGTCCCAGGAGGGCCCAGAAGCAACAAGCACAGCCAGTGCCCAGGTCTTGGTTGCTAAATCCCAGTCTCCAGTGAGGGAGGGCTCCCTGGAGAAGCAGCTGGGTGCAGAGCTGGGACAAGGAAAACTGAAGACATCCCAAAATAAACAAGTGCTTAAATAAGGATAGGGCACAGGAGACAATCTCCAGGAGCTCCCAATGGCCAAAGCGTGGAAACAGTATCAGATTATGACTCACAGAATCCAACAAACAGCCCTTGCGTTCATACTGATATATAAAGAAAGAAATCGTAGGTCAGGCGCAGTGGCTCATGCCTTTTGGGAGGCCAAGGCGGGCGGATCACTTGAGCTCGAAAATTTGAGACCAGCCTGAGCAACATGGGTAAACCCCATCTCTACAAAAAATACAAAAAGTCAGCTGGGCATGGTGGTGAGCACCTGTGGTTCTGGTTACTCAGGAGGCTGAGATGGGAGATCACGTGAGCCCGGGAGGTCGAGGCTGCAGTGAGCCGTGATCGAGCCACTGCACTGCAGCCTGAGCCGCAGAGCAAGACCCTGTCTCAAAAAAAAAAAAGGGAAAAAAGCTGAAGGGACTGCTCTTTCTTAGAGATGAATTCCAATTAATAAACGTCAAAGGAATGAGGAAAATGCAAAAATCACCTTTGAAAACTAAGTTAATAATTACTGCATTGCAAGACCCACCAGTGGATGCTGAAATTAATTAGTGGGTAGGCCGGGCACGGTGGCTCACGCCTGTAATCCTAGCACCTTGGGAGGCTGAGGCAGGTGGACTGCCTGAGCTCAGGAGTTGGAGACCAGCCTGGGCAACACGGTGAAACCCCGTCTCTACTAAAAATAAAAAAAATTACCTGGGCATGGTGGCGCGTGCCTGTAATCCCAGCTACTTGGGAGGCTGAGACGGGGGAATTGCTTGAACCTGGGAGGCGGAGGTTGCAGTGAGCTGAGATGGCGCCATTGCACTACAGCCTCGGCAAAAGTGAGACTCCATCTCAAAAAAAAAAAAAAAAGTGGGTAAAACTTGGAAGTGAAACAGACATTCACTTAGTCTGGAAGTATCTCCCCAAGGTATTTATGGATGACAAAGGGAAAACAGTAACTATGTAGGGGAGAAGCCCCGGCAGCCGCTGCCACCACCTGAACTAACAGGACCAGGAGTTGGACAGACTGACATTGCATATCTCCACTATGCATTGAGAAGATGACATCCCAGCTGTGGTATTCATGCCAAAAAATAAAATAAACCAGCAGGGCGTGGTGGCTCAGGCCTGTAATCCCAGCACTTTTGGGAGGCCAAGGCGGATGGATCATGAGGTCAGGAGTTCAAGACCAGCCTGGCCAGCATGGTGAAACCTTGTCTCTAATAAAAATACAATAATTAGCCGGGTGTGGTGGCGGGTGCCTAAAATCCCAGCTACTCAGGAGGCTGAGGAAGGAGAATCGCTTGAACCTGGGAGGCAGAGATTGCAGTGAGCTGAGATCACACCACCGCACTCCAGCTTAGAAGACAGAGAAAGACTCCGTCTCAAAAAAAAAAAAAAAAACAAAAAACAAAACCTTGTCCAGTCATAAGGTCAGAGTCCCCAGTGTGAGGGACATTCTACAAAATAGCTGAGAGTACCCTTTAAAAGTGTCAAGGTCATAAAAGACAAAAGCTTCTATAAATCTGAATATAAAAATAACACTTCAGAAAATTCATAAATAGAGAAATAGGCTGACATTAATAGGCTATGTTCGGTGTGGTGGCTCAGGCCTGTAATTCCAACACTTTGGGAGACCAAGGCAGGAGGATCCCTGGAGCACAAGAGTTCAAGACCAACCTGGGCAACATAGTGAGACCCCATCTATACAAAGTTTTAAAAATCAGCCAGGCGCGGTGGTGGGTGTCTGTAGTCCCAGCTACTAAGGAGGCTGAGGTGGGAGATCCCTTGATCCCGGGAGTTCCAGGATGCAGTGAGCTGTGTTTGCGCCACTGCACTCTAGCCTGGACATCAGAGGGAGACCTTGTCTCAAAACACAATTTTTCAAAAATTTAGTTTTTTAAAAAAGATATTGAGATGCTACAATGTCCATTTCAGGAAGAATATCATAGCACTTTTGAGACAAGTTTCTTTTTTTTTTTGAGACACAGTCTCGCTCTGTCACCCAGGCTGGAGTGCAGTGGTGCAATCTTGGCTCACTGCAAGCTCCGCCTCCTGGGTTCACGCCATTCTCCTGCCTCAGCCTCCCCAGTAGCTGGGACTACAGGGGCCCGCCACCACGCCTGGCTAATTTTTTGTATTTATAGTAGAGACGGGGTTTCACCATGTTAGCCAGGATGGTCTCGATCTCCTGACTTTGTGATCTGCCTGCCTCAGCCTCTCAATGTGCCGGGATTACAGGCGTGAGCCACTGCGCCCAGCCTGAGACAAGTTTTTCTACAAAATGTAATGACATTAAGGTAATATGAAGAGACATGATCCTCATCTTTATGTAACTGGAGTTCAGGTATTCATTACGCTCAACAATATCAACCTTTTATGATGCTATTTTGTTGAATGTGATGAATGCCACTGATAATAGGACATTTAATTCCATTTAGAATATCTGTATTTCCAAGTAAAGTCCTAAATCTGCCAGGGTGGAGATTTATCCATGGTAAAGTCTATTCAATCCAGATATAAAAAAGATAGAGATTGAGGGCCAGGCGCGGTGGCTCACACCTGTAATCCCAGCACTTTGGGAGGCCGAGGTGGGCGGATCACAAGGTCAGGAGATCAAGACCAGCCTGGCCAACATGGTGAGACCCTGTCTCTACTAAAAATACAAAAATTAGCTGGGCATGGCGGCACGTGCCTGTAATCCCAGCCACTTGGGAGGCTGAAGCAGAAGAATTGCTTGAACGGGGACCCGGGAGGCAGAGGCTGTTGTGAGCTGAGATTGCACCACTGCACTCCAGCCTGGGCTACAGAGCGAGACTCTGTCTCAAAAAAAAAAAAAAAAAAAAAAAAAAAGAGAGATTAAAGACATTTAAAAAAAAGATTACAAAGAAGAAACTGCAAAGCAAAATCACAATGAGATATTACTTCACACCCAGTAGGATGACTAAACTAAAAAAGGTAAGTGTTGGTGAGAATGTGGAGAAATTGGAACCCTCATACATTGCTGGTAGAAATATAAAATGCTGCAGCTGCTTTGGAAAAGTCTGGCAGTTCCTCAAAAAATTAAACAGTTACCTCATGACCCGGCAATTCTACTCGAGAATTGAAAAGATGTTAATATAAAATGTATACAAAAATGTTCACAGCAGCATTATTCTTATAAAGCCACGGAGTGGAGACAACCCAAATGTCCATGAACAGATGGACAAAAAAAAAATATGCGGTATATCCATGTCAGTAGTCGGCCATAAAAAGGAACAGTCTTAGACATGGTACAGCACAGATGCACCTTAAAAATGCTGGCTGGGGACAGGCGCAGTGGCTCACACCTGTAATCCCAGCACTTTGGGAGGCTGAGGCGGGCAGATCACGAGGTCAGGAGATAGAGACCATCCTGGCTAACAAGGTGGAACCCCATCTCTACTAAAAATACAAAAAACTAGCTGGGCATGGTGGCTGCTGCCTGTAGTCCCAGCTACTCAGGAGGCTGAGGCAGGAGATTGGCAAGAACCCAGGAGGCGGAGCTTGCAGTGAGCCGAGATCGCGCCACTGCACTCCATCCTGGGCAACAGAGCAAGACTCTGCTTCAAAAAAAAAAAAAAAAAGAAAAAGAAAAAAAAAATAACCGGGCAAGGTGGCAGGTACCTGTAATCCCAGCTACTTGGGAGACTGAGGCAGGAGAATTGCTTGAACCCAGGAGGCGGAGGTTGCAGTGAGCCGAGATTGCGCCATGGCACTCCAGCCCAAGTGACAAGAGTGAAACTCCATCTCAAAAAAAAAAAAAAAAGAAAATAAAAAAACTTGCTGGGCGTGGTGGCATGTGCCTGTGGTCCCAGCTACTTGGGAGGCTGAGGTGGGAAGATTGCTTGAGCCCAGGAGTTTGCATTTACAGTAAGCTATGATTGAGCTACCACACTCCAGCCTAGAGAGCAAGACCCTGTCTCTTGAAAAAAGAAACCCGGTCGGGCGCGGTGGCTCACGCCTGTATTCCCAGCACTTTGGGAGGCCGAGGGGGGCGGATCACGAGGTCAGGAGATCGAGACCATCCTGGTGACCACGGTGAAACCCCGTCTCTACTAAAAATACAAAAAATTAAGCCGGGCGTGGTGGCGGGCGCCTGTAGTCCCAGCTACTCGGGAGGCTGAGGCAGGAGAATGGCGTGAACCTGGGAGGCGGAGCTTGCAGTGAGTGGAGATTGCGCCACTGCACTCCAGCCTGTGTGACAGAGGAAGACTCCGTCTCAAAAAAACAAAAACAAAAAAAACCATAGGCTGGGCGCAGTGGCTCATGCCTGTAATCCCAGCACTTTGGGAGGCCCAGCTGGGCGGATCATGAGGTCAGGAGATCGAGACCATCCTGGCTAACCCGGTGAAACCCCATCTCTACTAAAAATACGAAAAACTAGCTGGGCATGGTGGCGGGTGCCTGTAGTCCCAGCTACTCAGGAGGCTGAGGCAGGAGAATCGATTCAACCCGGGAGGCGGAGGTTGCAGTGAGGTGAAATCATGCCACCACACACGTCTGGGAAACAGGAACGAAACTCCATCTCAAAAGAAAAAAACAAAAAACGAAAAAACAACCTCTAAAATGAAAGACTGTATCCCTAGATTGCTGAGAGGTAAATGAAATGTATGTAGAACATCCAGCAGAGGTGCAGCCTCAGACACTGGCTGACCATTTGTGCAACCTGAGAGAGGCGTGCTCTTGCAGCTTGAGTTCCAACCATGCCCCACACTCCACTCCCATTAGGCTACACTGCAACCTATCACTTGTATGTTTCCTATATTAGACCATCAGTTCACTGCATGTTAAGAACCAAAAGTTACCATTTACATGACAACTCTGTTGCCAGGTACAGACATAGCCATCTCATGAGATCTAAAAGGATGTCTGAGAGCAACACTGTAGCCCTTTAACCCACGTGAGGCTGAACAGGATTCAATCAGCTGCCCAGTGTAGACTGCTCCTTAGATCTCCGTGCACACCAGCCAGAAACCAGAGCACTGTGGGAGCGTGTGCACGCTCACATCCGAGACCCTCTCCAGGGACCTCAGGCTGAAGACGGAGCTGGGCAGACCATGAGCCACCCTGGAAGAGCTCCAAGTCCCACAGGAATGCTGCCTCTCCTGCCCGGGGCTGGCCAGTTCCTACTCTCAGCCCATGCCGGCCAGGGAAAGGGACCAGGAAGAACAGGGCTTCCCTTTTCTCCCCACCCTGAGTGTAATTTCGCTTGTCGACACTTAAGTCATGTGTCCAACCTGGGCCAATCCCTGTGCTTTCTTTTTTTGCCCCGAGATGGAGTTGTGCTCTTTTTCACCCAGGCTGGAGTGCGATGGCGCGATCTCGGCTCACTGCAACCTCCACCTCCTGGGTTCAAGCGATTCTCCTGCCTCAGCCTCCGGAGTAGCTGGGATTACAGGTGCATGGCACCATGGAACCACAGGACAGCCAGAGGCAGAGGGGGTTCCCCAAGTGCCCATGGGGCACAGGCTGCCAGTTCAGTTTGTCAGCCATAGCTCGCTGTCTGAGCAAAGCATCACTCAGTCACCATGTGGGGGGCAGCAGGGCACTGGGCAGTGTGGAGTGTCCGCCCTGCAAGGCCCTGTGCCCGGAGGACTGGCAGCACCCTTCAAGAGGGGACCAGACAGCCCAGCTGGCCAAGGCCTCATGTCTACTTGCTGTCTGTGCAGTCAG
Organism: Homo sapiens; assembly: GCF_000001405.40. Taxonomy (NCBI): domain Eukaryota; kingdom Metazoa; phylum Chordata; class Mammalia; order Primates; family Hominidae; genus Homo; species Homo sapiens. The sequence goes on from NC_000017.11 coordinate 81,885,295, forward strand.
TGGAAGAGCCCTGCTCTTCTTTCTCTCACAAGCACCCTGCTGGAACAATAAATTAAATAGTCCTCTGGCCTTGGAAGTAAAATAAGGTTTTGTGTTTTATGAATAAGGAAATGAAGATTGGGTATGATGAGGCTCAGCCCAGCTACCTGACCTGCTGCCCACCAGAAGCCCCGGTGGCTTCCAGACCCAGCCTCTATCCTAGTTATAAATGGCCAGCCCCACCTCCACCACAGGCACAGAATCAGGTCATTCTCCTTTGACCACTCGGCAGCACCTGCCTCAATGACCCCACCACTGGCCCCCCAGCAAATACCAGCTGTTGCTTCTATGACATCATTCTCTCTACTTCCTTTACCTCCAACCCTCCCAAGACCATGCCACATATGGACACGACTTCGACGTGTCCACGTGCTATCAGCTGACAAACTGGAGAGGTCCGGCTCTAGGCAACGCTCTCCTGCGGGCCAGCTGGTGCCTCTGCCCAGCCTGTCCAATGCTGACGCCCCTCAGCTGGCTCCTTCCTGGGGCCTTCTCTCCAGTGACACCTACCCACCCAGTTCCCCAAGGCCTCATATTACTTCATTCCCATGCCCCTCACTCCCGAGAATGCCAGGAAGTCCCAAATCCTGGTCATTCCTCCCTCCAAATGCCTGTTACACCACTACTGCACAACCAAAGCAATGCTGCTTGTCAGTCCTGTCATTTGTCACACCCTGCAGGGGCTGACCACACCAGTCCATCAGGTGCCCTCTCCACTTCCTAAGCAGCAGGGAGCCAGTCCTAGCACGGCCCCAGAGAGCAGACCCCCTGCCTGGCATGGGCCTGCTCAGGCCTTGCTCCAACACCGAGGCCCGGGCCAAGGGCACCTGCTTGGGGATAACCTGACTCTAACTCACTGCACTGGTGACATTTTCTGTCACATTCACAGCGACTACAGCTGGGGACTTAGTAATCCTTTCTCCTGCTAGACTGGGCTTCTGGAAGGGCCAAGATTAGTCATCCTGTTCATCTGGGTTCCTAGACTGTGGCCCTGGCTGGCATTGGGCAAGCTGCTTAGATGGCAGCTGCTGATCTGTAGTGACATCTGTGACCGACAGCGAAAGAACCACCCTTAGTCACACTCCCTTGCCCATGACTCAGCCAGGCCCATCCCAGCGTGGAAGCAAGCTTAGCCTGGGATGTGTGCCCGCAGGAGCCGCTGGTGCAGGGAAAGGTTTCTGCAGACACGGCATGCATTCCTGTCTGTCTCTCCACTACCACTGCCCACTGCCCTGGGCTTCCTTACATCCCAGCTGTGGGACAGTGGGGTCAGGCAGAACTCTGGAGCTCCCTTGTCCCCCTTCCCATCTCATTCTCAAAGTGCTGTCACCAACCCAGCATCAGGGGGCACAAGGCTCTCTCTCCACTGCCCAGCTTGGAGTGCAGTGGCATGATAATGGCTCACAGCAGCCTCAACCTCCAGGGCTCAAGCGATCCTCCCACCTCAGCCTTTAGAATAGCTGAGACCACAGGAGCACGCCACCACACTCAGCTAACTTTTGTATTTTTAGTAGAGATAGGGTTTTGCCATGTTGCCTAGGCTGGTCTCGAACTTCTGGGCTCAAGAGATCCTTCTGCCCTGACCTCCCAAAGTGCTGGGATTACAGGTATCAGGCGTTGCCCTACTCCTTTTTGAGACGGAGTTCACTCTTGTTGTCCAGACTGGAGTGCAATGGCACAATCTCGGCTCACTGCAACCTCCACCTCCCTGGTTCAGGCGATTCTCCAGCCTCAGCCTCCCAAGTAGCTGGGATTACAGGCATGCACCACCACACCCAGCTAATTTTGTATTTTTAGTAGAGACGGGGTTTCGCCATGTTGGCCAGGCTGGTCTTGAACTCCTGACCTCAGGTGATCTGCCTGCCCCAGCCTCCCAAAGTGCTGGGATTACAGGCGTGAGCCACCGCGCCCAGCCGCCCCACTCTTAAATGGACGGATTATCACAGCTTCCACCAGCCACTTCATCAAATATACAACTAAGAGAGGATCCTCATGCCTTGCTCCGTGGCAAGGTTAAAAACAACAACAAAAAAACAAACAGAAAAAGGAATTACACTACAAAGTCAAAACTGCTGAATCCACGTTTCTCTGAAAACCAGAGTACAAGAAGGAAAGGAACAGCCCAGAGATGTTCTGGCTGTGGGAAGCCTGTGGACGGCACACAGGGCAGCCATCCCACCCCAACCTCCCCTCACCTGGAGGCACAGGCACAAGGGTCAACAGGTGGCTCCCGGGCAAAGGTGTCCTCCCACCTGGTGAGTTAGAGAGGAAGGTGTTAGGTGTGAGGCAGGAAAGAAGATAAGAAAGAAGACAGGCAGCTTCGGCCCTCCAGGAGCGGGGACCCCCCGCCACCCCCACAACCCATGCCAACTTCAGGTGTCCAACACCAGATGGGGCTGCTCCCTCCATCCCCAACTCAGGTTCTCCCACCCCCTCCCAGCTGGACAGACACCAAAATCCTGGCCCAGGCCTGGACTCCAACAGTGGGACGAATCAAACAGTTCCAGTTCTACACACATTTCTATTTTATTATGGAAAAGGTGGAAACGCCACCTTCTCCACAACAGCAACCAGTAAAATTTATCCCAAAAATAACTCGGTACAAAACAGGTCTGTTTCAGAATTAAAAAAAAAAAAAAAGAAAAAAAAAAAACCTTTACATGAGTTTTTAAATCCTATTTTAAAACATAAAAGAAACAAATCCATCATTGGCCGCACAGCCCCAGCCACCGCCCCCCAACCAGGGAGCAAGAGGAGACGCCTGGGTCCTGTTCCGCACGCGGATTTGCTGGTCTGTTTAACTGGTGTCCATCTGAAACACAGAGGAGAAAGAGGCTTGCATTCACAGGCGGCCTGCTCCCCACTGCGGCTTTGACCAGGCCCCCAGCTGGCTCCCCCGGGACTCACTCTCGCATTATAGGCGTCCAGCTGGGCATCCAGCTCCTCTGCCGAAAGCTGCTGCTTTGAATTCCTGCCGGCACCTCTGCCTCTTCCACGGGCGCCTCCGCGGGTGCCTCTCCGGGTGCCTCCACCACCACCAAAACCTCCAGCGCCACGGTTTCTAGTCATGCCACCTCTGTTTACGCTAGCAAGGAAGACGAAACCGTTCACACACCCGGAAGGACCCTAAGAGCGACGCAGCCTCACCCTCGGCCAATCCCCTTCCCCAGAGGCCCCGGAAGTCACCTCTGTGCAGGCCTCCGCTGTGCGTCAATCTGTGACGTGACAAGCTGAATGTTCATGGGGCGGCCTGCGGCAAAGAATACGAGAAGGCACGTTCTATTGAGAGGCTCTGAAACCCACCCAGCTGGCGCCACACCCTGGTCTCCATGCAAACACTGGAAAGGGCCTCTGTGCGTCTCAAATGCCCCCGACAAGGGAAATGGCCTGGAGATACTGGTGGGAGAACAAAATGGCAAGGAAGCAACCCCACCAACACCTCCTCACTCCTTCTCAGTCCAGACTAGGTGGGCTGCTCGCTGAGGTATCGGGGTGCTCGTGGGTGGAGAGGTGTGGGTGACCTGACGAAGAAGAACCGGTACCTTTGTCTTTACGACTACAGCCCCGCACTCAGAGGTGTACTATGGCGGTTCTGAGAAGGCTTCACAGAAGTGAATCTTCCGGAAGGAGCTGAAGGAGGGGAGGGATGTAGCTTGCTGGATGGGGGTTCACAAGAGGTTGGTCCAGATGTGTGGGGCAGCATGAGAGGTGGCAGATGGAAGAGAGAGACAAAGGGGCAAATGCAAAGTGTCCTCAGCCACAGGGGTACCCCATATTCCTACCTGGACAGGTGCCAGCCCCAAACTCCACAAGCCCCACAGTCAGCGTGGGTCCACCCCCAGACTCACCATCCAGAGGGACGCCGTTGTACTGCTTCATGGCCTTCAGGGCATCTGCCTTCCGCTCAAAGTGCACGTCTGCTGTTCCTAAGCTGCGACCAGAGCGATCATAGTGCACAGCCGCCTTCTTCAGCGTTCCAAATTCAGCAAAGAGTTCCTGGGAGTTGCAGAGAGCAGTTGTCAGAAAAGCAACAAAACTGCGTTCCTTCTGGTGGCCCAGGGACAGGCCCTGGAAGCGTGAGTTGCTTTGGGGGTGGTTCTCTGGGAGGCAGGACAGTGGTTAACGGGAAATGAGGGAAGGGCGGGGCAGGAGGGACAGCAACTTCCAAGAGCACCTGGGTCTGAGGGCTCCTGCCATTGTGGGGACCTGACACGTGTACCACGATGCAGGTAGAGGAAGCTGCAAAGCCCACTAGCAACGGGCACAAAATTAAGCCACTATCCTCTTCAACAAAGGAAAATGTACAACACACCCAAGGGCTGTTCCAAGAAACGGTAAAGGCCAAAATCAAGAGCAAGGGAAGCAGTCCGATATCAGACCAGCTTGAAGGGCCTGTAGATTCGGGAGCCCTGACCCCAGCCCCTCCCCCAAAGGCAGATTCTGGCTCACCTTTCCCTCTCCTCCTACTCAAGCCTGCGGCAAAGTCTGAAGTCAAGCGCTGTCATGGAAACTGCCCTGACCTCAGGCAGGCTGGGAGTTGGAGAGGGAACCCAGAGTGTGGGGATACTCCGGCCGCAGGCACACAGCGGGAACTGGAGTTCACCAAAAGCGGTTTCCAGTGGATGCTAGAAACCACCTTAAAAAAAGTGTTGAGACACTGTGAGTGCTCACTGGCCCTACTCTGTCCTCCCAAGGCAAATGGCTGGGCTGTGGGCAACTGAACCCTGCCCAGCCATCTCCAAAACTGATTCCCAAAAAGTCATTTCTTAACCAGAAAACAAGTTGAAATGCCATTGGGATTCAATTTTTCTTTTTTTAAAAAAGAAAAGCTTCAACCAAAGATGGATTTGAGAGTCATGTCACTGACGGGACACGGCGGTGGGGAGTGATAAAACCACAGCGTACAAGGTCTTTATAAGACAGTACTCAAGGCAAACAGAGCCAGAAAAACAGACTCCCTGTGCTTCACAAGATACATAAAGAAGATTCTTTTTCTCACATTAACCCACTAAGACAGGCACAAAATTTAAAAAGCAACTGGGCTGGGTCTAACAGCCAAAAACCACTCACATTTGGTCAGTCTTTGTCCCTGTTAGAAACTGGAAGCCCTGGCAGGGGATTTTCACTCACAGAACCCATCTTCAGACTAACAGCAGCAGTTCCTCAGGCTCAGCTAGGCTCGCACCTGCCTGCGCACTGACCCCGGCTTTACTAGCACTGGGTCTGTCCTGCAGCCCTTCAGAGCTGGGAGGGCTCCCTTCGCTAAGGCGGGAAGGGGACTCAGGGCCACATCCCCAAAATCACGATCCGTCCTGTGCAGGGCGAACGGCTCACCGAGAAGCCCTCGTCTCTTACCTGAATATCGGCGTCTGAGACTCCAAAATCCAGATTGGACACCAGCAGTTTCCCACCTGTCTCCACGCCGGCACCACCGCCGAAGCCACTGTCGAAAAGATCGTGCTGCCACTTGTCGGGAAGTTGTTTTGGCTGAAAAAAAAACCGCAACAAGAGCAGATCTGTGAGTCTCAGTCCAGGGCTTTCCTGACCCTCACGGCTACTCCGGACCCTTCCTCTTCCCGGCCTGAGAGGATCCGGCCGAAACGGGGCCGCCAGCGCTCCCTCCGGCGCTGCAGCTGCCCCAGCCCGAGGCCGCACGGTCCCACCGCGGCCGCACAACTTCAGTTCCCTTAGACTAACTTCCCGCCGCCTGTGCCGCGCCCAGCGTCCCCTCCTCTCCTGCCACGAGGCCCCAACGTCCGGAACAAACAAAGAGCTGGGAAGGGTCTCAGCCTCCGGGACCGGACCCCGAAAGAACGACCTCGCTCCCGCCCACCACCCCCTCCGCGCCCACACGCACCCTCCGGACCTCCGGGCGGCCGCTCCACCAGCCTTATCCACCCGCCGGCCCGGGTCTCCGCCGCGAGCGGCCCCGGCCCCAGCCCCGGCTGGCCCCCTCCCACTCTCCGGCGCGGCCGGCCTCCGCACTCACCCTGCTGTAGGGCGCCGGTCGGTTCCTGCCGCCTCCGCCGGCCGCGCCGCGGGCGATGGCCGGCCGGTTCCGGATGGGCCCGCCGCCTCGATTCACTCGCGCGGCGGCCTGCGCCCCACCGCCGCGGCCGCCCTGGGAGCCGGCCCGGCCGCGGCCCCGGCCCCCGCCCCGGCCGCCTCGCTGGCTCCGGTTCAGTTTAATGATGTCGTCCAGAGACATGTCCATTTTGTCGGCCATGGCGGGCGCGGAATCGGGCATCGGCTCGAGCCCGCGCGTCAGCACGCCGGCACGTCACTTCCGGCGCCGCGTGAGGCCTTCCGGTGCCACGGCCTCGGAGCGGCTGCTGATTGGCCGCTGGCGGACGGCTGCGCGCGCGGGACGGGGTGAGGCGGGGAGGCGCGTGCGCACTGGCGTGCGAGACTCGGCGGGCGCTGTTGAGGGAGTCGGGCCGCGACTGTGGTCGTTTTTATACCTTCCCGCGCGGACGCCGGCGCTGCCAACGGAAGGGCGGGTAGGGCGGTGCGTGATTAGGTTGGCGAAGGTGCGAGGGCGCAGGGGGTGGGGCGGCGGCCGTTGGAGGCGGAGCCTACGCGCCCCTCCCTCCCCGCACGCTCCGCCCGATCGGCCAGGGCTGGGGGCGCTGGGGGCGCTACGGGCGCGGCGGGTGCCTGGGAGCTGCTGGGAGTCCTTGTTTCCGCTCCCGCCCAGGACTGTGCGCTCGGCTCGCGGTGGGGTCCGGCGGGCGCGGCTTCGGCGGGCGGCAGCCGCTGCAGACGAGCTGCGGGTTGGTTTTTTGGTCTCCACCTGCAGCCCCCCCAAGTCTGCACTGTCACATTTTGCCAGTCATATCCTTTACAAGTTTTCTTGCGGGCCGGGCGCGGGCCTCACGCCTGTAATCCCAGCACTTTGGGAGGCCGAGGCAAGAGGTTCGCTTCAGCCCAGGAGTTTGAGACCAGCCGGGGCAACATCGTGAGACCCCCATCTCTAAAAAAAAAAATGAGCTGGGCATGGTGGTGCACTTCTGTACTACCAGCTACTTGGGAGGCCGAGGTGGGAGGATTGCTTGAGCCCAGGAGGTCGAGGCTGCAGTGAGCCGTGGTGGCACCACTGCACTCCAGCCTGGGCGACAGAGCCAGACCCTGTCTCCAAAAAAAAATTATTTTTGCAACTTATTAATGAAAACCAGTGTGCCATTTCATTGATTTTTTTTTTTTTTTTTTGAGGCAGTCTCATTCTGTCGCCCAGGCTGGAGTGCAGTGGGGCGATCTCGGCTCACTGCAACCTCTGCCTCCTGGGTTCAAGCGAGTCTCCAGCGGCAGCCTCCCGAGTAGCTGGGACTACAGGCACGTGCCACCATACCTGGCTAATGTTTGTATTTTTAATAGAGACAGGGTTTCGCCATGTTGGCCAGGGTGGTCTTGAACTCCTGACCTCAGATGATCCGCCCGCCTTGGCCTCCCAAAGTGCTGGGATTACAGGCATGAGCCACCACACCCAGCCCATTTCATGGATTTTAAGTTGTTTTGAGATACTTGCTTTTGTTTTTGTTTTTTGAGTCAGGGTCTCCCTCCGTCACCCAGAGTGGAGTGCAGTGGTGTGATCTTGGCTCACTGCAGCCTCAAACTCCTGGGCTCGAGCTATCCTCCCACGTCAGCCTCTCAGGCAGCTGGTGCACGCCACCACAGCTGGCTTTTTTTTTTTTTTTTGAGACAGTCCCACTATGTTGCCCAGGCTGGAGTGCAGTGGTGCGATCTCGGCTCACTGCAATCTCTGCCTCCCAGGTCCAAGTGATTCCTGTGGCTCAGCTTCCCGAATAGAGCTGGGAGCTGGCGTGATCTCAGCTCGCTGCAACCTCCGCCTCCCAGGTTCAAGTGATTCTCTTGCCTCACCCTCCCGAGTAGCTGGGATTACAGTTGCCCACCACCACACCCGGCTAATTTTTTGTATTTTTAGTAGAGACAGGGTTTCAGTATGTTGGCCAGGCTGGTCTTGAACTCCTGACCTTGTGATCTGCCTGCCTCAGCCTCCCAAAGTGCTGGGATTACAGGCGTGAGCCACTACGCCTGGCCTCTAATTTTTGTTTTTTTGGTAGAGATGGGGTTTCACCATGTTGGCCAGGTTGGTCTCGAACTCCTGACCTCAAGTGATCCACCCTCCTCGGCCTCCCAAAGTGCTGGGATTACAAGCATGAGCCACCACCTGCGGCTAATTTTTTTGTATTTTTTGTAGAGACGGAGTTTCGTCATGTTGGCCAGGCCCATTTGAGATCTTTGAAGATATCCTCAACGTGAGGTAAAACCAAACTCCTGACTGTCCTGTGCTCCCAAATGTGATCTCCTTGTCCGTAAGGAGCTGAGTCCCTTCCCTTGGAGAGAAGAGTGTGCCCTTTCTCTAGATGGCTAAAGAAACCTCACAGATAGTTCTTTTTTTTCCTTTTTTTTTTTTTTTTTTTTTGGTAGAGACTCAGTCTCACTGTGTTACACAGGCTGGTCTCAAACTCCTGAGCTCAGGCGATCCTCCCGAGTTGGCCTCCCAGAGTGCTGGGATCACAGGTGTGAGCCACAAAGCGGATTGCTGCTGGGGCTTGCTGTTCTCCCGTAGCTCCCCTGCAGCCCTGACCCTCTGGGCCCAGAGCCCTTTACTTGTTATTTGTTTTAATAGAAACGGGGCTCATAGCAGGGCATAGGGGTTCACGCCTGTAATCCCAGCACTTTGGGAGGCCGCAGTGGCAGATCGCTTGAGGCCAGGAGTTCAAGACCAGCCTGGCCTACATGGTGAAACCTCGACTACTAAAAATACAAAAATTAGTCGGGCGTGGAGTCACGTGCCTATAGCCTCAGCTACTCAGGAGGCCGAAGCACAAGAAATGAGCTGAGATCATGCCACTGCACTACAGCCTGGGTGACAGAGTGAGACTCTGTCTCAAAAAAAAAAAATTAATAAAAATAAAAGTAAAATAAAATAGAAACAGGGCTCACGATGTTTCCCAGGCTGGGTTCGGACTCCTGGGCCGGTATGATCTTCCTGCCTTGGCCCCCTGAGTAGCTGGGACTGCACTGTGGCAGGCTTATACCTGTGTTGGTGCCTAAACGTTCTAGCTCTGCAGACTCAATTTAGCCAGTCGTCCTGTTCCCTCCGCCGCAGGCTCTGCTGCCATGAAGGTGAAGATTAAGTGCTGGAACGGCGTGGCCACTTGGCTCTGGGTGGCCAACGATGAGAACTGTGGCATCTGCAGGATGGCATTTAACGGATGCTGCCCTGACTGTGAGTGTCCCCTCCATGCTGTCTGAGCGGCCCCGACTGTGAGTGTCCCCTCTGTGCTGTCTGCTGCCTGCTGGACTAGCCTCAGTAGCTCCTGTTAAATACCTGCACGAAATACCCAGTTTCATTTTCTTTTTTTTTTTTTTTTTTTGAGACCGAGTTTCGATCTTGTTTCCCAGGCTGGAGTGCAATGGCGCGATCTCGGCTTGCCGCAACCTCTGCCTCCCGGGTTCAAACGGTTCTCCTGCCTCAGCCTTCCAAGCAGCTGGGATTACAGGCATGTGCCACCATGCTGGGCTAATTTTTTTATTTTTAGTAGAGACGGGGTTTTGCCTTGTTGGCTAGGCTGGCCTTGAACTCCTGACCTCAGGTGACCTGCCCGCTTCAGCCTTCCAAAGTGCTGGGATTACAGGTGTGAGCCACTTTGCCTGGCCCACATTTTTATTTTCTTTTCTTTCTTTCTTTTCTTTTTTTTTTTTTTTTTTTTTGAGATGGAGTTTCACTCTTGTTGCCCAGGCTGGAGTGCAATGGCGCGATCTCGGCTCACTGCAACCTCCGCCTCCTGGGCTCAAGCGATTCTCCTGCCTCAGCCTTCCAAGTACCTGGGATCACAGGCATGTGCCACTACACCCGGCTAATTTTGTATTTTTTAGTAGAGACAGGCTTTCTCCATGTTAGGCTGGTCTCGAACTGTCAACCTCAGGTGATCCACCCGCCTCAGCCTCCCAAAGGGATGGGATTACAGGCGCGAACCACCGTGCCCCCCCCAACATTTTCATTTTCATCTCATGAAGAAAAGTTGATAGAAAAAAAGCCAGGTGGTTGGTACCCATGTTTATATAAAGATCCTGTCACAGACTCCATAGGATGAAACTCAGCTGTGAAATACGTGGGATTAAAAAGAGATTAGAGTCTGGGCGGGCAGATCACAAGGTCAAGAGATGGAGGCCGGCATGGCGGCCCACGCCTGTTATTCCAGCACTGTGGGAGGCCGAGGCGGGCGGATCACAAGGTCAAGAGATGGAGGCCGGCACGGTGGCTCACACCTGTCATCCTAGCACTGTGGGAGGCCAAGGTAGGCAGATCACAGGGTCAAGAGATCAAGGCAGGGTGTGGTGGCCCACACTTGTCATCCCAGCACTGTGGGAGGCTGAAGTGGATGGATCTCAAGGTCAGGAGATTGAGACCATCCTGGCCAACATAGTGAAACGCCATCTCTACTAAAAATACAAAAATTAGCTGGGTGTGTGGCGTGTGCCTGTAATCCCAGCTACTGGGGAGGCTGAGGCAGGAGAATCTCTTGAGCCTGGGAGACGGGGGTTGCAGTGAGCCAAGAGCAAGACTCCATCTCAAAAAACAAACAAAAAAAAGATTAGTTTAAACTTTTTATTTGAAAATTCTCAAAATTGAATGGCATAGGCCAGGCGCAGTGGCTCACACCTGTAATCCCACCACTTTGGGAGGCCAAGGCAGGCGGATTGCTTCAGGCCAGGTGTTCGAGACCAGCCTGGCCAACATGGCAAAACCCCGACTCTACTAAAAATCCAAAAAAATTAGCCGGGCATGGTGGCAGGTGCCTGTAATCCCAGCACTTTGGGAGGCCGAGGTGGATGGATCACCTGAGGTCAGGAGTTTGAGACCAGCCTGGCCAACATGGTAAAATCCCGTCTCTACTAAAAATACAAAAAAGTAGCCGGGCATGGTGGTGCATGCCTGTAATCCCAGCTACTCAGGAGGCTGAGGCAAAAGAATCGCTTGAACCTGGGAGGCAGATGTTGTGGTGAGCCAAGATCGCACCATTGCACTCCAGCCTGGGCAACAAGAGTGAAACTCCATCTCAAAAAAAAAGAAAAAAAGTGGAAATGTTTGATTATGTTTAGGTTGAAAGCAGAGTTTTGCATCAGCGAAATGGTTTTTCATGAGACCGAAATGAGCGTAAAGCAGAAGCAAGGGTCAAGGTTTTGCCCAGGGAGGACAAGAAGAACTCCCCAGAGGACAGTGGGGAATGGAGAGGACAGTGGGGAATGGGGAGGACCGAGAAGCTACTCACTACCCCAAGTAACCAGGCGTATTTTTGTAGGGCCAGGTGCATGCCCATATTGATTGACAGGGTCTCACTGTGTTGCCCAAGCTGGACGTGAACTCCTGGGCTCCAGCCATCCTACTGTCTCAGCCTCCCAAGTAGCATACCACCACACTCATCTGCCTCCTTTGCTTTTTTTTTTTTTTTTTTTTTTTTTTTTTTTTGAGATAGAGTCTTGCCCTGTTGCTCAGACTGGAGTGCAATGGCACCATCTCAGCTCACCGCAACCCCCACCCTTCTGAGTTCAAAGGATTCTCCGGCCTCAGCCTCCCAAGTAGCTGGGATTACAGGCATGCACCACCACAGCCAGCTAATTTGTTGTATTTTTATTTTTATTTATTTATTTATTTTCGAGACAGAGTCTCACTCTGTCACCAGGGCTGGAGTGCAGTGGCACGATCTTGGCTCACTGCAACTTCCGCCTCCCTAGTTCAAGTGATTCTCCTGCCTCAGCTTTCCGAATAGCTGGGACTACAGGCGCTCGCCGCCATGCCCAGCTAATTTTTGTAGTTTTAACAGAAATGGGGTTTCACCATGTTGGCCAGGATGGTCTCGATCTCTTGACCTCGTGATCCGCCCACCTCAGCCTCCCAAAGTGCTGGGATTACAGGCATGAGCCACTGCGCCCAGCCCTTGTTGTATTTTTAGCAGAGACAGGGTTTCACCATGTTGGCCGGGCTGGTCTTAAAACTCCTGACCTCAGGTGATCCGTCCACCTCGGCCTCCCAAAGTACCAGGATTACAGGTGTGAGCCACTGCACCCGCCCCTGTCTTTGCTTCTTAAGGTGAAATTGAGATGACTGAATCTTAGTACAATTTTTTTTTTTTGAGACAGGGTCTTGCTGTCACCCAGGCGGCAGTGCAGTGTGGCAAAATCATAGCTCACTGTAGCCTTCAATTCCTCAGCTCAAGTGATCCTCCCACCTCCACCTCTCAAGTAGCTGGGACCACAGGCATGCTCCACAATGCCTGGCTAATTTTTTATTTTTTTATTTTTTGTAGAGACAGGGTTTTGCTATGTTGCCAAGGCTAGTCTTGAACTCCTGGGCTCAAGGGATCTGCCTGCCTTGGCATACCAAAGTGCTGGGATTACAGACGTGAGCCACCATGCCTGAACAAAACTACATAAATTTTTAATTTTTTTTGTGGAAATGGAGTCTCACTATGTTTCCCAGGCTGGTCTCAAACTCTTGGCTCTGTCCTGCCACAGCCTCCCAAAGTGCTGGGATTATAGGTGTGGCGCCTGGCCCGTACAAATACTTTTTATTCTAGGCTTAACTTTTACATTGGCCCTAGCTAAATAGAAATCTCATCACTCAGGAATTAATCCTCATTTAATCAAACGGGTAGGGTGTAATCTTAGGAAATTATTGATTGACTCTACCTGATTGGATTTGTAGTTAATAGCTAATTAGGTTAATAACTAAATTCACAAGGCACAGTTTTATTTGATCTCTTTTAAATTGCTCTTAAGGATGTAACAAAGAGTGCGTGGGATGCCCTGAGGGCAGGCATTCGACTTCTGGAGCAGCAGCTTAACTTCTGAAATTCCTCCGAACCATGTGTCCACACCTCGTCTGGCTGCATCCGTGGGCCAGATGTGGGTGGTGAATCCTGTGGATTAGAGGTGGTGCTAGGTAGCCCCCAAGTGACTGCAGTGGTGGGTCCACAGGCAGCCTGCAGAGCCCGCCCTGCAGCATGCCAGCTGGGCCTGTGATGGGGCATCCAGAGGGTGTTGCCCTGAACACTCAGCATGTCTCCGCTGACACAGTGTGCTCAGGCTTTGTTAACATGGGGCCTGTTGGCTGCAGAGACTCAGGAGTTGAGAGTCTAATTTTTGGACCTGCTGATGGTTAAGTCATAGTGAGTCAGTGTTAACGCGCAAAGCGTTTGACGAGTCCAATGTGCTTCCATACTAAGCAGCACCAGGTTTCTTTTGCTAAAATTGAACTCCTGTGAAAAATTCAGAGTGACTAAGTTCATTCAACAAAGACCGTGGGAGCCCGAGGCTGGTAAACAATGAGTCCATCCCGCATCCCAGGGGACTCTGGTGGCAGTGCAGTTTTGCCGAGAGGAGTTTTAATTTAAAAAAATGCAATCAGGAGACCAGCAGGTCCTGGAATGAGTCACCCTCAGTGCATCTGCGGACTCATCAGACACCCCAGGCCGGCTTCGGGTGGGGAATGCACTAGAACGAAGTGACACCTTTGACTAAACGAGGCCTCCCCCGAGTACTCAGAGTGGCCCAGACCCCTCTCCTCAGGGGGCTAGCAGGCTTCAGCTCTCATTTGAAAGGGCCGATATCAAGCAGAGTTGTGCTGAGGCCAGAAACCCCCACGGGCAGGTCCTCCCAGGGCTGGGAGTGGGCATGCCGTGGGGCCGGCGCTGCCAGGACAGGAGGGTGGCCACGAGCTCCAGCTCCACAATGCCAGGCCGACCCTGCCGTGGGGCTGGGGCTGGGACTTGCTGTGCTCTGTTGGCAGCAGCTGTTCCTCAGGGGTTTCCAGGCTCTTGGAGATCAGGGACACTCATTTCTCTTGATCATGGCTGATACAAGCATCCCTCTCTGTGTCAGGTCCTCTCCATGGAGAAAGCATTTCTAGGTGTTTGGGCTGGTGCCCGCAGCCTGTGCCTGTCCTGGGAGGCAGGGCCCATCCACAGGTGCCCATCAACACAGCTTCCCCAACGCCTGGGCAGCACACCGGATCCCTGATGTCTAGGGAAGAGTCTTCTAGGTCCCCAGACCCCACCCCTCCTGCCCTTGATCAAGAGACCAGTTCACTACTCAGATGCACGTCTCCTTGGTGCCTTGACCATTCATGTGACCTTTTTGGCATCACAGATCAAGTGTCTGCAGATGGGCCCAGGGCCTGTAGGTCAGACATTGCCCTTTTTCCCCAGCCTCAAGCACAGGGGACACAGGGTGGGCTAGGCCAGAGCGCCACCTCCTCAGAGAGGCCCCTGGGCTCCCCACTGAGCATGATGAGCCTGGGTGAGGGGAGGCGCCTGCTGCGGTTGCCCCGGGTGGAGGCCGCATGTCCGGTGTCCCTTGGTCATTGCTGGTCTTCGCCTGGGGGCGGGCTGGTCAGGAGACCGATTGGGTAACACTCCTGATTTCGGCTTCTCTGAAACATGAGAGGCTGCAGTGCTGGAGCCACTGCCCAGGGTCCCTACCTGCACCCCTGCCTGGCTTGTCACATGCTCTGTGTCCAGCCTGGTCATGCCTGTCCTTTTCCCCACCTCCCCTCCGTAGGCAAGGTGCCCGGCGACGACTGCCCGCTGGTGTGGGGCCAGTGCTCCCACTGCTTCCACATGCATTGCATCCTCAAGTGGCTGCACGCACAGCAGGTGCAGCAGCACTGCCCCATGTGCCGCCAGGAATGGAAGTTCAAGGAGTGAGGCCCGACCTGGCTCTCGCTGGAGGGGCATCCTGAGACTCCTTCCTCATGCTGGCGCCGATGGCTGCTGGGGACAGCGCCCCTGAGCTGCAACAAGGTGGAAACAAGGGCTGGAGCTGCGTTTGTTTTGCCATCACTATGTTGACACTTTTATCCAATAAGTGAAAACTCATTAAACTACTCAAATCTTGCTGGAGGCCTCTGGGTGCCTGTGTTCTCGGCATATAGATGTGGTCTCGGTGTGTTTTGATATGAAAACTCTCATGAATAAACATCTCCGTGAAACGCCAAGGCCCTCGTCAAACCCTGAGTCATGACTGGGAGGAGAAGGAGCAGGATCAGACGGTAGAGCCTGGGGCATGCTCTTCAGGCATGCTCTTGCCTGCTGGATTGCCGGCGGCGGCCCTGGGACCCTCCCTCAGGCTGGCTCTGAGGGACCCTGGCTGTGCAAAGCTGGCGGCCACTGCTTGTGGCGCCTCCAGACTGAAGGCCACCATCTCTGAGTGGGCGTCCATTGTTCTCACTGGGACTGTCTGCAGCGGGGCTGGGCCTCCCACAGTGTAGGGATCAGTGTCCTGACACTGGGAAGTGTGTCCACACGTCT
Source organism: Homo sapiens (assembly GCF_000001405.40). NCBI lineage: Eukaryota > Metazoa > Chordata > Mammalia > Primates > Hominidae > Homo > Homo sapiens. The sequence continues at coordinate 81,900,669 of NC_000017.11, forward strand.
GAGGCTTCCCTTCCTAGGGAAAGGTGGCCCTGGGAGGCTCCTTTGTGTGCCTCTGCTCCCCACAATCGTGGTGGGAAGGGGCCGCTGGGGGAGTGGCAGCCCCGGCATCTCAGGCTGCTTCTGGACAGAGCACAGGCTGTGTCTCCAGTAACCTAGGGAGCCCTTGGCATTCATGGGGCCAGTGACCCGTGCCCAGTGTCTCTTGACCCTTCCTCACAGCAACCTGAGGAGTAGACCAGGCCTCACCTGAAATCTGTGTCAGGGTTCTCTAGAGAGACAGGACTCTATATGAAGAGTATATATGAAGAGTTTATTGGGAGTATTGACTCACGTGATCACAAGGTGAAGTCCCACAATAAGCCATGTGCAAGGTGAGGAGCAAGGAAGCCAGTCTGAGTCCCAAAACAAAAGTAGAGAAGCCGATAGTGCAGCCTTCATCCTGTGGCCAAAGGCTGCAGAGCCCCTGGCAAGCCACTGGTGTAGGTCCGAGAGTCCAAAAGCTGAAGAACCTGGAGGCCGACGTGCGAGGGCGGGAAGCATCCAGCATGGGAGAAAGATGGAGGCCAGATTCAGCCAGTCTAGTCTTTCCACGTTCCTCTGCCTGCTTGTATCCTGGCTGTGCTGGCAGCCGATTAGGTGGTGCCCACCTGGATTGAGGGTGGGTCTGCCTCTCCCAGCCCACTGACTCAAATGGGAATCTCCTCTGGCAACACCCTCACAGACACACCCAGTGACAATACTTTGCATCCTTCAATCCAGTCAAGCTGACACTCAGCATTCACCATCACACCTGGGAAGCATGGAACCCAGAAACAAGTGCCAGGGCTCCAGTGCCAGTGCCTGTCCTGGGAAGATACCCAAGAGAAGACATGACCAGGACCTTGGGGGAGCATGAAATGGTGAGGGCACAGTGAGCTTGAAGGCTGATGTCACCTGCCAGGAGAGCGGCTGGCAGTCCTGCCTGGTGCCCCCCAAGGGGCAGAGCTGGCAGAGAGGGGCCTCCAATCGAAGGCCAGGAGTCGTGGAGCTCCAGTGCCTTGGTGTGGCTGGCCTTCTTGCCCCCCTCCCAGAGGACCCCGCCAGTAACAGCCCTGCTGGTGGAACCTTCCCCAGTGGGCATGAAAGAAATGAGGGCCCCACAAGCCACATGGACTCTGATGCCTGGAGCCAAGAATACCCCTTAGGGTGGTAGAAACCGCCCCCGGGGCACTGTGCAGTGTGGCTGGCTCTCCAGCATCAGGAGTACTGGGGATTGCCTGGGGGACGACTCCTAGGGCTGGGCGCCCGTGGGCCCTCCCCTGCTGCCACTGCGGCCCACGCAAGCCGGGCCTGAAGGGCGCGAGCGGCATGGGTGGGGAGCTTGAGGGGGCGTTGGGCTCCCACCAAGCGCCAGATCCTTGCGCGCCTCCAGCGCTCGCCCGCGCGGCTGGTTCCTTTGGGATGCGGAGGTGCGACGGCTCCTCCGCGCGCGCCCGCTGCACCCCAGCCCGCCCGCCGCCCCTCCCGGCCCTCCGCAGCCTCGGCCCGCCCTCGCCGCAGATATAAGGCGGCCCAGGCGGTGGCTGCTCCGAGCCCGGACGCCGCCGCCCACCAGTCAGCCGGCGTCCCCATGGCCCGGTCCGCGACACTGGCGGCCGCCGCCCTGGCGCTGTGCCTGCTGCTGGCGCCGCCTGGCCTCGCGTGGTACAAGCCAGCGGCGGGGCACAGCTCCTACTCGGTGGGCCGCGCCGCGGGGCTGCTGTCCGGCCTCCGCAGGTCCCCGTACGCGCGGCGCTCCCAGCCCTACAGAGGGGCGGAACCCCCGGGCGGGGCCGGCGCCTCCCCGGAGCTGCAACTGCACCCCAGGCTGCGGAGCCTCGTGAGTCCGGCGTGCCGGGGACTGATGGGGGGCGGCGGCAGGACGTGGGTGGGGGTGCGGCGGCCCCTCAGCCTTTGCTTGCCTGCCCCCCAGGCTGTGTGCGTCCAGGACGTCGCCCCAAACCTGCAGAGGTGCGAGCGGCTCCCCGACGGCCGCGGGACCTACCAGTGCAAGGCGAACGTCTTCCTGTCCCTGCGCGCAGCCGACTGCCTCGCCGCCTGAGCCCGGACCTCTCCTGGCACCGCTGGGGGCCCCCCGCCCCCACCGTCCCACTCGGTGACCCCAGGCCCCTCCGGCGCGGGATGGCGCCCCAGGTCTCCCCTACTCCGCTCACCCCGCAGTTAATGGCAAACGAATAAATAAATGAGGCGGCCTCGGAGTGAGGGGTGCTGGAGGACTGGCAGCCAGGCCACGAGGGGAACGGGACCTGGAAATCCCCAAGCCTGGGTATGAGAAGGCAGCCGAGTGTGCGGCGGCAGGGCAAGGTTGGCCTGGGCCGCCCAGAGGTCTTCAGACCCAGGGGCGAAGCTGGCCACGACCCAGCCCCGCGGTGAAGCCGCGCCTAGCCTTGGTGCTCCCTGGGGGAAGTGCAGGGCCACGGCTGGCCCGGTTCCCAGTGTCCTCCCCCAGCCCTTCGCTCCCCAACTCGAGAGCCAAATCTGTGAGGGCATGGGCTGGAGCCCCTGGCTGCCTTCCTCTTGCCCCCATCCCTTCTGGCCAGGCCAAGTCCGAGGGTGCAGGGGCAAGGAGGAGAGTTGGGGGCCTGAGCCCTGGCTCCAGAGGCCCAGAGCATGCCTCCCCAGAGCTGAAGGTGGGAGATGGGTAGGTTCTCCCTCCGCCGTTGGGTGTGACTCCGGAACTGGCTTGGGCTCTGGCCTCCAATGCTGCTACGGGGCCAGGCCCACCTCCGGGCCCAGGCAGCAGCACTGCAGGGCCTTTCTACCCTCCCCAAGCCTGGGGCCCAGGCAGCCCCTGTCCAGCACCAATCTGTCTATGGGGAACTGGCTGGTCCCTCTGCTCAGGGGACCCCGCAGTCCAGGGTTCTGAGTGGGAGCATTGGCACCACCCCACTCCTGAAAGCGGGGGCCTGGCAGGATGAGGATGGCCTGTGCCCCCCACACCTTGGCCCCTGGCTCGGAGAGCAGGGTGACAGGCTGCCTTCCTGGGCTGTGGAGAGCCTCGCGTGCACCTCGCCTCCAGCTCCTGTGCTGGGTCGTGAGGTCGACCTCACAACAGCAGAGGACAGGCCCATGGGGTGCCACATGGGCCAGGTGCTGTAGGGCAGAGGCCATTCTGGAGAGGAATGTGGGGCTGAAAAAAGTACTGATCATAAGCCTCATTTTGAATGCGGCGAGACCAGGCAATCTATGGCCTCCCTAGACACCTCCCGGAGGCTGCAGTAAGAACCTCTTCGGCCTCTGGGCTGCTCCAGGCGGGCCGTGACAGGGGTGTGGGAGACAGAGATCCCATGGCCCCTGGAGGGGCCAAGGGGCAAGGAGCCTCAGCTCTGGCTCTCCTCCTTATTCTAGCATCGCCTGCTACAGGGGGTGGCCCCAGGCTTTGGAGGGCTGGAGGCCTGGGTTTCACTCACTGCCAGGCTGCCCGCTGCACTCCCGGCTGCTGGGTGCATGGTGGGGGCAGGGCCAAGAGGGTCTCCTTGCTGAGTGGTTCCCTGGTCCTTCCCAGCAGGGCTGGGAGCCCCGCGCAGCACTGCCACCAGGCTTTATTCGGTTGTACCAAAGAGATTTCCGTCAGCCATGTACAAACAGAACAGAGTCCATAAGGAGAGTGGCGAAGCTGCCGGGAAGGAAGGCAAGCGTGTTTTCCTGGAGCCAGGCGCTGGGTGGCAGGACACCGTGTTGGGGGGTGCCCAGTGGGAGGTGGTGTGGTCTACACCCAGAGAACTAAAGGGGTGACCGCAGTCACTGCTCCCTAAAGCCCTCTGCTCTGCACCTCCCGCCACAGCTGGGTGGGCAGTCAGTGTGGCCTCTGTCCAGGTGGTGGGGGCATCCGGGGACCAGGTGGGGGCGCACGCAGGAGCGGTGCGTTTCAGGCTGCAGGTGCCGTCTGCCCGTCTCACTTCCGGCCTCTCCACTGTGCTGGACACCCTCTCTGAGCAGCTTTGCTGGAAAGAGCGGAGAGCCTGCTGCAAACCAGGCACCTTGTAGGCAGGCAAGGAGGCAGAGTCCTCACCAGCCCTTCCAGAGCCAGGCCAGTTAGAGAGGGCGGCCCTGCAGAGTCCTATGTCCAAACGCAGAAGGCGCAGAAGCAGAGCAGGGGGAGGGCCGGCCAGGGCCTCTGCCAGGTTAGAAGTCACCATCGCGCTCCCCCAGGGGCTGTGCCGCCTGCTGCCTGGCAGCCTCCAGGAAGGCCAGCTCCTTGGCTTCCTTCTTCTGGTTTCGCGCCTCATACTCCAACCTGAGAGGGCAGGGTAAGTCTAGCAGAGAGCGCCCATGAGGCGGCTCCGAGGGGGAGGGCACGGTAAGTCTAGCGGAGAGCGCCCATGAGGCGGCTCCGAGGTGCCCCCACCCAACTGCACCTGTTGGTGATGATCCGCTGGACGATGAGGTCTGTGGTGAGGTTGCTGCCACTGTCAATCTGACGGAAGATGCCCCTTCTCTTGGGCTCCTGGGGGTCCAGAGAGGAGGAGCGGGATGAAGGTCCCTGCTGACCTCCCCAAGACCCATCTGATGCCCTGCCCCAGAGGGAGACCAGCGCCCAGGGTCCCATGGGAGTGGTGCAGTCGGAGCAGCTGCGCCACCATGCCCGTTTCCCAGGCAGGCACAGTGAGTCATTAAATGGCTGGGAGGTGCCAATGGCAACCCCTGTGCCCAGCAAGGGCCAGCATGACCCACCTGGTATGGGTCGGAGCCATCCCTGTCAGGGATAATTTCTGTCTTGCCGTGACACACCAGGTCCACCTGGAGAAGGAGTGGGGTCAGGAGCCCTCCCCGGGGAGGCAGCGGCCGTCGCCACCCACAGCCCAGCACAGGCCCCGGGGGTTGGGAGAGCTGACCCTGCCCTTTCCTCAGCCCAGGTACCTCCTGGGCCCCGCCTAGGAGCCCACAGCCAGCCTGCATTCCCAGCCCATGCAGGAACAGAGGTGAACAGAGGGAACGAGGTGAGCCCATGCGGAGCCTCACCTTGAAGTGACTTAGGAGCTCTGCTGTGACCGCGTACGGGGCTCCAATCACCACTTCTGACACGTACTGTGGGGACAGTGGGGGCAGAAAGACTTGCTCGGTCCCTGCTACTGGTAAGCCAGGGCCACAGGGTGGTGAGAGACGGCTCAGACATGGGGCGGGGCTGCCAGTGAGTAGCAGGGATGGGCTGGGCAGGCTGGGGACCCCTGGGGCTCCTCCATGAGACAAGAAGGAACAGCATCTGGAGACCTGACCACCCCTCCTCATGCCTCAACAAACAGGTATGGGCAGGTGCCACAGAACTCGGGGTGCTGGGTGCAGCTCTGCCAGTGACCCAAGCCCCCCTGCCCTGGCTCAGGGAGGCCCTTAGTAGGGGGGATGTTGTGGGAATGTCTCCCCATCCTTGGGCTGGCTCCTGGCCCCCACTCACCCGGCAGGCCAGCACGCTCAGAGTCCGTTCATGCAGATTCATGATGGGGTAGTTCTTCCCCTTGTAGTGATTGACCTCCTGCGGCCAGAGTGCGGCTAGCTCAGCCCGGAGACTTTTTGGGGGGACAGGGTGTGCCCCTCCCGGCTGTCCCTCATGGGAAGAAGTCGGGGAGGTTGCTCGCCCTTGTGGGGATGCCCCAGACAGGACAGCCCTGGACCCCAGAAGCCTACGATCACCCCCCAGGGTCTCCTGTGACTTCACCTGGGGCCCCTTCCCAGAGACCACCTGCACCTAACAGCAACGCTTAGGGCCCCTCGAGGGCCCATCAGCTGCCCAGGGGCCCAGGGAGCAAGAAGGCAGTGACCTGGTCAAAGTGTAAGCCCGCGATGATGTAGGGCCTCTCTGCCAGCCTGTGCACCTTCTCCAGGAAGTCCACATGCCCGATGTCTGCACCCAGGTTAAGAAGCAGTCGGGATGGGGATGACAGGGAGCAGCTCCCTGACAGCTCATGCCCAAGGGCCTCCCCGCCATCCTCCCTGCTGACAGCTGCTCCCCTGCAAACCAGCCAGCCCAGTCTGGGGGCCCCAAGGAGTCAAGTGAGGCCCCCGGGTCCCACCCCATGTGGCACATGTAGGGGAGCAGCAGAGGCCCAGAGGATACGGAACAGGTCGAAGGCACCAGCCACATAGATGACTGTCTCCCCTGGCTGGGGCTCCTTCCCAGAAGCAAACTGGATGATCTTCTGAGATGTCTGCAGGAACTGGGATACCCCGGTCCAGGGGTTCCGCCCACCAGGGCACTGCAAGCCAAGAGAGGGAGCAGGTTGGCGGGGGAGGCCTCCCAGGTGCTGCCCTCACCAGGTCACCAAACCCTCAGCTGTCACCTGCCAGCAATCCCATTTCCAGCCAGTCATCTCGGGCAGGGGACACACTGCCAGGCCAGGTGGCAGGTGGGACTGTGGCGCCACCCCACAACCACAGCAGGCACCGCAGCAGACACCACTTCAGCCCAGCAAGCGACCACCAGGAGGAGGCAAGGAGCCCTGTGGCAGGTGCACACAGCCCTTGGGAGGGACCTGGTACCCTGAGACCACTGTCTGGTCACCTGGGAGCAGCCTTCTGAGGAAAGTATGTCCCCGGCGGGTATCGGGTGAGGGGGCTACAATGGGAGAGAGGGCCAGGCCACTTGGTTAGAGGCCACCTGTCCACAGGCAAATCCTTGCTCCTCCAAGCAGTGGCTGCCGTGACCGGCCAGCCGGTGCCACCACCCGCCTGCCCTCCCTCCCAGCATCCACCAGTGAGCCAAACCTGGCAGTCAGTGCCTGGTCAGTGCCAGGGACAGAGGGAGGAGGGTGAGGCTCTGGGCTGGCCTTTCCCCAAGGGATGGCTGGGACAGGTGGCCGGGGGAGCCCCCTGCAGCTGCGTGCTCAGCTCTCCCTGCACAGCCGCACTCACCTTGCCAAAACTGTCTGCATACTCCCGGTACTCAGAGGACATCTCCTGCACAGAAGGTCAGAGCAGGGCTGAGGGGCCTGCCCTCCCGGCGTGGCCACCCCAGAACCGGCTGGGGATGGGGAGCAGTGGGCAGGAGGACCCTGAGAGGGCAGGGAGGTGCCCCTCCTTTCCCCTGGAGACCTCGACCCAGGGGCCTCGGGGATTCCGCCGCCGACTCACCTGGCTGCTGTGATGGGCTTTGGTTACCAGCAGCATGCGGCCCACGAGGTCTGTGGTGGACACCCCTTGCGTGCGCTTGCATTCTCTGGGGGACACAGTGGGAGTGGGGTCTCATCCTGGGACACTCGCAAGGCTCTGCCTCCTGCTACCACCACTAGGGACACTAGCAGCCCTGCTGTGGCAGAACCCACGGCTGCCCCAAAGACTGAGGGTCCCCTTCCTGTGCAAGGCCATAACAGAAAACCTGGGTTGGGAACATGGGGAAGGCCTCCACGCTTTTATTGACTGAAGGGAGTGGCAGGAGCACAGAAAAGGACCCTTGCTGGGGCCCAGGTGTGCAATGCCAGGGAGAGGATGGGCACTGGGGTAGCAGCTCTGCTTCCTGCCTCCCTCACACCCACGTCCTGCCCGCTGAGCATCTGCAGCTGAGTGAATTCTCAGCTGCAGCATCTCATGCGGGAGCCACTGGCCTCATGTCCCTGACGTCTGGTAATTCAGATATAGTGCCAGCTCCCCAGCAGTGCCAGCCACGTCCCCCGAGCTCAACAGCTGCCACCTCACAAAGCTGTGCCTTTGGAGCCCTGGGGCCATGGGTCTGCAGCACCAAATGGCAAGGGCCTCCAGGCCACCCCACAATGGCACCTCCATCCCTCGAGTTCCCAGTCCTGGGCGTGAGGAACATGGCCCAGGGCCTGGACGCTCCCCTCACGGGCTCCCGGTAAATAGCAAAGCACGAGCCAGGAGGGAGCCCCGTGTCCAGCTCCCTGGATGGCCAGGCCCGCGGTGGAGACTCACCTGTACCTCCCAGCCTGCTTTACTTCCTCATAGGTGTCCCGGCCATCTACAGTCAGGGTGATGTCATCTAAGCAGTGACACACAAGGACAAGGATCCTTAACCCAAAGCCACCAGAACCTTCAGAGCCCAGGACCCTCTCGGCCCCTGGCCTGCCCTAGTGTCCGCGTGCCCATTTCTAGGTGGGGGCCCGGAAATGTCTCAGATCCTCAAAGGGCGGAGGCCCCCTGTTCCCGGATGTCCCACCAGCAGATCTGATCCTGAGCCACCTGATGTCCCCAGGCCCCCAGGTCCCAGCCCCGCCACTCACTGCCGTGAACACAGAAGTCACAGTTGTATTTGTCCAGGGTCTCTAGTGTAGTGACGTAGGGAGCCGCTGGCACCACCTCGTCCACCCATTTGATGGCCTGCACCATCTTGTATCTCTCCTCCTGAGTGAACACCGGGGGCCCCTTGTGCTTGGCGATCTCCTCTAGGAAAAGGACAACGGGGAGACTGGGGACCCCAGCCCACCCGGCCCCTCCAGTAGGAGGCCCCTTCCCAGCACCCAGCTGTAGCCACACAAGAGGGCCGGTGGGGGCAGGCTGTCTCTCTACCCTGGCCCTTAGCCCACTAGTGCTGGCCAACTGGGTGGCTCTCTTCCCTGCGAGGGTCTCAGGCAAAGGCAGAGATTCCTTCTGACGAGCAGGTGCTCAGCCCCTGAAGGCTTGGGAGCCTCGCTGGCAGTGGTGGGGAGCAGGTGCCCCTTCTCTTTAGCTGGGACAGGAAATGCAAGATGGGAAAGGCATTAGGCCATCCTCAGCTGGGGCTGGGCTGGGTGAGCCTACAGTGCCCTCCCCTACAGCTGTGCCCTGGCAAGGTGGCCCCAGGCCTGCAGGCTTTCAGTCAACAGTCGCAACCCACAGGAGGGCTGGGGGGCCGCGGGTGGGCGAGGCCATCTGTGCTTACCATCGGTGTGCACGCCTACGATGAGGTAGTCACCCATGGCCCGTGCCTGGCGCAGCTGGTTGGAGTGGCCGTAATGCACCATGTCATAGCTGTGGAGACAGAGAGAGTGGGTGGTCCCTGTGCCAAGGGTGGGGACCAGGTGTCCCTGTGGGTTAGGGGCAGAGCTTTGCTCCTCTGAGGACTCCTTAGGAAGCGCTCTGAGAAGCTGCTGCTGGGAGCCCTGGGACTGGGATTCGGAGGATGTAGGTGCTCAGCTCTCCACCCCACTGGCTCCTGGGCCTGACGGTGGGACCCCTGTGCCAGATCTAGAAAGGGTGGCAGGGGCAGAGATGTCAAGGCCTGGCTGGGTCTAGAGGACTGGTGGGTGCAGGACAGACTGGAGCCCACTGAAAGCTGCAGGGCCACGTGTCCTATCCCCTCACCAAATATCAACTGCCCTGGGCAGTCACTTTAAAATAAGCCGATGTTAACTCTTGGGGTAGGGTTGGATCCTAGACTACCTTGAGACAAGCAAACAGTCCCTGGGGCTAACCCAAAACAAATCCAACCACAAAATAAAACCCTGGGAATCACTGGCCCTGAAAATCCTGTCTCTCCTCCCTTACGGCCTCAAGCTCAGCAGGCTTAACGCTAAGGGTGAACAGCCACTGCCTTGCCACCTGGCTCGAGAGTTTTCATTCACAAATCTAGGTCTGCTAACACGTGAACTCTCAAGCCCAAAGCTACACAGCCCTGCCACCAACTGGGCCTCGCTGCCCTGGCTTCTTCGCCACTTCTTTACAGCAGCGGCCCATCCCCTCAAGTGGACAAAGCTGTCCCTGCCTCTCCAGGGAGAGGTGTGACCCTGGCAGCCCACACAGTGCACAGAGTTGCTCCACTGCACACCACTGCTTCCTCCCAGCACCCCTGCCACAGTGCGCGGAGCCCGGCAGACATGCTGGGTAAAATCTGGCGGGCCCATGTACCCACTGGACAGGCTGGAGGGGAGGAGGGGGCAGAGGCTGGGCCAGGGGAGCACAGTCTGGAATGGGGCTGGGGCCTGGTCAGGGCAAGGTCAAAGTCCACTGACACAAAGCCACATTCCTTTTCCCAGAGGTGACTCGGACACAGAAGACAAGGCCCTGCTTGCTCTCCTGGGAAGGGCTAATCAGATAGAGGCGCTTGCTTCCTGGATTCCATCCGGCAGGCACGTGAAAGGGTCAGAGGTAGCAAATTATCAGTAACGGTCGTCTTCCTTTCACTTGTTGACAACCCGAAACTTTTCTTAAAACAATGCCCTCTGACTGGCCAGGGAAGACCGATCGCATTCTAGCCCCGCGGAGGAGGACCCGGGAGCCCGCGGGCTTCACCGCGGGTCCCGGACAGGCAGGTCGCACCCGATGCCCACCTACAGGGACGCTCGCCCGGAGGCCAGGGGAACCCCTGGACCGGAGCCGGGCAAGCTGGTTGCTGGTGGTTACGGAGAAGCAGGGAGGCCGTGGCTCCAGATCTCAGCGCGGTGGCTGCACCGGAGAGGTCGGCGTGACCGGGCGGGGCCTCCGCCAGAGGTAGACGGGGTCGCCCACGGCAGGGCGCGGAGCCTCTGCAGCCCGACCCTCCCGGCAGGCGAGCCCCGCAGCCTGCCAGCCCCGGCCCATGCCGGACGAGGACGCCACCCAGAACGCGGGCCCGGTCCCCGGGCAACGGCTGGCGCGGCGCCCCGGAAGGAAGCCGGCCCCGGCGCCCCCGCGGCCCGCCCCGGCCCCGCGCTCACCAGCCATCGCACCACACCCTCACGGCGCGCCTGCCCCCCGGGCCCGGCTGCTCTGCGCCGCCTGCAGCCCCGCGCCCGTTCCGGATCATGGCCCCGCAGCGGCGGCGCGGACAGCCTGGCAGCTCCCGGCGACTCCGAGCGCCGCCGCCCGCCCCGCCAGGCGCACGCTCAGCGGCCGTCACGCGGGCCTCACCCGCTGCGCACGGCCAATGGCGTGCGCCGCTCGGCCCGAGCCCCGCCCCCGCCTCCCCCGCCCCGCCTCCCGCCCTCCGCCCCGAGCCCCACCCCCCGAAGGCCGCGCCCCACCGCACCTCCGCGCACGGCCAATGGCGTGAGCCCCTGACAGAGTCCCGCCCCCTCCAAACGCACAGCCAATGGCGTGTGCCGCGCTTTCCGAGCCCCGCCCCCCGACCCACACCTGGCCTCTCCGCACCGCCCACACCTGGCGCTCGGCTGGCGGGGCAGTGCGGCGTGGGGACCGTCCCACCGCCGCCACCTCCGGGAACCTCCACGGGGCGCTGTCCCAACCAGGGGAGTTTTTTTTCTTATTTTTTGGCACAATAATCTACAGTTGTCCCCTGTCCAACCAAGGGAGTTTTAAGCCACGACCGAGCTGCCAGGCGGCAGACCTGAGCCCGGGGAGCCCGCGCCGACCACTCGGGGACACCGGAAGCCAGTGCAGAAACGTTTAATAGAAATAAAAAGGTCTGCATAGAGCCGAGGCTCGGAGCCACCCCTCTGCCGCACATCCAGTACAGAGAGGATTCTATAAAGTTCACACTTTTTCATTAAGTAGTAGTAGAAATACGGTGAGGCCCTGAGACTGGCCTGGTGAGCGAGGAAAGGCCGCTGGGCGCTTCCACTCTGCAGGCCGGGGCTGAAATAACCCGAGTTCCGTTCTCACAGAAAGGTGCGGCTGCCACCTCTTGACACAGAGGCCGGATGGGCAGGTGTCCTCGATGGCCAGGCCGTATCAGGGTACAACCGCAGCAGTGCAAGGGGCTTCCTCAAGGACAAATGGCTAAAAATGTCACGGTGAAAATGTCATCCCCAAAGAGTTCGTTCTCCCTAGACCCGTGGGGGCAACCCAGCCTTCACCGTGACACTGGCCATCTGCAAAGTGCCAACTGTTCTTCATCGAGCACGTGATTACGTCACTTTCTTCCTTTTTGTGCGTTTTGTGCAGCCCCTGCCAAACCAGCCCCCTAGGATGGGGGCCGAGCTAAGCGGTGCACCCCGGTCCCCAGGCGGGGCCTCCTCTCTGCTTCTGCACAGCGACTTCCGACTGTGGCTGCCTTCTTCACCAGCACGCAGGGGAGTCGCCAGTGAGAAAATGGGATCCTGCCACCTGCCAAAAAGGGAAAGCGGCATCAGGCGGGCCTGGGAGCCTCTCGCAGTCACACCTGCCCCAGCTCGGGAAAGCTGTCTGCGGTCCCTGCCTTCCCATCCCCTTCCCTCCCGTGTCAACTGCGGCGGGGCTCTGGTTGGCGGCAGCTTCATTGTTACCAAGCTGCAGAACGGATGTGGGAGAGGTCACCTCTTAGGTGGTGACTCAAAGGTCGGCACCCACACTAGCTCGGTCTCCTCAAAACTCCGTGTCCTTGTCCACCACTGAGCGGCGTGCACACACAGGGTGGGGCAGCAGTGGCCCCAGGGCTGCCTCCGTCTCCAGGGATGAGTCACTAGCAACTCTGGGCCCCACCTTCCACTTGTACCGCTGGGGCAGGTGGACCAGACCCTCTCCCCCTTCCCAGCTGACTAGGGAGGCGTGGCCTACAGACGACCCCGTGAAGAAAGCATGTGTCTGACGGAGATGCAGAACCACAGATCATAACTTAAGATACAGATACGCACTGATAAGGAAAATGAGCTAAGTTAATGTAAAAAAAAAATACAGTACACGATAGCCCACATCACAGAACACCACACACATAACATACAAGAAGTGCCAGGCCCAGAAGGTGAAGGGATCCTTAATTTCTTGAACCCTTTGATTAAAAGAAGTTATTGATTTCCCCTATAAGACCCTGAAAATTCACAGAGAAAGAGAGTGTAAACTTTTTACTCAATACATACACCAAGTCTAAATTATCACAAATTCTGTATTAAGGCACAGTTTGTTTAAGCTTTCCCAAAGTACGCCAACTCCCAAAACCAAGCACACAGATTCTGTCTGACCAGAGCTGCCGAGTGCTCGTCCCCTCCAGATGCTTCCCACCAGGCATCTCGGAGAGCTCCACGGGGAGGCCTGGAGCAGGAGCACGCGGGCAGAATCCCTCTCCCCGCGGGGATTGTGTGTGCCACATCAGCCAGGGCAGGAGTGGCACACGCAGGGTCTCCGCCAACCACCGAGGTCAGGCCCTCTGGAGACCACCACGCTTCAGTCATGCCTCAGGCACCACTGCAAACACCTCAGAGCTTCCTCCACACTCAGCTCACGAGAGAAGACAGACAAGGCCCAGCACACAGAGGTGCGGGGAAGCAGGCTGCTGCAGCGGCTCACTCACCTGCTATAGGCGGGGATCTCCAAGCCCAGCTCGGCCATGAGGAGCCGCATGACGTCATCACACTTCCCATGTAGCTTCAGGGCAGCCCAGTCATCCTTCGGGGTCCACTGAGGACAGGGAAAGCCGAGTGAGAGTAACAGCAGCCCAACCCTTCCCGGTGGCCTGTCAGCCTTGGCCCCTACGGGCTCAGTCGGTGCTCCCTGAGCACCCACGGGGGCCCTATCAGACCGCCCTGGTGCATGGGTGTGGGGTGTCTCTGGCTGTGCGTTCTAAGACCCAGATCTAAGGACGTGGCTCTCAGCACCCGAGTTACCTGCAGGTTCACGATGTAAAGCTTCGGCCGCCGGCTAGGGGGCTTGGTCATGCACCAGAGGCGTGGGTACTTCTTTAGAACCTGTGGAAGCAGACAGACAGACACCGCACACACACAAGGGACAAGTCTGTACAGTGCTGGGCCGCAGAGCTGGACACCCTCGGGCGGGCAGGGGCTCGGTTCACTCATTGTGTCATCGGCACGTACCTTCAGGCTGGACCCTAGACACAGGATGGTGTCTGCTCTGCTGGCAGCCTCGGTCGCCGCTTCCCAGTTCAAAGGCTGCCCCAACGTCCCCCTCTCCCCAAAGTGCACAATGGTGTCCCGCAGCTGGGTCCCACACTTGTGGCAGGTCCGGCCTGTCTGGTGTCTGTGGAGGGCAGTGCGCTCCGTCACATCGAACACCCGCACGTACTCCCTGTTGGGAACGCAGGAGGTACAGACCTAGAGGCAAGAGGGCACAGTGAGTGGGACCCGCCTGCCCATGGAGACCCTGGGTCCCTGCAGGACTGCTCACTTCAATGTACATGTTCCCGTGGAGCTCGGAGATGGCCGTGCGCGGCAGCCCACTCCTCAGGTGGAGCCCGTCACAGTTCTGAGACACCACATGCTGCACCTGGAAGGCAGAACGGGTGGCAAGGGGAGGGATGGCTGCCAGTGGTGGTGGGGAGGTCAGTACCCGGCCACAGCGAGGCTGTTCTGAGCCCCGCCGATGGCTCCCAAAACCAGGGGCAGCTCCGTCCCCCCAGAGAGCCTTAGAAAGTAAAACACACAACAGGTCCAACCACCAGGAGTCAAGAGGGCCTGTGGTGGGGAGGGGCTGTCCTTCCTCCAGCCCTGATGCACCTGGAGTGGCTGGGAGGGCAAGAGGTTGCACCGTCCCGGCAAGGTTGGGAAGTGGCTCGGGGTTTGGCAAGGGCCACTCTGCCCCAGATCCATGCTCTCTTGGGTCATGACATTTCAGGTCCCTGGGGACCTAGGCAGATCAACCACTACACCCCATTGGTTGAGGGTGTTCAGCAGAAGGTCCCCAGAGATGTCCTATAAGCCTCCCCTGTGACTAGGATGGCTTCTGAGGTCCACAGAAAAATGCAAGGGAATCACAAAGGGGAAAGGCCACCAGCAGCTCTGAGGCTGAGGCTGGCTGCGGATGGGATGGTTCAGAGGGGGAGCTCCCCTTCTGTCCTGGAGAGTCAAGCACAGGAGGATCAAACCCGCGGCCTAACCCGCTTGGTGGGTGCTCATCATGGGAGTCAACTGGCAGACAGAGGGCGGGTGCAGTTAGTTGCCCACTGGGCACCAAGGTGCTCTGCCTGGTCCCTGGCAAGTGTACCAGCCACCCAGGGCTCTTACCAGCTTCTGCTCATGCAGACGGGTGATGCTCATGTGGGTGAGGGTTGGCTCGGCCTCGCTCAGGTCGGCAGCACTGCCAGGCAGAAAGGAAGGCAAGGTGAGGAGAGCTGGAGCTCAGGCCCGTGCTGCCGCTGCCCAGCCTATGTGGGAGGCCATGCCTGGCCCGCTTACCTAACGCTTCTCCCTTTCTGAAGCAGTGTCCACACTCCATTAGGGCCCCGGTAGTCTGGGATAGACGCTGCCTGCATGTCGAGAAAAAAGGTAAGCCAAGTCAAAAGGCACCACTGTAGGTACTGGCAGAATTCCCAGAAACGGAAAGCCACTGTCACTCCTGCCGCATTCCGGGCTGGCCTGCATGTTGGCCTCTATTCATTCCACAGGCTGACCTGCCTGAGCCCATATGGAGTGTACCCCAATTCGGCTCCTCCCTTCTACCTGGACTTCCGTTTCCCGCCTGGCCTGGCTCATCCTTCCAGGCTGCACGCAGCCCTGCCTGCCTCCGGAAGCCTCTCTGGCACCGAGCACAAAGCTGGGCTCTGTGGCACATGTGTCCTCCACACTGCAGGGGAAGACTAGTCATGTTCCTAAAGTGCCCCCAGGGCCGAGCCCACAGCTCACACATTTAGCAAATGGTGAATCCCTAGGTGGGTCCAGGCGACTGTCCATTCTCATGTCCCAGTGCTGACTATTCCCGCTCCACCTTAACAAAGGCAGAACAACTTCTTCAGATGAGATGAGCATCTAACTTCCCAGGTTTTCAATCCTGTGAAACAAACTGAGGCCCACAGAGGGCACACAAGATATGCCAGGATCAAGGTGTCTTGTGTTCCCTTTTGGGGACTCCCGACTCCTGCTTAAACTCAGAAAAATGCACCACCCCCCCGGACAGTAGTTCCGACAGTCACATTCAAGACGGGAACCTCAAACACTCCGATGAAATCCACTAGCTGCATGTGCTTTTAGTTGCCATTGGAAGTTCCATAACAGGTCACGTGACTGTTACATAATTACATGACTGGACTTTTTTTTTTTTTTTTTTTTTTGAGAGACGGAGTTTAGCTCTTTCGCCCAGGCTGGAATGCAGTGGCATGATCTCGGCTCACTGCAACCTCCGCCTTCCAGTTTCAAGTGATTCTCCTGCCTCAGCCTCTCGAGTAGCTGGGATTGCAGGTGCCCGCCACCATGCCCGACTAATTTTTGTATTTTTAGTAGAGACAGGGTTTCACCGTGTTGGCCAGGTTGTTCTTGAACTACTGACCTCATGATCCGCCCACCTCGGCCTCCCAAAGTGCTAGGATTATAGGCATGAGCCACCGCGCCCAGCATGACTGGACTTTTACATGTGACTTGTGGAGGGAGGAGACTAAACCCCAGGGCTCCGGGTATTTGAGTCAGTAGTGAACTCCCTTTTTGCATTCTTGCTGCTGAGCCTCTGCTGTTCTTTGCTTGGAGTGCCTCATTCCAACCTTCTGTAAATCTCACCCATCCTTCAAGGCCCAATCAAGGCCACCTCCCACAAAAAGCCAACGCAGGTGGGTTTCCCAACTCCAAGAGCGCAGAGTGTGTGTCTGAGTTTGCTCTAGCGACCCAGCACAGCCAGCTTTACAGTATGGTTATTTGTTCACATGCCTGATCCTTGTCACCTAAAAGCTTCCTGAGAACAGAAATCACCTGGGTTCAGATCTGCTAGGCCGACGCGTGCCCAACACCCCACACACACCCATCAAATTAGATGGACGAGGTGCCAGCTACACTTTCAAAGCTAGTGATGTCCCACAGCCCAGGATAACTTGTCAGTGAAACTTCTCAAAACACAATGCAATTCTCTCCTTCACCTGGTGTATTCTGGCTCTTACTGTGTCACTTTCTACTTATCTTCCCTCGACATGGACAGAACAGAGTGGAAAATCACAACTTTGGGCTTAGCTCTGTCCACATAACCTGGGGGTGCCTGCGAGCAGTCGGCTACTACACCCCATTCGTATCTCTACTCCTTGTTTTTTTTAACTGGCTGTAACACAGAGGCCAAGCGTTTAAAAAGCGTTTACCTTAGGTAAGTTTTGGTCATTTCGTTTCTTTAAGAGAAAAAACCTTAGAGCTGCTTTAAAGGCGAGTTTTTCGCGATTACTGGAGCTCATACTCCGTCCTGGGGTACGCCTCCGCCTCCCTCCCTACCGTGCTGATTCCCGCGCCTGTGTAGACGACCAAGTATTTGGCGTTCCGGACGGCGCTGGCCAGCTCCCGGACCTTCCCCCGCAGCTCCTCCGGGTCGTCGCACACCTGCCAAGACGCCAGGGTGGTCACCGCCCCGGGCCGCCCCACCCGGGACCGCCCGTCGCCCCAGCTGCTCCCGAAACCGGGGGCGCCCGCGCGCCGCACGCGGAACTCGCCTCCTCCTGCCGCCGCTTCAGGCCCTCGCGCCGCCGGCTCCGGCCCTGCAGCTCCGTTACCAGGTCCGCGCTCTCGGCCAGCAGCCGGCCCTCCTCGGCGCTGCGCTCCGCCGCCGCCTTCCTCAGGATGCGCGACACCTGCGGGCAGGCGGACGGTGAGCGGCGGCGCGGGCCGGGCATGGCCGGGCCGGGGAGCGGCGGCGGCGTACCTGGCGGAGGCGCTCCCTCTGCTGCTCCTCCCGCAACCTCCGGACCCGCTCCGCCGCTTTGCGCTCGGAGCGGCTCAGACCCCCGGCTGCCATCGCTCCCCTGGAGACCTGCTCTTCCGCTTCCGCCTCACACGGCAGGCCGCGCTCAGGGCGCATGCGCAAGATGGGCCCCGCCCCCACCCACCCCTTCCGGCTCCGCCCGCCGCGTCGCCCCAAAGAAGCACCTGCCAGTCTCTTTAAAAGGTTTATTGATCATATACAAAATAAAGAAAACCTTATATATCACAAACATACACTATGTACAGCAATAAATACCCGGGGGGCCAGGCCCAGTGCTGCCCCTCCTGGACAATAATTTAGCAATAAATACTGCGCAGGGCAGGGGTAGGGCACCAAGGCCACTGCCCTGCAAGAGGTCAGGCCCCTGCCCGCCCTACACGAAGTGTGAGCGCTCGGGCCTCACCCCGCATCCAAACCCCAGCCCCTCCTCACTTAGATCTTTAATAACCTCCATCCCACCCCAGCAGATCCCGGGGTCTTCTCCCACACACACAACCTCCCCTGGCTAGACCTAGGCAGGGCAGGCAGGGACTGATCAACTCTGCTTGGACCCACCTCTCAGCGCCAGGAGAGCAACAGGGCTGGACACGCGGGCAGCCCTTGTCCTGTTGCCAGGAGAAGGCTTTCTGTGCCCACTCCCGTTTGGTTAAAGGCTTCAGGGACTAGCAGATTGAGGGGGTGGGAAGAAGGGCAGGGCTGGGACACAAGGTTGCTGGAGGGGCCAAAGCCCAACTGGGGTCACCAAGAACAGGGAGGTCTCACAGTTTATCGGGGACACACTCTAGCTCAGACTCAAGGGACACCCATGGTATCAAAGCTGCTGCTCCAGGGGCAGGGTGGAAATGTGTGGGACTGGCCCAGCAGGTATGGTACACACCCAGGACACAGGCCAGAGGCAGGACAGGCATTAGTCTCTCAGACACGCCCTGCCTCTGTGTGGCACTGATTATGTACTCTACTCTCCCGACCTGCTCCAAGGCCAGACAGCCAACAGGAAGGCAAAAATACACCAAAAAGAATTATTCAGTGGCTTCTGGGGGAAAAATCGTTAATGTGTTGGTTCCTTTCACCAAACCACAGCCTAAAAAAGTAACTCACAAGATCCCAGAGCGGAAACGGTGCAGCAGGCTGCGGCTCCGACTTTCCAGATGTGGATGGGCGCTTTGGCCAAGTGGCCACTCCAGAGGGAGGCAGCAGGGACAACATGGGACCTGACCATCGTCCCAAAGCAGGCTGCAGCCGCTCAGGGCCGTGGGCCGGGCCCTGATCACCAGTCAGAAGTGTACACACATATCTGAAACATGCACCAAGAGCTGAGCCAGCAACACCAGTGCCACCCCGAGCAGCAGCCAGGGGCCTCACTCTCCTGGTGAGAGCTGACCTGTCCCTGCTGGGTATTCCTCTGAAATCTGAGCGTCCATGTTAGGATAAAAGAGGAGTTGGGGCAAAGTTAAGGTGGAAGGGAAGACATATATCATGGTTTACTTGGCGGACAAGTTTGAGAGACCTGGCCTTGGCCAAAGCCCTCGATTCGCTGTGTCAGAAAAACTGAGGTGAGAAGAGACCACCACCCTCTCCACCACCCTCTCAGTAGGAAAGCGGGATCAACAGAGATCAGAAGGACAGCACACTCACACCTGCACATGAACACACCATCTATGTCAGGAAATCCAGGGGAAGGGGAAGAGGGGTGGAGTGGCTCCGCAGGGCTGACCTGACAGGGGACAGGAACACTCCCCTAGACCCAGGGAAGTCGCCCCAAATCCAAAGCTCTTGAAAGGAGGTATGGCCTCGAAACTCCAGAAGCCTCTTCTGCCAACGCACCGAGGACCTGCACCTCCCATTCAGCACGCGTCGACCCTTACACCCTCCTCTTCCACACTCCCTTCGCCTCCAGGTCTGCAGCCTGGCAGAGGTGCTCAAAATGGATGGCCACCCACAGCCAGGACAAAAGTGGGGGCTGCACAAGGACAAGGAGGGCCTGTTTCTCCCCACTCCGAGGCAGATCATGACGTTTTCTTCATGGATACTTATGATATGATTCCAACTAACGCCTGGATTCTACTTAGACAAGATCAGACTGAGGGGAGGGGGATGAAGTCACTAAATGACAAGAGTCAACAGCCAATATTTCCATTTTCAGGCTGACGCAGGTAGACACAGGACTTGTCTCTGAACACCTCGAGCAAAGAAAAGCTCATTAACATGACAAGTGTTGATGGTGCCTCCCTGTTCCCATCCTGTGGGCACACCAGGCCAAACTATTGGATAAAAATCCCACCATCCATAGGGTTAAGCCCTGTTGGGCCACAGTTTTTCATCTTACCCACATCTGTGTGCTTTACAGAAGTCTGGGCCCCACAGAAAAGAAACCAGCAACCCGGTGAAAGGCCAGGGCTCACATGGCCAGACACAGGGCTGTAGCCTCTTGGAGGTGGGTAGGGGCACCCCCTCCCCATCATATGCCTACAAGGAGCCTCCTGAGCCCAGCCAGGAAGGGCAGCAGCCTCTGGCGAGGAACTGAGAGCAGGAGGCAGGCTGCGCCCCCACAGGGAGGCACCTCCAGCAGAAGCCAAGCAGCTGATCCCTGGAAGACACAGATCCCAAAGGGAGGCAGAAGGCAGGCCCGAAGCCAAGAGCTGCCAGCGTGGACCAGCGGAGAAGAGGGACAAGACCCGGCCCTGGAGACTGTAGCCCTTGTCTGCACTGGTGGAGACCCCCAAGGCTCTCAGAGTGAGGCAGGGACAAGGAAGAAAGGGCGGTGCCCGGTGGGCCCCCACCCACTCTGCCTGGAAGCACCACCCGCAGCATGGAAACACCTCAGGGATCAAGCGGGCGGCGAGACCTGCAGCCCACGGCGCGGGCAGCCTATAGGAACAAAGCTGAGGCCAGAGGAAGACGGCCAGGGAACGCTTGGCCATAGCCCTGTGGCCACCCACAGTGACTCCCTCATCCCTGTAATGCCACCACCCAAGGCCAGAGGTGGTGGGTGTGGAAGCAGCGTGGGGCGCCCCAAGGGACCCCAGTTTCACCTACCCCGCCACTAGATCAGCCCAAGCCCTAGACACAGATGTAGCCAAGGCTCAGTGGAGGGGGGCATGACAGAACCCCATGTCTCACCTCCTACGGACCAGGAGCTGGTGGTGGGCACAGATTCCTTGAGCTCTGACGCAGCAGGCGCCACTTGGCACCCCAGCCCAGGTCCAGCAAGCCAGCAGAAGCAAAAGCACAACTAAACCCAAAAAACGAACACGGGAAAACAGACACAAGAAGTGACACCCACAGGTCAAAGGTCACCAGAAGCACCAGCACTTTACCGCTGCACAAAACCTCACCAGGCACGGACGACACCACGGCACCGGCAAGAGACGGAAGCAGGAAGGGCAGAGGAGTAAGTCACTTTCGGTACAATTGCAAAAGATATCAAAGAGGACGGCCTTCTGGTCGGCTCACGGCTTGGCTTTTTTTTTTTTGTCTTTTTTTTAAACTAAGTTTTATAAATAATGTCTGATAACTCTGTGTATATAAAAACTAAACTCCAACAGCCACAAAGAGGTGTCCGTAAGTTTACAAGAAAGGGATTTTTTTTCTTTTTTTTTCTTTTTTTTTTAACTAGCAAAGTTTCTATTATACTTTCTTCCCTTTTCCATTCATATGGTCAAATGGTCTTCTTGCTTGTTTTTTTTCTAAAAGACAGTTTTATAAATACTCTGCAGCTCTTTTTTCTTTAACTTTTAAACATATAATTAATTTAATAACTTTGTAAAAGGAACTTCTCTCTTTTAAATAAAGGGCTATATAACCACACAAATAGGTCATGTAAACAGTGACACGGGACCCATCGCAGGGCACACTGGACCCACCCTCACGTTAAGCGCACAACCAGAGATTTGGTCTTGTTCAGTGCAACGGGTCAGGCCTGAGTGCACAGCCCCTGGGCCCAGCTGCACGCCCCCAGCACCACTGCGCCCAGGCTGGTGGTCCACCCATCAGGGCCTTCAAGCCCGCCCTACTCTCAGAGCAGAGCCCATCTCTTCATGCTGGGCTAAGCTGAGCTGCTCCCCTGGGGCTAAAGAGAGTGAATCCTTCCCAGCCCGCGAGCCTGTGGCCACTCGGGAGTGGAGGGAACACTGGGACCCTCACTGCTCGGGGACACGCGAGGCCCAGCGTGCCTGCTCCTTCTCTCTCCCGCAACTCTCTCTAGTCCGTTCCCACAGCACCAACTCTGGACTCCAAGCCTGCATGGCCCTGGTACAAAAGGGGTTGGGGCGACCCCACGTCACCGCCGAACTGACCAATCCCAACATACAAAACACACGACGACAATGACGAGATCAAAGGGGCTCAGCCCGGCGCCCCTGGGGTACAGGTTGTGCTTTGCAGGGAAGAGAGAAGGGTGGGGAAGAGAGGGAGGAAAGAGAAGAGAAGGAAACAGAGGGACAGGGCAGCCAAATTCGCCATGTGCCTAGTGGCCCCGCAAAGACCCGCCTGGGCAGACGCGCGTCCCTACGATCGGGCATCCGTCTTGGACTTTACTATTGTGATGACGCTGGTGGCGGCCACCTTGCCTGGGACGAGGGGCCCCAGGCCGGCGGCAAGGGGGCCCCGGGCTGGCGCCACGGGGCTGCGGGCCACCGTCCGGGCGAAGGTCTGCAGCGCCTCGTACTTGGAGCGCAGCGCGTCGAGCTCCAGCTTCATGCTGGCGTTCTCTGAGGCCAGCTTCTCCACCTCCTGCTGCAGCTCCGCCTTCTGCTTCTCCAGCTCCTCCTTCTGCGTCACCCGCTTCACGCGGCAGCTGGCAGCGTAGCCGCGGTTCTTGAGCGTGCGCCGGCGCTGCTTCAGCTGGACGATCTCCTCCTTGGACAGGCCCCGCAGGTGCTGGTTCAGCTCCCGCACCGACATGGTCACCAGCTCCTCATCCGTCAGGCTGGTGCCATTCTCACCCGGCTCCCGCTTCACCTGGGGCACAGTGCAGGTGGTCACAGGCCAAGCGGGCACGCCCACTGTGCCCCCCGACCCCAGCCCACAGGCTCCTGTCCCTGCCCACTCACCTTCAAGGCCTTGTTTCCTTTATTGGGGGTCGTCATAACCCGGGGGCACAGCGAGCAGGCGCTCTCTGCAAGACACGGAGCAGGTCAGTACCCTGGAGACCACCCTCGCCGCACCCCCCCCCCCCCGCCCCCGGCCCAGTTCACAAGAGCCCTTGCCGCACAGCCCGCCCCAGCCTGCTGTCCAGGTGCCCAGCCCCCAATACCTGATAGGAGGCAGCCCTTGGCCTCTCCCAGGCTGGGCTGAGCTGCTTCCTGTCCACCCTGCCCCTAGAGAACCAGGTGGGAGGTCAGGAAGGTCTGACGGGAGAAGGGGAACTGAAGGCTGTTAGGAAGGCAGGCGCAAGACAAGGGGCAGGGGAGAGATTAGAAGGAATAAGACGCGGGAGAGGCAGGCCTAGAAGGAAGCCGGGAGCTTTAAAAATAACCCCGGCACTGCCCAGAGCGCGGCTGTTCCTGGCGAGTCACGCTGACTCAGCACATTGCCTCTGCCTCCCCGCCGCGCCCGCACTCCCTGGCCCGCCAGCCAACAGCGCCCCACGAGAGCCGCAGCCCCCAGCCTGGCCAATAGCAGGTGAGGGCCAGCCAGTGACCCTGTGTGTGCATCTTCCAGGGTCCTACCTTCTACAGCCACCTCCCCTGAGCCGGCCTCGGACAAAGCCCCCTGCTCCCTGGGTGCACAGGGGCCCCACGGGGGACCTGGCCAGAGAGGAGGCTACAGGGAACCCCGAGTCTCCCAGCCTCCTAACTTTGAAAAGCTGGGGGTGGGCCGTCCATCTAGCTCTGGTCTGTTGGCAGGACTGACCAGGGAGTTCCCCCACCTTCCAGGTGGCAGGCCATCAGCTGGGAGGAGCCTGGCCCGAGGCCCCTCTAGACCTCCCAGTCGGCCTCCTCCACTGATGGAGTAACCATCCTGTGGCTTTGGGTTGCAGGAAGCAGCCCCTGCCCCACCCCATCCAGGGTATTTCACAAGGGCTCCCACAGTGAGCCACCCCGGGCCTGCCCAACGTGAAGGCTGGCGGAGTCAGCCCCTCCGAGCTGCAGCCTGCTCTCTGGTCCCTGCCCCGGGTGAGTGCCCACAGGGCCAGGGAGCAAAAACAAAAGTGCTGGGGTGGCCGGACTTAACAACCAACTCTTCCCCACTCGGGGTCCCTCCAGCACTCTGCTCTCACTTTCTTGCTAAGGATGTTTCTGGGATTCCCAGCTCAGCCCAGCTCCCACCAGACCCTTGGGCATGGACCCCCGCCTCATGCTCCATCCCCCACTTTCCAGGTTTGATGCAGACAGATGGGAGACTCCTCCAGAGGAGCTAGGATCACTTCAGGAAATTATGGGCTGGGGGGCTTCTTACTCTCATCAGGGGAGCTGAAGTGTGGCCAGGCGGATGCACACATCCTCACCAGGCTCAAGACTCCACCTCACCCAGCCTGGGACCAGGAGGTGA
The DNA here is from genome assembly GCF_000001405.40 of Homo sapiens. NCBI lineage: Eukaryota > Metazoa > Chordata > Mammalia > Primates > Hominidae > Homo > Homo sapiens. Next base: position 81,924,591 of record NC_000017.11, read on the forward strand.
GGCTGCAAGCACAGAGCAGGGAGGGGAGGCCAGAGACCCCTCCCCACAGCCAAGCCAGCTCAGAGGCAAGGTCCCGAGGCTCCAGCCACTGGATTCTTCCAGATAAAGGATGGGGAAGACCTGAGCTGGAGGTCAGAAGGCCCACAGGAGCCCTTTCCTACACGTCCGGCACAACACTGCCCCAGGAGACAGGCCCTCAGCCAAGCATGGAGGGGCCCCCCAGCCTTGAGTGCAAGTCAGGGTGCAGAGACACTGCCCTGGCACCAGCTTCTCCCACCCCCATCGCCCCCACCCCTGCTGCTAAGCACAATGACAGTGGTGACTTCCTGAAGAGATCACACGGAAAAGTGCCTCCTCGACAGATTTTGCCCTCCGCAGAAGGCCTGAACTCAGCACAAGTGCAAGCCATCGCCTCCTATCAAAGGTGCGCCGGGGGGTGGGGGAGGGGCAGCCCTGAGCACAGCCAGTGCGTTCCAGGCTCCTGGCCTGGCCTCTGGACCTGGGCTGAGAGGGACCATGCAGGGATCCCAGGAGCTGGACTGAGGAGAAGCTGCCCCCGCCCTCCTCCAGCCCTCAAGGCTGGGCAGAGCTGGGGCCTGTCATGCACCCTCTGCTCCCAGAGGCTAATAAGCCCACCTCACGCAGGAGGCACAGATGGTCACGGCTCCGCAACCTGCGAGGGTACCTAGGCCACCCATTCACACTGAGAGCCAGGAAAGGGAGGGAGATTTGGGAGCTCCGTCTCCTTTGGCTAAAGTAGAAACTCCCGTGCCTGAACACAGACAGCCCCACCTGGCTGCAAAGCCCAGCGGCCGAAACTCCCCGGCAGTCATGGCCTCTGCTCCATAAGCTCTCAGCTCCTGAAAGTCACTCTTTGAACAGAACCTAAAACTTAGTTTCCACTGATGCATAAGTGACTGAGAAGATGTACATAAATGGGCCGCGCGGTGGCTCACACCTGTAATCCCAACACTTTGGGAGGCCGAGGTGGGTGGATTACGAGGTCAGGAGATCGAGACCATCCTGGCTAACACGGTGAAACCCCGTCTCTACTAAAAATACAAAAAAATAGCCGGGCGTCGTGGTGGGCGCCTGTAGTCCCAGCTACTCGGGAGGCTGAGGCAGGAGAACGGCGTGAACCTGGGAGGCAGAGCTTGCAGTGAGCTGAGATCGCGCCACTGCACTCCAGCCTGGGCAAAAGAGTGAGACTCCGTCTCAAAAAAAAAAAAAAAAAAAGATGTACATAAATGTCCCTCCAGGACCCCAAAATTTTCCCAGGGCATCAAACTCCAGGCCAACGGTCAGCTAAAACATTGAAACATCTGGAATCTATAAGCCCCGGGGCTCACTGAGAGTGGACCTGTGTTCTGTGTGTATGTGTGGGGGGTGCTCACTGAGAATGGACCTGTGTGTGTGTGTGTGTGTGTGTGTGTGTGTGGCGGGGGGCGGGGGGCATCCCTGAGGGCAAACCACAAAGTAGCCTAACCCAGCCATGAAATGAACTCCTGGGCAAAGGAAGTCAACCTTCGTGAATCTCCACATACCCAAGGAAAGGTGGCTCTGGCCACATCACTCCCAAGCTGCCACTTTCTAAGCGTCCTGGGCTGCCAGGCCAGACACCCAACAGGGCCACTCCCTTTGCTAACTTCACACAACGCTGAGACCCCACTTCAGGTAGCGACAACTTTAGGGTGGCTGGGTGCTGCGTTCTGCCACCCTGTGCCATCCACACCAGCCCATCTGCTGCACCCCAAGGCTAGGCACCCTGAAGCTCCCACCACCTACAGTCTCAACCCAGACTCCAGGGCCAACTGGGGAGAGAGGCTGGGCTGCTTCCTCCCCTTTGCCGTTTCCTGGTAGAGCTGCCCCTGCTTCCTCCCTGCCCAGCCCACTGTCACCCAGGGCTTGGTACACACACCCCTCTTTCTCCCAGGACCTCGATCTCTGGCCAGGGGCTGTCCAACCAGGCCAGTCCCAGGGAAAGCCGACTTCCCCTTTGGCTAGCTCGGCCCACCGAAGCTCCTCCCCTCCCTCACTCAGGGAACTATTTCCCAGTTTGGAAAACTGCTCCAGACTTGGGACCAGGACCAGCTGCCGGAAAAGAGCCGCCTGGGAAGGGGTGGACCGCCCGGGGCTTCACCTTTGACCCCGGGAGAACACCTGCAGCGAGCCACCCCCACTTCCTCTTCAAGCACCCCTGCCTTCAACTGGATCGCTCGGCGCTCACTTAAACAGGCACCCCAAGGCGCCGGGCCTGGCCCCCTCCCACATCCCCACGGCTCCCTCCCACCTCCCGCTGGCGGCCTTTTAGTCCCCGAGGCCCCTCGCTCGAATCCCCTCCGGTATCAGCTTGAGCACCGAGTGACCTCACGCTGATGACTCAGCAAGTCTCCCTCCGGGCTCTGGCACGCGACTGACGGAACCCGAGCCCCAGCCAGGGGCAGGGTCTTCCCCGCAGCACCCCCATCGCCGCCCCTCCTCCCGGGCTCGCCGCGGACCCCCGCGCCGGGGAGAGCTGACGCGGCCACCGGATGAATCAGCAGCTGCGGGCCGGGCCGCCGGGCCCTGGCGCGGACCCCCGGGCGCCTCGCTCGACCCCACCCTTTCCTCCCGCCGTCCAGTGCCCCTCCCTCCAGGACGCCCGGGTCTCCGAGTCCGCTCCGCACTCGCCCGGCTCCGCGGGTCCGCCGCCGCCCGCGGCCCACCTCCAGTACCCGGGCGCCAGGGGCAGGAGGAGCTGGCTCCTGACCGCTGGGGAAATCGAGGCACGGGCCGCCAGCAGGGTGCGCGGCAGACCCGAAACCAGCGGCCCCCGCCGCCGGGCCCCCAACCGCCCGCCTAGCTCCGGGAGGAGCCCTGCCTGCGCGCCCCCTCGGCCCCCGCCGCCCCCGCCGCGCCGCCCCCACCGCCCGGGCCCGCCGCCGCAGCCGCACTCACCACACTGCGGGCCCGGCGGGCCGAGGCCGGGGCGGGGCGGGGCCGCGCGCGCTCCGAGGCCGCGCGGGGCAGGGACCGGCGCGAGGGGTCCGGGCCCGGGGCTCGGAGGACTCGCCGCCTGCGCGGGCCGGGCCGAGCGCACTGGGAAGGCCGGGCCGGACCAGGCTCGGGATCCGCCGCCGCCGCCGCCGCTCCACAGACGTCACATGATGTTTGGTCACGTGGGCTCCATTCATGAAGCGGCGACGCGGCCGGCCGGCGCTTAAAGGGGAAGGCGCGGCGGCGGGAGGGCAAACTGCGCATGCGCAACCCGCGCGCCGTCGTCCCTGGCAACACTGGCTGCTCTAGCGCCTGGCGGGGTCTCACGGGCGGGCCTGGGCGCACGGCCAAAGCGCCAGGTCTCCACCCCCAGCCCCCGGCGTCCTGCAGCCGGAGCCTGCCTCGCCTGGCTCCTGCGCCCGCCGTCCAGGGCCCCTGTCCAAGCTCGCGGACGCCGGCGGCGTTTTCCAGCTCGAGTGCTCAGCCTAGGGCAGGCTCTGCGTGCGCCCCCTCGAGTGCCGGCCTGGGCCCTGCCAGGCAGAGGCGCTCTTGCGTCAGGACGGCGCCGCCGGGGCCCCGCGATTCCAACTCGGGGGTCCCGGAGCGGCGCGGGGCGGGGACGGCCTGGCAGCTCCCAGCAGCGAGGGGCGATCCCCGCCCGCGCAGCAGACCCCGAGCTGCCCAGGCCCTTCCTGCGCCACGTGTACCCAGAGCTCCGCCCGGGGGAGACTTCGCTGCTTGTTGGAGATGCCCAGCGGTAGGGGGCGAGGACTCGGGAGGAAGATAAACGGGGGATCCCGTGTCTGGACTTTCTCCTCCACCCTCTTCCCTTCGCAGCTGTGAATCCTGGGAGGGGAAGGGTGGCCGCCCCGCCAGCAGGTGAGCGGGGAGGAAGGGGCGGGGACGGGCTGTGGGGTCCTCCTGGGCTCCGTCCATGAACAGGCCGGCCCCAAAGTCCCGAAGCCGTGAGGTGTAAGGCTCAGAAGCGTCCCTCCGCCTGTCCCTGCCAGACCCCAGGAACTCCTCCGAGCCCCACAGCACGTTGTCGCCGTGTGCGCTGTGGGGCTGCGTGTGGTTCTTACGGTGGTGTCCTTAGTCGTCGGGGACCTGCTCCCCCTGCTCTGGACACAGCCCGAGTCTCACAGGCTCTAGGGGCATGATATGGTCCTGGCGTGGCTTCCGAGGCCTCAACCTTAGTGTACAAAACAGCACACGGGGCCCTGAGGCCAGGAGTGCAGCTCCGTCTCCTGCCTCTCCTCCCTGCTCGCGTCCTCATCCTACCACACCACACTGGGCTGGCGAGGGGAGGGCGCCCTGAGCCGCTGGGCATCCTGCTCCGCGGGAGGGTGAAGTCGTGCATTGCTGGGCGGTGAGGGCTAGGTCCACACAGCGGGGACCTGGCGGGCCCCCGAGTCTCCTCAGGACCCGCCCTCCGTGCCACACAGCGGGAGCTGGAGCCACGGTGCCGTCAGGAGCCAGGGGTGATTGGCCCTGGGGCTGGCAGCCCCCACCCCGCGGGCAGACGCTCACCAGGCTGTCCCCACTCACTCCCACACCCCAACTCCTCCTCACAGGGTCGAGCCCGCTCTCATTTGCACCTCCGCGCGAATTTGGAACGGATTTATGAATCGTCCTCACTGCGGTGCTGTCTTCTCCTGGGAAGGAGCCTCAGTCCTCCCCTCCCTGGGCACTGTCATAGAGATGGGCAGGACGGGCTGGGGAGGACACTCAGGGAGCTGCCCAGGCTCCTTTGCTGCCCCTCACCCCAGAATCTTCTTGGGGTGGGTGGGGTCCCAGGCACCTGCAGAGTAGCATACGGTGGCTTGTAGAAAGAGTATCGAGGGAGGGGAGGTGCCACGTGGAAACAGCCCAAGCCAAACCCCTAGGACCTGTCTCCCTGTCCTCCTAGAGAGCTGAAGGTGTTCCGTGGTCAGTGAGGGCTGGCACTGGCTCTGCACGAAGATCTCCTCACCTCCCCAGCGGCTCCTGGCCAGCTCCCCACGGAGAGCCCAGGACACTTGTCCCTGGACACAGTGGTGCAGCCATGCTTGGGCCAAACCATGAGGCCACCAGAACCGCGAAAGGCTACTGTACTGAGAGGGATACTGCGAGAGAGGCCCACAGGTTTCCAAGCATCCCTCTCACTCCGCACACTCATCTCCACGACCGGCTTTAAGTGCGGCCTTGAGGCCTGGCTCCCTGTTTGGACTTCTCTGCACCTCCAGGAGCTCACTTCCCGTCACAGCTGGATGCCTCCTCCCGCAGGCACCTCCCGGGCATCCTCCCGCCCCAGGCTGCACCTTCTGTGGGACTGGCCCCCGCAGGCACCTCCCGGGCACCCTCCCGCCCCAGGCTGCAGCTTCTGTGGGACTGAGCCCCGCAGGCACCTCCCCGGCATCCTCCCGCCCCAGGCTGCACCTTCTGTGGGACTGAGCCCCGCAGGCACTTCCCCGGCATCCTCCCGCCCCAGGCTGCAGCTTCTGTGGGACTGACCTTAAGACCCCATCGGTTCCTCCTGAGAGCAGCAGATCTCAGCCAGATGCTGCCGGGAGGGAGGTGCTAGCGTCCACACCCAGACGGGTCCAGTCCAGCCCTGCTCTCCCTGGTCTCCAGGCAGGGCCCTCCCAGGGTGGACATTGCCCATCTCTGCCTGGCCAGGGGCTGCTGACCCACTGGTTCCAGAGTCTGAGCCTGTCCTGCACAAGTACCATGGACAGGGGTCAGCCGGGCACTGAAGAGGCGTGGCAGAATTGGGCAGGGCAAGGGCCCCAGCTGGCAAGCTGGAGTCAGGGCAATTCCAACCAAGAAACTGCGGCAGGCCGGGTGCAGTGTCTCAAGCCTATAATCCCAGCACTTTGGGAGGCAGTGGGAGAATCGCTTGAGCCCGGGAGTTTGAGACCAGCATTGGTAACATAGAGACCCTATCGCTACAAGAAAAAAAAAAAAAAAAAGCTGGGCATGGTGGTGCACACCTGTTGTCCCAGCTATTCAGGAGGCTGACGTGGGAGGATTGCTTGTGCCCAGGGGTTGCAGGCTGCAGTGAGCTGTGATCATACCACTGCACTCCAGCCTGGGCGACAGAGAACCTCTCTAAAAAAAAAGGAAAATGAAAAATAAATGGGGGCAGAAGCTGAGCCAAGCAGAGGCGGGCAGCTCCTCCTCCAGGGCCCACCTGGCCTGCTGGGGACTCACTCCAAACCGCTTCATTTTTGGAGGGGGCTTTCCAGGACTGAGAGGTGTCAGAGCTGCTGGTGACAGGAGCAGGGAAAGCACCATCTGGCCAGCCCCCAGGGGCCCCCTGTAGGGTTCCTCTGCCTGGCAGCGTTTCGACGCTTCTTGGCAGGATCCTTGGGTCCTTGGCCCCCGGCACCATCTCCCTCCTTGACCTGCTGAGGCCCACATAAAACATGTTGCTACTTGGGGTGGGCCCGTCCTCACGCTCTGTGGCTTCCTGGGTGTCCACCTCCCCACAGCCTGCCTCACCTACCTCCCCAGACTTCTCACGCACGTCAGGAGCCTCCTGTGGACTCTGGCTCTACCTGCCTCTGGCCTCTGCTTAATCAGGAACCCACAGTGGGAAAGCTCCTAGGGCCCGCCTGCTGAAGCAAACGCCTCCTTGCAAAGCCCGTCTGCAGCCCCCCACACACCTCCTCACCTCCCTGTGCTTCCTCTGGAGCCCAAGACCAGTCTGCCTCACTTGAAACCCGCGTCGCCTGCTGGCTTCCCTTGTGTCCCCGGACCAGAAGCACCTTTGGCAGCCCCGCGCCCCTCGTCTTGCTCTGCGTCAGCACCTGAGAATGGGCGCTAGCAGGGAAACTGGCTTTGAGGGGAATGGTCGGGGCAGCTTTGGTCCTGGGACAGGCGTGTGGCCTGTGGGACAATCTCTTCTGGGGGCACCTCTGCCCAGGTGGGAGGAGTTGCCAGGGTCTCCCAGCACTGCCAGGCGCTTTGCTGGGGCAGGGGGTTATTCTATTGCTCACAGCCCTGACACAAGGGCATTCCCCACCCGCCCTGATGCCCACATCCACCCATACAGGAGGGGGCCTTCAGGGGAGCCTGCAGGGACTCCCGGCCCAGCACCGTCCATCTGTGTCCCCCGCTTAGCTCCTGCACTGCCAGATCTCAGCCAGACAGCAGGGACTCACCCCACCTACCGTCCCCTTTGTGCCTGGGTGTGGTGGGTACTCGTTTTATGGGGAGTGGCCAGGACTCTTGCCAGGGGGAGAGTGGCGGTGGAGGATGTACCCATGCCATCTGCCCTGCCGCAGCGTTTCCTCCCTGTTCCCCTGCATGTCTTCCCTCCCTCGGGGGAAACGCAGGATTCTGTTCCCCAAGCGCCCTCTACACGCCCCATATATACCAAGCATGGTTCTGCAGTGAGCCTATGGGGTCTCTGGAAATGAGTTCCCGGGATAAGTTCCAGAAAGTTGCTCAGCTCTCCTAACCCCTGCACACCCTGGAGCCCCCTGCATACCCTGACTCCTGGCGCACCTGGGACCCCCCTGCACACCCTGACACCCTGCTGCTACCCAGCCCAGCTCCCCTCACACAGTGTGCACTGCCTCTGGAGGGAAGGGGGCCTCATCTTGCTGTCTCCATACTCAGTAACTATGTGTTGGTTGAAGGAACCAGAGCACCCCTGGCCCTTGTAACCCAACCCTCAGCAGCTCCTCCAATCCTGTGGGCCTCCTGGAATGGGTGATTGTATGTGTCCACTTGACTGGGCTACAGGGTGCCTGAGTGTTTGGTCAAACATTATTCTGTTTCTGGCAGGGGTGGGGAGGGGTTGCATGAGACTAACATTTGAATCTGTAGACTTTTGCATTAGATTACATTGACATTTTAATCAGTAAGGCAGATGCCCTCCAAGATGTGGGCGGGCCTTGTCTAATCAGTTGAAGGCCTCCACTATTCCACCCACAGTAACCACCCTCCCACACAGGCAGGGCCTCCCTCCTCATGTGGCAGACAGAAGTCAGGACACTGGGGGCTGGAAACCAACTTATAAAACTGAAAGGGCCAGGACAGAACTGATAGCACCCTCCCAGGGAGGTCAGGAGCAGGAGGTGGTGGCCACAGAAGTTCACCAGCAGCCCAAGGAGCCCTTTCCCCAAATGTCCATGGGATCTGCGTGCTTGGCAGCCAAGAGGGGCTGTGGCCCTTCACGCTGGACTTGGGATGCCTGGACCCTCTGGCCCTTCTCACACGGGAAGGAGAGGTTTCTCCCTGAATGGAGGGCAGGGAGGGGCCGGGAGGGGGCGTGGGATCCCACCTCTGCTGAGCCTTCACAGAGGGGGTCCTTGACCTTTGCTCTCAGGAAGGAGCCCGTGCCAGCTGATACTGGAGTAGGAGTGGGTGAAGACCCTCCGGGCTCCCGAGCTCTAGAGGAAGGTGGTCCTGACATGGTTTGGGAGCAGAGAAGAAAGGAGGTTGAGGTTGGGGAATCCACCCCTGTTCTGGGCTGGGAAGCACTTGCAGACCACAGAGATTTCCAGTGGGAAGTGATGTGGCCCCTCCCTGGCTATGTCCCTGGCTGGCCCCTGCGCTGATCAGAGCCACAGAAAGTGGGCCACTTTGGGGACCCCCTAGTCCCCCTAGTGACAAGAGAAGAGAAGGTGGTGGCAGGATGGTGGTCAGGCAGGACGTGTCAATCCTTGCCCGCTGGGGCCAGGCTGCGGGGGAGCAGCTTGGTGTGGCCAGAAGGTGACAGAGCGGTCCCTGCAGGGGAGTCCAGCTTCACCTTGTCCAGGATGGTCTTCTTGATGGCGGCTGGTGACACCTGCTCCTGGTCAGCCATGGACTGCAGCTCCCTAGAGAGGCAGGGAGAGGTTGGCTTTGGAGCACAAGCGTGCACCCAGGAAGAGGGAGTGAAGCCCACAGCTCCCAGTGCCAGTCAGCCCTGGGCGATGCTGTCACCCTCACCTCAGCACCTTTATTCCCCTCTGCCAGCGACACGCCCCCACACAGCTGCTGGGCTCCTTCTCACCTCATTCGAATCAGCTCAGCATCACCAAATCTCCCCGCAGTGCCCCCCAGACCTGAGTTCTCGTGGCCCCACCACGGGATGTGGGTTTACACCTGTCTCCCCTGCAGGCTGGAGGTGAGGCCAGGCCCCTCGTGTTCCCCTCACTGTTACAGGGTGGCACTCGCAGAGTCTGAGGGTGTCTGGACTGGAGAGTGGGCAGTGTGGCGAGAAAGACGTCCTCACCCACCCTGCAGACCTGAACTGGGGACAGCGGCTCCCAGCCTGGCTCTGCCTTTGACCAGCTGTGGGATCCCAGGCAAACAGCAAACTCTGTCTTTCTCTTGCTCTTTGCTTCTTTCACCTTCCATGGAATTTTCCTTGTGCCTGGATGTTGCTGCGTGTCCTACTGGTCTAACTTAATCCCACAGCGAGGGCAGGAGGAAGGTGGGCCCCCACAGAAGTTTCCTAATGTGGCTGGCCACCCCGCCACCCCACTGGTGTGGCCCCTGGCTCAAATGACACTCCTAGCTATGACAATGGTGAACCTATGTGGGGAGCACAGGGCACAGCATCCGGGTCCCTCTATGGATGTTCCCTCCTCGCAGGAAACGGAAGGTGGGGAGGGGCACTGCCCACAGTAACCCAGGGAACCTCGGGGCCCCCTGTGTCCTGCGCAACACTGGGCTGGAGCTCAATACGTATCTGCTGAGTGCGTGAATGAGCAGATGTGTGTGAGAGAGGCCTCTGCCATGCAAGGACTGGAGACCAGGGAAGCGGGCAGCGCGGGGGCCCACCGTGTGCGGATGCAGGAGGCCTCCACAGCGTTGATGAGCAGGGAGCGGAAGCCCCCACTCTCCAGCACATGCAAGGCATGGATGGTGGCCCCACCAGGAGAGCTGACGTTGTCCTTGAGCTGGCCTGGGTGCTGTTCTGAGTGCAGCAGCATCTTGGCAGCCCCCTGCAGCCAGAAGAAAGGCTGACGGCTGTGGGCACGCACCTGCCTCTGCGGGGCACTGCCCCAGCCACTGTAGCACACACTGACGCCCCACTTGGCTCCTCCCAGTGAAGCCCCAGGGCCCCGCAAAGAGTGGCCCCACCAGAGGGTCAGGAAACACACTGACCAGGAGGGCCTGGGCCCCGAGGCGGACTGCCAGGCGCCTTGGAAGTCCCATCTTCACACCCCCATCAGCCAGGGCATCCAGGGCTGTGAATGCCTGTGGGGAGAAGGCACCCTGAGCCTCTCTCCTGGGCTTCTCCTCCTTCCCTTCTGGGCAAGCTCCAGTTCCCACAGCCTTGGAGCCCTCCACCCTGGCCCTCCCAGGGGGAGCAGGGACAGATGTGCCCGGTGGTCCCGGGAAGTGCCCGCCGCCGCCAGCTTCCCCCGCAGTCCTTACGTAGGCGGGGCCGCTGCCACTGAGCCCCGTGACGGCATCAATCAGGTCCTCTTCCACCTCCGTGCAGAAGCCCACGCTGCTCAGCAGCTGCTCCATGAGCCTCCCGTCCTCCACCTGGGCGTGCGTGCCTGTGGCATACACGGTGGCCCCCTCCCGCACCACGACTGGAGTGTTGGTCATGCAGCGGATGACCCTGGGGGCTGGCCGAAACGCTGACAGCTTCTGGAAGAGAAACCAGCGTGTCCGTCTGGCCATGGACGCAGTGCCTAGATGCACTCACCCCACCAAGCAGTGCCCGAGCTCTCCCAGTGGGCCGGGACGCTGCAACCCTTTTGCAGATGAAAACTGAAGTACTGAGGGCCCGGGCTCTAGACAGCCCCTCTCCACACCCCACTGGGCCTGCGGTGCTACCTTCTCAATGGAGCTGATGGTGACGCCGGCCGCGCAGGACACCACAATGTGTCTGTCCTCAATGTCGGCGCCTATTTCATCCAGGATGAAGGGGATGATGTGTGGCTTCACAGCCAGGAAGAGCACATCACTGTGCTGCACCGTCTCCTTGTTGTGGGGTGTCAACTTCACCCCCATCTTCTGCAGGGGCAACAGGTGGGCTCAGCCTGGTCCCGTGGCTGTCTGTACCCCCACCAAGCCAAGAGCCCCACAGGTAGAATGGCACAGAGAATGCTGGAGTTGGGGGTGGGCAGGGCTGGGGGCTCAGGGCTCTGACCACCCCCTTGATGACCCTTCCCACCCAGAAATGGAGGAAGAACTCTGTGTGGAATATGTCCCTGCTGCAGACAGAAAAGGACCCTCCATCCATGCCACCAATCTGCCCCCAGCCTGGGACTGCCGTCCTCCAGACCGGGCTCTCCACGTGGGAGTGGTGGTCTCAAGCAGCCCCCAGGTGTGTTCCTTGGCTGCCAGGCTGTGGCCCCACCTGCCAGGCCCCCAGAGGACCCCTCGAAACTTTAACCCTGTGCAGGGAACTCCATTCCAGAACAACACCCTCCTATCAGCTGTACACACGCCCACCACCCAGGTCCCAAGAGCAATCAGCAGGGCGAGGAGGTGGGGTCCATGAGACCCCAGCCCAGGGCCCCTGCCCTCACTGGGGTGGGGGCTACAGCACACACTCCTGCCTCTCACACCCAGCCCCACAGGGACTCAGTCTCCTTTCTCCCTTTCATCTGCACCTACCCTGAGAGCAGAAACTGTGGCCAGGTCCATGTCTGGGGAGCTAGCCATTATCTTGTGGGCAGCCAAGACGCCTGAGGGGAGAAACAGTTCCTCTTCAGTTCTTTATTATTTTTTTTTTTTTGAGACGGAGTCTCGCTGTGTTGCCCAGGCTGGAGTGCAGTGGCGCAATCTCGGCTCACTGCAAGCTCCACCTCCCGGGTTCACGCCATGCTCCTGCCTCAGCCTCCCGAGTAGCTGGGACTACAGGCGCCCGCCACCACACCCGGCTAATTTTTGGTATTTTTAGTAGAGACGGGGTTTCACTGTGTTAGCCAGGATGGTCTCGATCTCCTGACCTCGTGATCCGCCCGCCTCGGCCTCCCAAAGTGCTGGGATTACAGGCGTGAGCCACCGCGCCCGGCCGGAAACAGTTCCTCTTCATGGCTAGCTTTGGCTTCCCTCCCTCCCCATTCCCAGGAAGAAGAGTGAGACAGCACAGGTAAAGCCCCAAACACACAGAAGTTGCCAGTTCCCGCAGGACTCAGGCCTTGTGACCCAGCACCCACCTTCAGCCCCCAGCCCTGCAGAAGTGGAAAGAGGCCAGTCTCTCCCACTGGGCCTCACCGTCCCCCACCTGGGGGCCTACCTGCTGCTGTGAAGCCCTTGGCCAGGGCAAAAGCCAGCTGGCCAGCGCCGATGAAGCCCACGCTCATGCTGTCCGGAGACCCCTGGCCCAAAGCCCCCACAGATGGCACCGGCTCTGCGGGACGAGACCGGCAGGATCGAGAGCAAGTTAGGGGGGCAGTGCCAGCCTGGCCGCTCCTCCCGCAGCCGGGTGCCCACCTCCCCTGGTCCCAGCTGGTCTAACTTTCCACTTTGCTGTCCGGCCCGTTAACTGCTTCGGGGCCCCCAGTCAGAGCGGCGGTGCCTGGCCTGCTGCCTAGGGTCCCGCACCCACTGGAGGGGTGGAGGTTCCGCAGAAGAAATGACTGGGAAGGGGGAAAAGTACGGGGAGAGGGAGGGCCCGGCGCCTAGGGGTCCCCCGTCTGGGTTCCCACCCCGCCCAGAACTGGGCTACCGTCGCGCCCCACCCGGCGACCGCCGCCCACCATTCCCGGAGCCCGACCCCAACCCAGCTACCGTGCGCGGGTCGTACCCACCCCTCAGCGCTGCGGCCGCCACGCGGCACCCGCACCCAGGCCCCGCCCCCGTCGCGCCAGCGAATCCGGGCGCGGCCGCCAGGCGCTGGCCAATCAGAGCGCGCGGCGGCGCCAGAGCGGTTGCATCATCTGCGCGCCCCTCCCACGCCGACCGCCGGCCCTCGCCTCTCTCGCGCCCCGGGATCCCCCGGCCCCCGGATAGACACCCTCTCCGGCACGCGGTCCCCTGACCCGCGCTCCTCCTGGTCGCGCTTCCCGGGACCTACACGTGGGGTCCGAGGACGCGGGCGGAGGGGGCGGCCCGATTGGGGCCTGTGAGGGGCCCTCCACGCAGGGCTTTGTCTTGGGCCACCCGGACACGGACGCGTCCAGCTGGCGTCCCTGGGCGCGCGGCCGGCTCTCTCTGGGAATCAGTCCCTTCTACTGTCATCGAGTTTGGAGAAGCCCGGCTGTACAGCGTTTTCTTTCCTTTTTTTTTTTCCCTTGGGGGCAGAGTTGAAAATAATTTGCCAAGTGGAAGCATTTTAAATATATCACCATTTGGGCCGGGCGCGGTGGCTCACGCCTGTAATCCCAGCACTTTGGGAGGCCGAGGCGGGCGGATCACCTGAGGTCAGGAGTTCGAGACCAGCCTGACCAACATGGTGAAACCCCCGTCTCTACTAAAAATACAAAAAATTAACCGGGCGTGGTGACAGGTGCCTGTAATTCCAGCTACTCGAGAAGCTGAGGCAGGAGAATCGCTTGAACCCTGGAGGTGGAGGTTGCAGTGAGCCGGGATTGCGCCACTGCACTCCAGCCTGGGCAACAAGAGCGAGACTCCATCTGAAAAAAAGAGAGAGAGAAAGAAAGGAAGAAAAGAAGAAAAGAAAAGAAAGAGGCATGACAGTGCGGCCACAGGTGTTCCTCTAACTGGGCACGCAGCGGTGCTCCACTAAGCAAACGAAGGAAGCCCACCCCATCATGCCCCCACTCCCACGCAGCCCGGAGCATCCTCCAATACCCAAACCTCTCGCCTGCCTGGGTTTTAGGGGGAGTGAAGCTCCAGTCACTTCCCCCTGAGGACATGCTCAGAGTTCATCTGATTCGGGCCTGCATCTGGGGCTCTGGATAGTCAGGGTCCCTGTCGGTGGCCAAGATTAAGGGCGAAGTCAGAAGGGATCACTGGCAGCCCATTCCCCTGCCAAGGGGTGAGAGGAGCTGCCTTATTTTTTCTGTGCTGTATCTTAGATGATGACAGGCTATTCTAGCACATCATTTCAGAAGGCCTGGGATGCTTCTGCCACAGCGGCAGGGCCACGCGTTCTGGCTATCTGTCTACCTGGTCCCCCCACCGTGAACACGTAATGACCACCACCAACACTGGGAGGCTGCTCTGTGGTGGCCATGGGAAGAGCTTGTCCAGATGGACAGCTCAAACCTGGGGCACGGAGGCTAGCATCGCCTAGGCGCTTTGAGAGCCAAGCTCCCCAGGCTGTTACAAAATCACTTTTCCCCAAGTGATAACAGCAAGTAACACTTTTACCTAAAAACCCAAAAACCCAAAATGGACAGCCCTCTGGGCCAGGGATACACTGTCAAAAGGACTGACTCTGAAGGAAGTCTCCCAGCCCTGGGTCCCCTCCCCTTCCTTTCTGTCCCTCAGGACCTTTGCGAAGGTGGCAGAGGACCACCGGACAGGGAGGAAATTGGGAAGTTGGTGACAATTAACTCGTTTCAGAATTCTGGCCACATGAAAAAAAGGAGAGAAGGAGGCTGGGTCCTCTCCAAGACTGGTGCCCAGGTCTCCCCTGAGTCAGGAAGCAGGTGATCCCTATGCCCCCTCTGTATCGCCCTCAGCCAGCGGCAGGCCCTGAACAGCTGACTGCCCTCATCTGGGATCTGCCATTGACCCCAAAACACCCACCCCCTCTGAGTAAAGGATGTCGGCCGGACCCTGTTTGTTGGCTAACGTGAGCGAGACCCCTCCTCAGCGGCCAGTGAGGCCCCTTCCTCACATTCTTCATGGCAGCAGCACAGGCCTGGCTGTGGGGACCGCCGTCTAAAAGGAGCAACAGTGCGTCTGTCCATCGCTGTGTCCAGGGCCTCTCGAGACCCCCAGATGGGCGTGGGGGAGGAGGTGAGTGCTGCGGGCCTCTGGGAGGGACGGGCATGAGCCACAGGCCCGTCGGAGCCAGGCTGGCCTGTCACCCCTGTGAGGCAGAAGACGCTGCCTGCCCCTTCCCCAGGAGGCTGCTCAGACCCTCAGGAGCCCAGCCTGCCCTGACTGTGATCCCAGGCCACTTCCTTCCTCAGCCTTCCCCCAGAGCACGCTAGGAGGGGCCGCCAGGAGGGGCAAGTGCCCACAGTCCCCTCAGAAGAGACTGCTGGTCCAGAGGCAGGGTACGTATAAATGTCAGCATTTATTTCCTGCTCAAGGACGTCAATGGGGCCCAGTCAATGGGCTGAGGGGCTGTTGTGCCACTGCCCACCCGGCTTGGACTCAGGGGTGGCCAGTGGGTCAGCTCCTGGCTGGACCAGGCTGGGCTTCTGTGCAGGAGAAGCTGGCTGGAGCCTGGAGGATGATGGCCCCGGCGTCAGGAGTTTCGGCAACTGGACCCTTGAGCAGAGGCAAGCAGTACCCAGATTCTGTGTCCAGCGGCCGCCCTCAGCCGGGCTCCCTCCCAGTGCCACAGATGCCCACAGTGCACAGATGCCCGCCGGGCACTGCTGAAGCTGCTTCGTCACAGCCAATGGTGAGTGTCCAGGTGGGGCTCCGTGGCTATGGCGGAACCAGGTCCTCCCCGTCCACTGTGCACTCGGTGCCGCCGGGCTCTGCAGGCTCTTCCAGGCCACCCGCGCCACCTCCAGCCTGCGGAGACTCCGGAGGAAGCCTGCTTCCAAACACTGTGGCTACCAGCCCAGAGGCTTCCCGGACGTGGGTGGGAGAGGCTGGTCCAGATTTCTGGCTCCTTCTCTGTGAGCTGGCACAGCTCCCCAGGCAGGGCTCTCTTCCCAGGGTTCTGGGAGCTGCCTCTCTGAACCAGGAGTGGTTCCGGCTCCCCACGCCCCTCCCTCCCCTTGCC
Source organism: Homo sapiens (assembly GCF_000001405.40). Classification (NCBI taxonomy): domain Eukaryota; kingdom Metazoa; phylum Chordata; class Mammalia; order Primates; family Hominidae; genus Homo; species Homo sapiens. The sequence goes on from NC_000017.11 coordinate 81,940,327, forward strand.
TGGCCCAGCTACTCTCCTGGGTTCGTCTCCTCTGGAAGTCATTCCTCTTTCAGCTTGCCTTACCCAGCCTGACTGTGGTCTCCAGACACTAATGGAGGTACTGGGTGCCTCGCAAATGCTTCTAGCCTCCATGTCCCCAGCTGCAAAATGGGTCACAACAGCAGCTGCTTTAAAGTTTTCCCTTATGATGTTCCAGTGACCAGCACTGAGCCCCAGGAGCGCTGGGAAATGGTGAGAGAGAGTGAGTTGGGGATTGGCCTAGGTGAGGCTCTCCCCTGCGTCTGCTCAGGGCCTCTGCCCTACTGTCCTGCCCTTGTCCCTCTGAGCCCAGTCTGGAAGTCGGGGAGTGACCTCTCCCGTTGTACTTCATCTCCCCTGAGCCCGCGGCTTCCCTCCTGCTCGCTACTTGACACTTTGGTTCACCTGAGTTTCCCTCGCAGAGCCTGGAGCTGGTGGCCAGAGAGCAGAGGTGGGTGGGCTGCCACTGTGGGCTACAGGCTGGGCACGAAGCGAATCCTCTGGGAGTAGGCGAGGTCAACGACGTACAGGAGCAGGTTGACGTAGGTGAAGATGGCCACCACCAGCTGGCTGTCCCAGGGACAGCTGCCCCGAGCACAGTTGGGGGGCCGTTTGGGCTCACCGTACTTGGGATCGAAACAGAAGACTGGCCAGATCACGGCGGCGCTGAGGTACAGGAGCACAGCCAGGAAGGTGTACACCACCACCAGCCGGTCAAAGGGGCAGCCCAGGCCCCCTGTGTGGCCCATCACACTCAGGGCCACCACGGCCACTGTGGCCAGGAAGCACAGGCTGTAGACGGCCACGCACCACTGGGTGGCCACGTAGCGCCCGTAGCGGCTGTCATGGACCAGCGCCCCGAAGATGATGCAGGCCACGAAGGCCTGGACGATCTTGAGGAGCCCCGACACCGTGGCCATATAGCTGCTCACCTGGCCGGGCCGGGCCCGCGTCAGGGCCACCTCCACAGCGTAGGCCAGGAAGAGGAGCCCGGCGAAGACACTGGCTGCCAGGCGGAAGTCCCTGGCAGCACAGCCGGCGGGCTCGGGGGAACACTCCCGCCGGGCAAAGTACAGCGGATACAGGACCGCAGCCGTCGCGCATAGCAGGGTGGCCAGCATGGCGAAGGCGGCGGTGAAGTTGCCCCAGGAGAGCCGCAGGCAGCCGTGGAGCCGTGTGAACTCACAGGCCACCACCAGCGCAGAGACGGCGAAGCAGAAGCCCCAGGCGGCCATGCAGAAGGTGCCCTGGACGCCCGCAAAGCCACCCCGGTGGGCCACCAGGCTGAAGGTAGTGCAGCCAAAGGCCAGCTGCAGCACGCGGGCTGTGCCCACAGGGGATGTCACGGCGCCCAGGTGCAGGTACGCACCCCCAGGGGGCTCCATGGTGCTGCCCATCTGGCCAGCCACGTTTCCAGCTCACACAGTCCCCCAAGGCCCTGGGGTCCCTGCTGGGCCAAGGCCCCTCAGTCCTCTGCGGTAGTGGCAGGTGCCTGCAGCCTGCAGAGGCAGTGACGACGGTGACATTGCAGCAGGGCAGCCTCTCTGCTGTCTATGTGAGGCGGCTCCCCCCAGCGCTATAAATAGACAGCCGTGATCAGAGCCCCGGAATAGCAGCTTGCGTGCCTGTCCCCATCTTAGAGAGACATCTGACCCCTGGTCCCCTGTGGAGCCCCTGCCGGGACCATTAACCCATTGGCTGCTGGCACCACCCCCACCTCCGCCTCCCGCGCACCTGCATCTGTCAATCCGGTCAGTTGGTTTCACGCTTGTGGGGGAGGGGGAGGGAGAAGGAGGGGAGCAAAGAGCATGAGGGTCCCCACGGGGTAACCCCAGCTCCAGCAGCCTCCAGGGCCAGCTGTGCGGGGGAGGGGTGTAGGAGGCAGGAGGCGGCAGCCTGGGCTCCTGGGGCTCGCGGGGGTCGGGGATGGTTTCCCCAACATTTATCTCACCCCTTCTGGATGGCCGCGTGGTTCAGAGCCTGCATGGGCTTCAGGATCCTGCTGTCATTGCCTGGGGTTCACAGGGTTCTGCTGCGGCCAGAGGAGCAGAGCATGGAGACCGTGGCCTCTGCTCCCCGAGCCCCGCTCCCCACCCTCATTCTGTCTCGTCCCTAACCTGCCTGGGGCAGAGACATTTGACTGTTAGTTACTGTTACTGTTTGCAGGGGCCATTCTGGGGCTTTTCACTTGTCCTTCACATTAAACACCTAGAAAAACACTCAACTCTTCCCTTTTTTTTTGAGATGGAGCCTCGCTCTGTCACCCAGGCTGGAGTGCAATGGCGCGATCTCGGCTCCCAGGTTCAAGCAATTATCCTGCCTCAGCCTCCCAAGTAGCTGAGATTACAGGCGTGAGCCACCATGCCTGGCTAATTTTTTTGTATTTTTAATAGAGACCGGGTTTCACCATGTTGGCCAGGCTGGTCTTGATCTCTTGACCTCATGATCCGCCTGCCTCGGCCTCCCAAAGTGCTGGGATTATAGGCGTGAGCCACTAGGTCCGGCCCCTCTTTTTTTTCGAGATAGGGTCTAGCTTTGTCGCTCAGGTTGGAATGCAGTGGTGAGATCACAGCTCACTGCAGCCTCGACCTCCCAGGCTCAAGTGATCCTCCTGCCTCAGCCTTTTTATTTATTTACTTATTTATTTATTTAACCACTTGCACTCACTTCCACCTCTTCCATTTTTAAGCTAAAATATGAAATGTTTTTAAAAAGGAAAAAAATGATATCTTTTTTTTTTTTTGAGACGGAGTCTTGCTGTGTTGCTCAGGCTGGAGTACAGTGGCGTGATCTCTGCTCACTGCAAGCTCCGCCTCCCAGGTTCACGCCATTCTCCTGCCTCAACCTCCCGAGTACCTGGGACTACAGGCACCTGCCACCACGCCCGGCTAATTTTTAGGATTTTTAGTAGAAACGGAGTTTTACCATGTTAGCCAGGATGGTCTCGATATCCTGACCTCGTGATCCACCTGCCTCGGCCTCCCAAAGTGCTGGGATTACAGGCATGAGCCACTGTGCCCGGCCGGAAAAAATGATTTCTTACTAATTTTTTTTTCTTTTTTTCTTTTTTTTTTTTTGAGACAGAGTCTCGCTCTGTTGCCCAGGTTGGAGTGCAATGGCGCAATCTCGGCTCACTGCAAGCTCTGCCTCCCAGGTTCACGCCATTCTCCTGCCTCAGCCTCTTGAGTAGCTGGGACTACAGGTGCCCGCCACCACGCCTGGCTAATTTTTTGTATTTTTAGTAGACACGGGGTTTCACCATGTTAGCCAGGATGGTCTCGATCTCCTGACCTCGTGATCCGCCCGCCTCAGCCTCCCAAAGTGCTGGGATTACAGGCGTTAGCCACCTCGCCCAGCTTTGTTACTAAAAAGAGAAAGAAAAATTGCCTGTAATTCCATCACCTGGATTCAACCACTTTGAACATCTTCTGGTATATCCTTGTATGTATTTCCTGGACTTTTTAGTTAGAAAAACTTAAATCCAGCCGGGCGCGGTGGCTCACACCTGCAATCCGAGCACTTTGGGAGGGGCTGAGGTGGATGGATCACGAGGTCAGGAGATACAGACCATCCTGGCTAACATGGTGAAACCCCATCTCTACTAAAAATACAAAAAAATTAGCCAGGTGTGGTGGCACGTGCCTGTAGTCCCAGCTACTCAGGAGGCTGAGGCAGAAGAATCGCTTGAACTCAGGAGGCAGAGGTTGCAGTGAGCCGAAATCACGCCATTGCACTCCAGCCTGGGTGACAGAGCTAGATTCCGTCTCAAAAAAAAAAGGGCCGGACGCAGTGGCTCACACTTGTAATCCCAACACTTTGGGAGGCCGAGGAAGACGGATCACAAGGTCAGGAGAAATTGAGACCGTCCTGGCTAACACAGTGAAACCCCGTCTCTACTAAAAATACAAAAACAAAATTAGCTGGGCATGGTGGCACGCACCTGTAGGGCAGCTCCCAGCTCCTCGGGAGGCTGAGGTGGGAGAATGGCGTGAACCTGGGAGGCGGAGCTTGCAGTGAGCTGAGATCGCAACAGAGCGAGACTCCTCAAAAAAAAAAAAGAAAGAAAAAGAAAAAGAAATGCCTACTGAATCTCTGCCCTGGGTTTCTGAGACAGAACTTCTAAGACCCTTTCAGACAGAGGCAGGAGGAGTCTTTTATTGTGGTATTTGGTCTTTGACCCCGGTTCCTGACATAGAGCTCCTAAAACCTTTATAATCTCCTAACCCATAGGATCATCTGACATGGGGCTCCCAATCCCCTTGAATTTCCTGGGTGACAGGAGCGTCTTTTGTTCTAATGAGGCGACTCCTGGTGGGCTCCTGGACAGCCTTGGGGTGGGGGGTTGGTGGCAGCTACTATGTGATCAGAAGGGCAGAGCTTCTAGCCCCACTTGCAGCCTCCAGGAGGGACAGGGGCTGAAGGCTGAGCTGATCACCAGTGACCAATGATGTAATCAGTCATGCCTACGTAATGAAGTCTCCATAAAACCCAAAAGGACAGGGTTGGGAGGTTTCCAGGTGGCGGAATGCTTGGAGGGTCCTGGAAGCTCCCTGGAGAGGCCTCCAGATGAACAGCATTGCCTCTATCTGCTGTTCATCTGGGTCCTTTGTCACACATGGGGAAACATAAATAAAGTGTTGGCGGAGCTCGGTGGCTGACGCCTGTCATCCCAGCGCTTTGGGAGGCTGAGGCAGGCAGATCACTTGAGCTCAGGAGTTCCAGACCAGCCTGGCCAACATAGTGAGACCCCATCTCTACAAAAAATACGAAAATTGGCTGGGCGCAGTAGGTCACGCCTGTCATCTCAGCACTTTGGGAGGCCGAGGCAGGTAGATCATTTAAGGTCAGGGGTTTGAGACCAGCCTGGCCAACATGGTAAAACTCTGTCTATATTTAAAAAAAAAAAAACAATTGGCTGGGTGCGGTGGCTCACACCTGTAATCCCAGCACTTTGGGAGGCCAAGGTGGGCGGATCACGAGGTCAGGAGATCGAGACCATCCTGGCTAACACAGTGAAACCCCATCTCTACTAAAAATACAAAAAATTATCCAGGCGTGGTGATGGGCGCCTGTAGTCCCAGCTACTCAGGAGGCTGAGGCAGGAGAATGGCGTGAACCCGGGAGGCAGAGCTTGCAGTGAGCCAAGATAGTGCCACTGCACTCCAGCCTGGGCAACAGAGCAAGACTCTGTCTCAAAAAAAAAAAAAATTGGCTAAGTGTAGTGGCACATGCCTGTAATCTCAGTTACTGGGGAGGCTGAGGTAGGAGAATCGCTTGAACCCAGGAGACCGAGGTTGCCGTGAGCTGAGATTGCACCACTGCACTCCAGCCTGGGCAACGGAGTGAGACTCCATCTCAAAAAAAAAAAAAAAATGAGTTGGGCGTGGTGGTGCACATCCGTAATCCCAGCTACTTGGGAGGTTGAGGTGGGAGGACTGCTTAATCCCAGGAGGTTGAGGGTGCAGTGAACTGTGATTATGCCGTCACACTCCAGCCCGGGCAACACAATGAAACCCCATCTCCAAAAGTAAATCAATAAATAATAAAATGAGGAAAGTGCTTCCCTGAGTTCTGTGAGCCACTCCAGCAAAGTCACAAAACTGGAGGAGGGGCCATGGGAACCTCGGTTGGCCAGAGGGCGGGTGACACCTGCTACATTTGGTCATCTGTCCTCAGGTTCCACACCCAAGTATTCAACAAACCTCAGACTGAAAATACAAAAAATACTGGCCCGGCGCGGTGGGTCACGCCTGTAATCCCAGCACGTTGAGAGGCTGAGGCAGGCAGATCACCTGAGGTCAGGAGTTTGAGACCAGCCAGGCCAACATGGTGAAACCCCATTTCTACTAAAAATACAAAAATTAGCCGGGCGTGGTGGTGGGTGCCTGTAGTCCCAGCTACTTGGGAGGCTGAGGCAGGAGAATCGCTTGAACCCGGAAGGCAGAGGTTGCAGTCAGCCGAGATCGTGCCACTGCACTGTAGCCTGGCGACAGAGCAAGACTCAGTCTCGAAAAGAAGAAAAGGCCGGGCGCGGTGGCTCATGCCTGTAATCCCAGCACTTTGGGAGGCTGAGGCGGGCGGATCACAAGGTCAGGAGATCGAGACCATCCTGGCCAACGTGGTGAAACCCCGTCTCTACTAAAAATACAAAAAATTAGCCAGGTGTGGCAGTGGGCGCTGGTAGTCCCAGCTACTCGGGAGGCTGAGACAGGAGAATGGCGTGAACCCGGGAGGCAGAGCTTGCAGTGAGCCGAGATCGCGCCACTGCACTCCAGCCTGGGCAACAGAGCAAGACTCCGTCTCAAAAGAAAATACAAAAAATAAATAAATAAAACAATAAATAAGGCCAGGCGCAGTGGCTCATGCCTGTACATCCAGCACTGTTGGGAGGCGGAGGTGGGTGGATCACCTGAAGTCAGGAGTTTGAGACCAGCCTGACCAACCAACATGGTGAAATCCCGTCTCTACTAAAAATAACAGAAATTAGCCAGGCCTGGTGGTATGTGACTGTAATCCCAGCTACTCCAGAGGCTGAGGCAGGAGACTTGCTTGAACCTGGGAGGCGGAGATTGCAGTGAGCCAAGATCATGCCACTATACTTCAGCCTGGGTGACAGAGGGAGACTCCATCTCAAAATAATAGTAATAATAATACAAATAATACAAATTTAAAAAGCAATACTATGTAACAACTGTTTACATAGAATTTACATACCAGGTGTTATAAGTAATCAAGAGGTGATTTAAGTCCAGAGGAGGGGGTTATATGCAAATAACATGCCATTTTGTATCAGGGACTCTGGCCTTGTGGATTCTGGTGTTTTGGAGGTACTGGATCCCATCCCCCAAGGATACAAAGGGACAGCTGTACTTGGGACTGGCATCTGAAGTGGAGGACACTCTTGTGGGACTGAGACCTTAGCCTGCAGGATCGGGTACTGTCTCCAGGGAGAAAGCGTCACAATGGAACAGGGTTGGAGGACGCCCAGCGGGTGTCCGCGGAGACTGGATGGAACCGGGTTGGAGGACGCCCAGCGGGTGTCCGCGGAGACTGGATGGAACAGGGTTGGAGGACACCCAGTGGGTGCCTGCGGAGACTCGCTGGAGCAGGGTTGGAGGATGCCTAGTAGGTGTCCACTGGAGACTTGCTTGGTGTTTGGGGAAAATCCCCACACACATTTTGGTGACCAGAGATGAAGTATTCCATGTTGGATGTTGACTGTTGAGTGTGTGAGAGCAGGGAAAACACTGTTTTTTTTTCCTGTCTCAGACACCAGCCCAGCCCTGGAGTCAGCCGTGTCTCCCAGGAACCTGGTTCCTTGTGTTGGGGGAATGGCATCAGAGACCAAGACATGGGGGCCAGGCACGCTTGTTGCTGCTGTGGTATACATTCACAAACGTTAACAAATATTTTTATTTTTACTTATTTATTTATTGAAGATGGGGTCTCGCTCTGTTGCCCAGGCTGGAGTGCAGTGGCATGATCTCAGCTCACTGCAATCTCCGCCTCCTGGGTTCAAGAGATTCTCTTGCCTCAGCCTCCTGGGTAGCTGGAATTACAGGCACGCAGCACCACACCCAGCTAATTTTTCTATTTGTAGTAGAGACAGAGTTTCACCATGTTGGTCAGGCTGGTTTCAATCTCCTGACCTCGTGATTCACCTGCCTCGGCCTCCCAAAGTGCTGGGATTACAGGCGTGAGCCACCACGCCCAGCTGGCTTTCTTTTTTTAAGTACAGAGTTTAAATTTGTAATGTTGTCACACAGTGGAAGTTCCCTGCTTTCAGTCCCTGAATAGCAAAGGCTATGCCTTGGCCATCGCTGCTGGAAGAGACACGGCTCAGTGTTGGATGAATGTCCTGACTGTTTTCGCCCCAGAGAATGAAAGGCGCCAACCGTCCTGGGAAAGGTGAGAAGTCAGCGTGGACAAGCTGGGGTGACCATCACTGCAGAGCTACAGGCCAGCGTCCTCTTCGTGTCCTAGGGCTCGTTTTGTTCCTGGTCCTGCAGGACAGCCTGGGGTCACCGTCACTGCGGAGCTACAGGCCAGCGTCCTCTTCGTGTCCTAGGGCTCGTTTTGTCCCTGGTCCTGCAGGACAGCCTGGGGTCACCGTCACTGCGGAGCTACAGGCCAGCGTCCTCTTCGTGTCCTAGGGCTCGTTTTGTCCCTGGTCCTGCAGGACAGCATGGCAGCGATTGACCGATTGACCATTAGGTGAGCTGCGCCTCTTTCTCTTTCGGCACAAATGTGGGAAGAAAGGGTTTATTTGTCGGTGAAATCCCTTTGGGCCCAACCCACAAGTGTCCTGTTCAGTGAGCCTGGTCCCCCCAGACACACACCACCATCCGCCCTCAGGTCCCTTTCAGCCACCTCAGAGGAGCAAACATCACGCCTGCCAGACTGCAGTGCTCAAGCCAGAGTTGGCCAAGAGCCAGCACCTCGCATGTGGCTCCCCCAGCTCCCACAGCACGGCAGGGGTCCCAGCAAAGTCTCCCCAGACAGGGTGACAGCCAGGCCTCTTTCGGGCTCCCCAGCCCCCTCTCCCTCCCGAGCTCTGTCCTTGTGGGGAGTCCTGTCCAAGGCCCTGCCTGGAGGTCTGGCTCTGGAGGCCCCGAGAAGGAGGCCACCAGACTCCCCCGGACCCCTTCTCTCACCTCCAGCCCTCGGTCTCCACATCTCTGACCTTGTCGTCTCCATTGGCTGCTGGGACTCCATGGATTCCCTCCAGAGACCACATAGGAGTGCTCCACAGGGGGATCGTGGACAGGCCACTTGGCTCTGCCTGGGGTGGCAGACACCTGCCCACGGGCACCAGTCCTGTCTGGGTATTCTCAGGCCCAGGGCAGCCCTGACTCATTGGCACAGAGAGTCAGACCCCAGGACATGTCCCCAAGGCACAGGGTCCTACGGTCCTGGCCACTCTGGGAATGGAGCCGTGGCCGCAGGGCAGGTGTGAAGCTCAGGCTGACGTGGCCCCGTGTCCTCTGACCCTTATGGTCACATTGCCTCTCTGGGCCTGTTTCTTTGTAAACTGGAGTATTTATTTTATTTTATTTTATTTTTTGAGTCAGAATCTTGCTCTGTCACTCAGGCTGGAGTGCAATGGTATGATCTCAGCTCACTGCAACCTCTGCCTCCTGGGTTCAAGCAATTCTCATGCCTCAGCCTCCCGAGTAGCTGGGACTACAGGCACCCGCCACCACACCCGGCTAATTTTTTGGTATTTTCAGTAGAGACGGGGTTTCACCGTGTTAGCCAGGATGGTCTCGATCTCCTGACCTCGTGATCCACCCGCCTCGGCCTCCCAAGGTGCTGGGATTACAGGCATGAGCCATTGCGCCCGGCCTTTTTTTTTTTTTTTTGGTATTTTTAGTAGAGATGGGGTTTCACCATGTTGCCCAGGCTGGTCTCAACCTCCTGGCCTCAAGCAATCCACCCACCTCGGCCTCCCAAAGTGCTGAGATTACAGGCGTGAGCCACCGCGCCCGGCCTGTAAACTGGCGTTTATAATGAAACCCACCTCGTAGGGCTACATACAATTGGCATGGAATGCTTTGCTCAGAAAGCTCCACCCACAACCATGCCCAAGGCTGGCATTGGTGTGACCTTGGTATTATCAAAACTACAGAGATTCATGGGTACGTTTGTGTGTGTGTTTTGAGACAGAGTCTTGCTCTGTTGCCCAGGCTGGAGTGCAGTGGCACAATCTCGGCTCACTGCAACCTCCACCTTCCAAGTTCAAGCAGTTCTCCTGCCGCAGCCTCCCAAGTAGCTGGGATTACAGGTGTGTACCACCACACCCTGCTAATTCTTGTAGTTTTAGTAGAGACAGGATTTCACCATGTTGGCCAGGCTGGTCTTGAACTTCTGACATCAAGTGATCCACCAGTCTCAGCCTCCCAAAGTGCTGGGATTACAGGTGTGAGACACCGCACCTGGTCTGTTTTTTTTTTTTTTTTTTTGAGACAGGGTCTTGCTGTCACTCAGGCTGGAGTGCACTGGCGCGATCACTGCTCCCTGCAGCTGTGACTTCCCAGGCTTAAGTGATCCTCATACCTCGGCCTCCTGAGTAGCTGGGACCAGAGGTGTACATCACCACACCCAGCTAATGTTTTAATTTTTTTTTTAGAGACGGGGTCTCCCTTTGTTGCCCAGGCTGGTCTCAACCTCCTGGGCCAAAGCGATCATCTCACGCTGGCCTCCCAAAGTGCTGGGGTGACAGGCTAGAGCTTCATGTTTTTGCCCCAGGAATCCCACATCTGGGGTTTAGTCCACAGACATACTTGCCCTCATGCAACGTGATGACCACACGACAAGGCTATGCACGTGCACCCTTTGCACCTGCGTGTGCCGCAGAGCCCTCCGCAGGCCCTGGACTGTCACACCTGCGGCAGCTCACTGCGCGCCCCGAAATACAGTGTCAAGAGGAGGAGACACCAGTGTGTAGTGTGTAGCCATCTGTGTAAAAGAAAAAAATGCATGTATGTCAACGTGTGCACCTGTTTACCGGAATTTTCACGAAATGATCTCTGGGAATATCCACAAGGTAACACTGTTTGCCCTTGGAAGCAGAGCCAGGGAACCTGAGCTGTGGGGGAAATGGGCATTCGCCCTCATATCTTCTGCATCTTTTGAATTTTGAACCATGTGCAGGAATGACCTAGTAGAAAGAAATAAAATGCAAATGTTTAAGGAATTGTCAGCTGGGTAGGAAGTGTTCTGGATTGATAAAGAGTTTTGAAACTAGGGAGTGGGCGTGGTGGCTCACATCTGTAATTCCAGCACTTTGGGAGGCTGAGGCGGGTGGATCACCTGAGGTCAAGAGTTTGAGACCAGCCTGGCCAACATGGCGAAACCCCATCTCTACTAAAAATACAAAAATTAGCTGAGCGTGGTGGCACATGCCTGTGATTCCAGCTAGTCAGGAGGCTGAGGCAGGAGAATCGCTTGAGCCCAGGAGGCAGAGGTTGCAGTGAGCCGAGATTGTGCCACTGCACTCCAGCCTGGGAGACACAGCGAGACTCCGTCTCAAAAAAAAAAAAATTTATTTTTTATTTATTTATTTTTTTGAGACGGAGTCTCGCTCTGTTGCCCAGACTGGAGTGTAGTGGTGCAATGCAATCTCGGCTCACTGCAACCTCTGCCTCCCGGGTTCAAGCCATTCTCCTGCCTCAGCCTCCCGGGTAGCTAGGATTACAGGTGCATGCCACCACACCCAGCTAATGTTTTATATTTTTGGTAGAGACAGAGTTTCACCATGTTGGCCAGGCTGATCTCAAACCCCTGACCTTGTGATCTGCCTGCCTTGGCCTCCCAGAGTGCTGGGATTACAGGTGTGAGCCACCACGCCTGGCAAGAGTTTTGAAACCAGAAACGGGGGTCACACGGCACTCTGAGTGCGACAGATGCCGAGTCGCTCACTTGGAAATGGCTCATCCTGTTATGCGAATTTCTTCCCAAAAAAAATAATAAAATGAAAAGGGGCCACGTGCAGTGGCTCATGCCTGTGATCTCAACACACTGGGAAGCTGAGCAGGGAGGATTGCTGGAGCCCAGGAGTTCAAGACCAGTCTGGGCAACAAAGGGATATTCCATCTCTACAAAAAATTAAAACAGTAGCCGGGTGTGGTGGCGCGTGCCTGTAATCCCAACTATTCAGGAGGCCAAAGTGGGGAAATTGCTTGAGCCCCGGAGTTCAAGGCTGCAGTGAGCTGTGATTGTGCCACTGCACTCCAGTCTGGGCAACACGATGAGATCCTGTCTCTAAATAAATGAATAAGTAAAAAGAAACGCAGCTGGTGCCATCCGCCCTGGGAAGTGGGTATCTGCAGAAGGGTTGAAGGGAAGCAGGGCCCCTCCAGAAGACCCTGCTCTGAGTCTGTGCATCCAAGAAGGGGTCAGAGTTGGAGAGTCCCCACGGCCCCTCCCTTTGTCTCCCTGCTGCTGTGGGGCTGGGGAGGGGAGGTGGGGGAGGGAGAGGAGGGGAGAGAGGGAGGGAGAGGAGGGAGGGGAGGGAGAGGAGGAGGGGAGGGAGAGGAGGAGGGGAGGGAGAGGAGGAGGGGAGGGAGAGGAGGAGGGGAGGGAGAGGAGGAAGGGAGGGAGAGGAGGGAGGGGAGGGAGAGGAGGAGGGGAAGTGTGAAGCAAATAAACACGCGGGCAGGGTGAGGTTCTTTTTTGTCTCTTTAAAATCATTTTTAAAAAGTTACAAAACAATATCATTCATCATATATTCTTATTTTCCTTTTTTTAAAAAATTAAAGTAATAAAAAAGTCACTTTATAAAATAATATAAAAGGGCTTGATGGGTGGGGCCGGTGGGTGCTGTCTGAGCTGGTGGACTGAGGAATCCAGTGCTTCTCTTCTGGCTACCCCCTCGTTGTCAGGAAGGACCCCCAGGCCACAGATGGGGATGACAGCAGGTCCCTTGTCTCTGGCTGGGCTGTGGGAGAGGGGCAGGGAAAGCCGGGGCAGGAGGGCAGTGGGCAGACCCAGACAGGGGGGACGGCTGGGGCCCTGTCCCGAAGAGACGGGAGGGCCTGCTGGTGGGGGGTGAGGTGGCACTGGGGCAGCGGGTGTCTGGGCCCCTCAGTGCCGGCTCCTCCTCCAGACAGTCTGCCTAGCTTCCGTTGCTCAGCATCCCCAGCAGCTCACTGGGCTCCAGTCCCTGCGGCTGGGCCACCGTCTGCATGTCGAAGCCCATGTGCATGAGGAACTGGGCCACGTTCATCTCTTGCCCCGTGAACTGGTCTCGGACGGTGGGGCATGAGGGGTTGCAGTGGGGCCAGGGGCAGCTGTCCACCAGGTGGACGGGGCAGCCCTTGAGGGGGGTCTTGCTGGCCTTGTGGCTGTCATGGAGGCTCCTGTCCCAGCAGTGCAGTGCTCGGGGCAGCGACGTCCCCTTCACCTGGACATCCGTCCAGTGGCTGCAGAGGAAAACCGGGGGAGGGGGTCACATGTGCGGAGTGGCATCAACACTGAGGCAGCTGTTTTTTTTTTTGAGACCAGCCATGGCAGGATCTCGGCTCACTGCAGCCTCCGCCTCCCGGGTTCAAGCGATTCTCCTGCCTCAGCCTCCCGAGTAGCTGGGATTACAGGCGTGTGCCACCGAGACTGGCTAATTTTTTGTATTTTCAGTAGAGATGGGGTTTCACTATGTTGGCCAAGCTGGTCTCGAACTGACGTCAGGTGATCTGCCCCCATTGGCCTCCCAAAGTGCTGAGATAACAGGCGTGAGCCACCGTATCTAGCCTGGGTTTTTTTGTTTTGTTTTGTTTTTTGAGACAAGGTCTCCCTCTGCCTGTCAGGCTAGAATGCAGTGGTGTGATCACTGCTCACTGCAGCCTCAACCTCCTGAGTTCAAGTGATCCTCCCACCTCAGCCTCCTGAGTAGCTGGGATTACAGGTGTGAGCCACTGCTCAGCCTGAGTCTTTTTTTTTTTTTCTTTTTTTTTTGAGATGGAGTTTCACTCTTGTTGCCCCCAGGATGGAGTGCAATGTTGCAATCTCGACTCACCATAACCTCTGTCTCCCAGGTTCAAGCGATTCTCCTGCCTCAGCCTCCGGAGTAGCTGGATTACAGGCACCCGCCACCACGCCCAGCTAATTGTATTTTTACTAGAGACAGGGTTTCACTATATTGGCCAGGCTGGTGTCGAACTCCTGACCTCAGGTGATCCACCTGCCTCAACCTCCCAAAGTGCTGGGATTACAGGCGTGAGCCACCGCACCCAGCCTGAGTCTTAATTCTTGCCATACAGCTGTTGGTACAAGTGGCTCTGGCACCCCTATAAGGAAATCCCACCCCTAGAAGCGCCAAGAAGAGGCCCATGGGAGGCCAAGTGCGGTTGGGGAGCATGTGGACTTTTGAAGTTGATGTCATGGACGCAAGCTGCCCGGAGCAGGGACACTGACCTCCGGATGATGATCTCATGGGAGAGGCAGGCGGGGGCAAAGCTGGCCCTGTTGGAGAGGAGACAGTGGCTTGTGAGCTCCTTACCCCCTCAGCCCCTTTTCCACCCCCACTCCCCTAGAGCTGTCCCCCGCCTGGCCATCACCCCTTCCTGTTGCTATGGCTGCCAGCTGTTCCTCTGGCCCGGGCCTCCCCCTAGTTGGCCAGCTCCCGGCTGACCCTTATCGCTTTGTGCCTCAAATCCCTGCTCAGAGTCCACCTCTTCCAGGCAGGCCCTCCCAGGTGATGGCAAGAGGCTGCCCTAGACAGGCAAATATTCTGCTACTATCTAGAACTCTATTTTCATTTTATTTTGAGTCGGGGTCTGGCTCTATCGCCCCAGCTGGAGTGTAGTGGTACAATCGAAGCTTGCTTGCCTCCCACAGGCAAGGTTAGCTCACTGTAACCTTGAACTCCTGGGCTCAAGGGATCCTCCTGCCTCAGCCTCCTGAGTAGCTGGGATTACAGGTGATGCCACCATGCCTGGATAATTTCTGTATGTGCAGTAGAGACACGGTTTCACCATGTTGCCCTGGCTGGTCTTAGACTCCTGGCCTCCAGCAATCCTGCTGCCTCGGCCTCCCAAAGGGGTGGGATTATAGGCGTGAGCCAGTGTGCCAGGCCCAAGACCGATCTCGATCTCTCTCTCTCTCTCTCTCTCTCTCTCCTCTCTCTCTTTCTCTCTCTCTCTATATATGTATTTTTTGAGACAGAGTCTTACTCCGTCACCCAGGCTGGAGTGCAGTGGCACAATCTCAGCTCACTGCAACCTCCACCTCCCAGTTCAAGTGATTCTCCTGCCTCAGCCTCTTGAGTAGCTGGGATTACAGGCGCCTGCCACTACACCGGACTAATTTTTTGCATATTTTGTGGAGATAGGGTTTTGCCATGTTGGCCAGGCTGGTCTCGCACTCCTGACCTCAGGTGATCCACCTGCATGGGCCTCCCAAAGTGCTGGGATTATAGGTGTGAGTCACTGCGCCCGGCCTACAAGACCTCTATTTTTTTTTGTTCTGGTTTTTCTTCTTTTGTTTTCTCAGGACCTCTATTTTTAAATAAGGAGGGAGCTACCCGGCGTGGGGCTCCCGGGGCCCACACACTCACGGCACGTCCTTGAGTGTGTGGCGCAGCTCGCGGCCGAGGTTCTGGATGTACAGCCGCAGGCCCTCCTGCACCGGCTGCCCCGTCAGGTGCACGTTGTCCACCGTCAGCTGTGCCTCGTCAAACAGCCACTGCACCACGAACACAGGGCCTGCGGGCGGCGGGGCTCAGTTCGGCCTCCCCTGACCCCCGCTGCTGCCCCCACCCCAGGCTCACAGCTCAGCACCCCCAGGCCCCTGCAGTGCCCCCACCCCAGGCTCAGAGCTCAGCACCCCCAGGCCCCTGCAGTGCCCCCCACCCCAGGCTCAGAGCTCAGCACCCCCAGGCCCCTGCAGTGCCCCCCACCCCAGGCTCAGAGTTCAGCACCCCCAGGCCCCTGCAGTGTCCCCCACCCCAGGCTCAGAGCTCAGCACCCCCAGGCCCCTGCAGTGCCCCCCATCCCAGGCTCAGAGCTCAGCACCCCCCAGGCCCCTGCAGTGCCCCCTATCCCAGGCTCAGAGCTCAGCACCCCCAGGTCCCCGCTGCTGCCCCCGACCCCAGGCAGAGCTCAGCACCCTCCCAGGCCCCCTGCAGTGCTGCTGAGGCTCACAGGCCAGCTAGCCTTGGCCCAACTCTCCCCAGGGGTGTCAGTCATAGGCCCCCACAGAATGTGGCTTCCTTCTTTCAAACCAGCCTTTTTATAATCCACAGCTTCATAACTAAATCAATAACTAAATCAACAACTAAATCAATAAACTGCCTTTCCTTGAAGACGGGCTCTGTTTAACCCCTCCATGACCTTGGCCTGGTTCTCAGCGACTCCACTTTCACCTAAATATGGTGATGATGCCCTTGCATATAACCTCACCATTCCTCAGAGCGTGGGGCTGGGGAGGAACTAGCCCAGGACCCTGCAGCAGGGAGGGGCAGCATGGGGATGAGCTCCAAAGCACACTAGCCACCGGTATAGGCAGGGTGACCACCTGTCCCACTTTGCCTGGGACTGAGGGGTGTCAGTGCTGAGGGCAGGCAAGTCCCAGGCATGCCGCAGCGACTAGGCCCCCTGGCACACAGCCGGCCTCCTCCCTGGTACACAGCCGGCCTCCTCCCTGGTACACAGCCGGCCTCCTCCCTGGTACACAGCCGGACTCCTCCCTGGACCAGGGCCGTGGTCTCCAAGCCCAGCCCAGAAGACTGGAGTCCACGCTGGATTTTCAGAAGCAAGGAAGTGTGGCCACCCCTGCTGCCCTGTGTGCTCCGCTCTGCCGCCCACTCACAGCGCAGGGTCGGGTAGACCTTGTAGCCAAAGAAGCAGTTCCACTCCTCGCCCTCCTGGAACTGGCGTCGGCAGCGCTCCGGGACCACCCCGTTCCAGTACCTGGAGCCACAGCCACAGGTTAGGCTGCCGTGGGTCTCGTCCCCCGGGGCTCCCCACCCACAGATGCCACTCCACCCAGGCCCTTCTGGGGCAAAGCTGCAGCACGAGGACGGGCCCTCCCCGCTGCGGCACCTGATGCCACGGCGGATGGCCTCCGTGGGCGCGCACGTGATCGTGTCGACGCAGTCTGTGTGGCGATACTGCTTGTTGTCCAGGAACCAGCCGGAGTCAGCCAGGCCTCGCACCTGGATGGCTGGGTAGCCCAGCTTCTCCAGCTGCTCAGCCACACGGTCCACATTCAGGAGCACCCCGGTGCCCCCCGCGCTGCAAGGAGGGCCAGACGTGAGGCCAGGTGGCTGGGAAGAGGCACTCACCTCCCCCGAGTCTGCTCAGCGTCAGCCCGTGCCCCGAGGGGGGCAGGAGTCCTGATGCGTTCTGAACTGCGGATGCATTCTGCATTCTCTGTTCACGTGCAAGACCCATGGCCGTCCCCTCCAGAGCAGGCCAGGGCTCAGGCTGGCAGGCCACATTTCCCTGACACAGCCAGGCTCTCCCCTTCCTCCTCCCCTTCCTCTCTCTGTCTCTTTACCTCAGGTTCCTTATCTGAAAATGAAGATAAACTATGTGGCCTCAGGCCCCATCATCTATTCCCCATTTGTCTCCTGGTCTCCTGTATGCCTGCTGGGATACAGGAACCCACAGGGGTGATCCTCATCTACCGGGCCCTGGAGAAGGAGCATTAGTCCATGGCCAACCCCTAACCAACGACTTAGGTCCCTGCAGCCCAAACCTTCCCCTATATCCAACAACCATGGCGTCCAGAAGCATCCTCTGGACAGTGTCTGGTTACCCAGCACTCTGAAGCCAGGCCTCAGAGACGTCTCCAATGATGCGGGTTCTCCCAGCTCCAGCCTCTCACCCTCCTAGCCACCTGCCAAGATCTGCACAGGCTCCACTCCATCCTCGCCTCTCATACAACCCCACCCCACACCCCTTCCATGCACCCTGCACACCGTCCTCACCCCTCACCTCCAGCCCTGCCCCGCCCTGCCCACCTGCTCCCGGCCAGCAGCAGCACCTTGGCCCCGCTCAGCCCTCTGCCCAGAAGCTCCCGCACCACCTCCTGGATGATGAGGGCGCCCATGAAGGCGTACTCGTCTGCAAGAGGGAGGGGGTGGCCTCAGGTAGGGGCCTGGACAGAGAGAACCACCTCCTACCCCAGAATGGCTGGCAGAGAAGTTCTTGCCCCACTGGGGGACTGGGAGGAATCTTCTGAGAAGGGGTCAGGGGCTTGGGTGGACTGGAGGAAGGCGGGTGCACCAGGCCATGCTGGGGCCTCCTCCCCAGGGAATATTCAGAAATAAGGACCTCCTACAGTTGTGGACAAGCAGGCAGTGGGAGCATGGGGCAGGCACCCTGGGACATACTGTCAAGGGCTTTGAAAGCACGACAAGGCTGAGAGTCAGCTTTTCCCCAGAACCCCTGCCGTCCCGCCTCATCCCTGCCCTGCCGTCCTGCCTCCTCCCTGCCCTGCCATCCGGCCCCGTCCCTGCCCTGCCATGCCCTGGGAAGGCCGAGACTCACTCTTCTCAGACTTGGATGAAGCCCCGCTCCAAACATCACTGGAGCAGTAGGGGATGAAGCTGCAACACAGAACAGAGTGAGCCTGTCACAGCGCCTGCCGCCCGGCAGCCTCCAGAAAGGACCCCCAGAACAGGACCCTCAGAAAAGACCATCCCAGGACAGGATTCCCCTGGAAGGACCATCCCAGGATAGAACTTCCCCTCAAGAAAGACCTCCAGCGTAATACTCCTCAGGAAGAACCAACCCAGGACAGGACCCTTTCCAGGAAAGACCAACTCAGGACAGGACCCCCCAGGAAAGAAGGACCATCCCAGGACAGGATCCCCCTGGAAGGACCATCCCAGGAGAGGACCCTGCCAGGAAGGACCATCTCAGGATAGACCCCTCCCCACCAGGAAGGACCATCCCAGGACAGGACCTCCTCCCCACCACGAAAGAAACACCTCCAGAACCCCTCTAGGACAGGACCTCCCCAAAAGAACCATCCAGAACAGGACCCCCAGGAAAGACCATTTCAGAATATGACTTCCCAAGGAAGGACCCCCCGGGAAGAACCACCCTCCAGGCAGGACTCCCAGGCAAGACCCTGTGCCCCCTTACACCATGTTTGCGTTCCACCAGTAGGGGTTCTCCTCCGGCTGTGAGGACAGGATCCCTGTGCCTGGGGACACAGAGGCGGTGGGTCTTTCTAGCGGGAGGAGGCTGTGTAGGGTCGGGTCTGGGAACCCTGGTGAGGTGTTGGGGCTCCTACTTGGCCCCAGGAAGGGAGGTGTGCTGGTGTTGCTAGCCCGAACCAAGGTTGCCGGGAAAGTGGAGGACAGTTGGGTTTAGTTACCCCCGGGAAGCCACCATGGCCACGGTGCCCGGCTAGGCTGGACACCAGGTCTGACCTTGACTTCAACCCCTTGCCCTGCTTTGACCCTGGGGAGGGCCAGAGCCGCTGGGTAAGCGCCTGAATGCTAATGTGGAATGGGCCCCAAAAGGCAAGAGTGAAGGGCGCCCCTTGCTCTTAGTAAACCCGGGCGCCAGGCTGGGCATGATGTGCGGGGTGGGGGCCTGGCTGGGGCTCCAGGAGGCGGGCGCGGCTTCCTCCCGGGCCTCACGTCGAGACGCCTTCCCCAGGGCCCGCCGCTGACCTGTGCGAGTGCGCGGCCAGTCCCGGGAGCTCATGAGGCGCCGCATGGTGTCGTATCTGGAGTCGCAGTTCTCGCGGTTGAAGCAGTACCAGCCGCCTGCGGACACGACCGCCGCTCAGGCCCGCGCGCACAGACCCCCGGCCTCCCCCCGCCTCAGCCCTGGACGCACCTTCCAGGAAGAGGAGCCACCGCCGGCTGCCCCTGGACTCCTTCAGGTAGTAGCTGCGGGGGAGGACGCACCGCGGGGGGTCGGCCAGGGCTGCCGACCCGCCGCGCCCCGCGCGCCCAGCTCCGGCGGAGGGAACGCGCCACCTGTTCCGGCCGCGCGCGACGGTCGCACGGGGGCGCCCTCGGCCAGGCCCACGGGGAGCTCAGGGACGGCGGCGGTCCCGGGAGGTGGCGCTCGCGGGGCGGGGAACGGGCCGCGCGGGGCTGTGGTCCGTGGAAAATCCCCACGTTCCGCCCGGCGCGGGTCCCGCTGTCACCTCGGCGCGGGCGGCGGTCCTCCCGGGGCGCGCGGCGGCGCTTGAAGCGTGAAACGCGTCCGCACTGAAGGAGCGCGCTTGGCGGGGGAACGGGACGCCGCGGGGAGCGCGGGAGGCGCGGGCGGCACCGACCCGGCGGGGGAGCCTTCCTGCCGAGCCCCGACCCCACGCCCAAGTCTCCCGCTGTCCCCGGCTGTCCTCGGCCTGTTGAGCGCGTGGGCGGCCCCGCCGCTCCCCGACCCCCGACCTCACGTCTTTTATCTACTTCGGGGCTGCAAGGAGGTGGGCAGCGGGCCTCTCCCCGCCCCCCGGTGTCGCCGGTTCCCGCTGGAGCCAGGCGCGCTCTCGGGCTGCCATCTCCCCGCCCCGGGACCGAAGGACGCCAGCAGAGCGGCTGGGCCCAGAGGCCGAGGGGTCAGTGCCCGAGCTGGCCGGGGACCAGCCCTTCCAGCGCCGCTCCGCTCCCCACGCGGAGAGTCACCGAACCGGGCACTCCTCGGGGCCAGGACCGCGGGGCGCCCGACGGAAGCCCTTTCTCCCCGGGGAGAGAACGGCCGCGGCCCGCAGGGAAGGTCCAGCCGGAGACCGGGCGCGTCGGGCGGGGCGGGGAGGTGCAGGGCGCGGGCCTTACCCGGCGGGGCTGCCGTCGTTGCAGGTCACCGAGGTGTTGAGTAGGAGGTGCAGGCGCAGGTCCTCGTTGAGCTGCTGCGCGGAGCAGGGGTACAGGGACTGCGCCAGGCTCTTGACTTGCGCCATGAAGCTGTCCATGTTACCCTCCACGGCCGTGAAGTCCAGCGGGAAGCTCTCCACGGGCTGTCCGGCCGCCGGCGCCGCCTCGGTCCGCGGGGGAGGAGGCGGCTGCTGACCCCGGCGCCGCCAGGTCTTCCTGCCCTCGCTGCCCCCGGCGCAGTGCAGCAGGCTCAGCAGCAGCAGCACGCGCACCCCTCGGCCCATGGCCGCGTCCACCTGCGGGGAGCGGGCGGCCTTGAGGCGGCGGCGGCGGCGGCGGGGGATGCCGGGCCGGGGGTGCCGGGCCGGGGGTGTCGGGGGCACTGGCCGCTCCTGCTCCCTCGCCCCCGCTCCCGCCCGCCGGGCCTGGCGGAGAAGGCGCGCGCGGCTCGGCGTCGAGGCGCTCGGGGCCGGGTGCCGTCGGCCTCCGCAGCTGGGGCTCCGCGCCCGGCCGTCCGAGGGCAGCGCAGGGTCTGGGTGCGCTGGCTGCGGCCCGCGCCAATGAGCGGCGGGGGCCGAGGCTGGGCTTATTTGCGGGGGCCGCGGCGGCCCGGGTGCCCGCGCGTTAGATGTGCCGCCGCCGCCGCCCGGGCTCGGCGGAGGGGGGAGGGGGCCGCGCTCGCTCTTTTCTTGGCGGAGGCATCGCCTTTTCTTCCCAAACCGCAAGCCTGACGGAGGGGCCTGGACTACCCCGCCGCGGCCGCCGGAGGCGCTCCCGGCCCGGCTCCGTGGGGGGGCAGCGCGGCCGGGCGGCCCCGGCGGCTCCATTCACCGCGGCCAGCCCGGCGCCGCCGCCCCCCCCCGCGGGGCAGCTGGAAGGGGCGGCGGCGACGGGGAGGGGCGAGGCTTTTCCGCGCCTGCCGGGGTGGGGGGCGGGGAACTCCGCCCGCGGCGCAGCTGGCCGAGCCCGACGGGCTGGGGGCGCGGGGCAGGCGCGCTCACCTGGAGCCGCCAGTGTCCCTCTCATCCCCCAGTGCCCAGGCCCAGAGCAGGCCGTGGGGGATTCGGACCCCGGCCCGCATCGCCCCACCTCGCGCAGCCCTGGGGCCCCGCTCTCACCGCGGCCAGCGCGGGCGGCCCAGTGGCCCCGTCCTCTCAGCGCCCCTGGCCCTGCGCCGTCCCGCTGGTGCGCCCGGCTCGGCTGCGCTCCCCCTCTGGCGCTGGCGCGGAGCCGCCAGGGACTTTTATCCAGCAGGGCCCCCCGGGATCAAAGCGGCGGCGGACACAGGGCTTCCAGCCGAGGGCCCGGCAGCAGTGGCGCCGGGGCCTCCTGGAGAAGCGGACAGGTGGGGCGCGAGGTCCTGGCTCCCTCGGAGACCTGCGGGAGGGACCGCGCGCCCCAGCAAGGCGCCGCGGGGGAGTCGCTCAGTTCCGGGGCGCTCCTGCTGGCGCTGGGGTCAGAGAAGCAGCTACGACTTAAGGAGATCGCGGGGCCAGAGGTGAGGTCCTGGATCTCCGCCCGCCCCAGCCTGGCTGCTGGCCCCATGCCGAGGACCCCCCAAGAACCTGCCCCAGCCGCCACTGGGGGAGGAGGCCAAGGGTCCAGTGGCTGCCCGCTAGGCCTCTGCTTGCGGCCCTTCATGCCACGAAGGGCACCTGCCCCATGCTTCACCTTGGAGAGCACCCCTGTCCACTCCCGAGGCTCTGGGCAGTGGGGTTAGAACAAGGTTCCTGTGGGAAATCAGTACTGGAGCAGGGTGGACAGGAGGGGTTCAGGAGGTTTCCTGCTGGGGTGAGCGCGGGTGGGATGGACAAAAGAAAGGAAAGGACATACGCAGGGCCAGCGGGGCCGGGCAGACTTTCTCCTTCACCCTCCGGTCTGAAGCCTGCTGGGCGCCATGACACCCATTTTAAAAATAGGAAACAGGTCTTACGTTTCAGGACAACCAGGTCTTACATTTCAGGACAACGATCTAGACACAAGCAGAGCTTCCAGAGCCCCTCCTAATTCAGGACAGTGGGGAGCCTACGGCACCACGTGGGGCAGGAGAGCAGAGGCGCAGGGCGGTGCCTGCAGCCAGGATGCCCCCGAGCCGCCGGCCGGGGCCATGTGGACGTCCTCCTTGCCAGCCCCGGGCTGAGTGAGGAGCTTAGGGAGAAAGTCCCAGCGCCGCCTGCACCCGCAGACAGCCGAGTTACCTGGGCTCTTGTGAAACAGAGAGACCAAACGCTGGGAGCTGTTGCCCCGCGCATTCGATGGGTGTAAGGCACCCCAGTGTAAACCACAAGGCCTAAGATCAGGCTGGGGTGCCCTGGAGGTCAGCCTAACCTGGGGACATTCTCAGAGGGAGGCAGGCTGTCACAAACTCAGGTCCCTCTCCCCACAGGGCAGGTTGCAGCATTTTCCTGACGAGGGGAACTGAGGTTCAGGGACACTAACAGAAGAGCTGAGGCTCACCCTTAGCTCTCTGCTCACTCAGAAATCCCCCCTGCTGTCCCTCCGCCGTCGGGTCAGTTTAAAAGCCAAGTGTGGGGCTGGCCAAGGGCAGTAGCTTCAGACGCAGGTCCCATCCTGAGGCGTTCTCCCACCCACACCCCGGCGGGGAAGGCTGACCCAGGGCAGATTTCAGCGTCCAGCAGGAACCTGTCCGGAGGAGGCCTCTCCCGCCGGGCACCTGTTATTCCAAGTCCGGAGCGTGATGGCATCTTCCAGCTGGCTGCACAGGGTTGATCTTCACACCGCCCTGGCTCTGAGCCATCTCCTGGTGCAGTATGGACATCCCAGGGAAGGCCTGTGACCTTTCCTTATGCCTGTGCTTCCTCTCATTTATTTATTTATTTATCTTTTTGAGACAGAGTCTTGCTCTGTCACCCAGGCTAGAGAGCATGACGTGATCTCGGCTCACTGCAACCTCTGCCTTTCGGGTTCCAGCAATTCTCCTGCCTCAGTTTCCCGAGTAGCTGGGACTACAGGCGTGTCCCATCACGCCTGCCTAACTTTTTTGTATTTTTAGTAGAGACGGGGTTTCACCGTGTTAGCCAGGATGGTCTCAGTCTCCTGACCTCGTGATCCGCCCACCTTGGCCTCCCGAAGTGCTGCGATTACAGGTGTGAGCCACGGTGCCCCGCCGCTTCCTCTCCTTTAAAGCGGGGTGATAACAGTGCCTCTGTCAGAGGGCTGTTGTGGGATTATAAGAGCCCACTTGTGAAATTGCGCGGTAGGGGTGGCAGTCATGATCACCGATGAAAATTCCAGGACGGGAGAAGACCATGTGCGTTACAGTTTCTGACGTCTCCTGTAATGCGATGGAGCCTGCATGTTGAACCGAAATGAGTTCACATTTTGGTTTATTCAACACTGGTAGCAGACGCCAGAAGAGGCTCAAACCCAAGACTTCCCCAGAACCTCTGCCCTTCCTCCACCTCCCCCCATTCCCCTCTCCTCCGAAGCCCCTTGCCGTGACCGGATGACTGACAAGGCTGCAGTCCTACGGCCGGGGACGGGGCTCCCGAGGCTCAGCAGCTGCTCACACCCATGTCCTCCTCTTGACTCACACCGACTGGCTCTGTCCTCACACTTCCCCAGCCCCTGGGACAGCTTTATCCTCTGCACCTGGGACTCCCCACCCGGAGTTTTGAGCACCCAGAGCCTGGCAGCAGCTCCCGTGGCGGGTCCTATGGGCCAGCAGGTGCTGGGCCTTTGCTTCCAGGCCACCTGCATCAAGATGGGACCAACCTGGCCCTGACAGGTATAAGAAAGGGGGACCCAGGTCCATCAGTAATGGGTCAGATGCTACCTCATGCCCACTAAGATGACCACGATCAAAACACAGAAACTAACAAGCGTGGGTGCAGCCGCGGTGACACAGAAGCCCCAGAGCATCGCTGTGGGGATGGACAGTGCAGTGGCCACGTCCCTCACCATGGAAAACGGTTTGGTGGCTCCTCAGTATGTTACACAAAACACGTGACCCAGCAGGCCCACTCCCAGGGATACACCCAGAGAATTGAAGACAAGTGTTCAAACAAAAACTGGCTCATGAATGTTCACAGCAGGACTAGTCACAGTAGCCAAAAGGCGGAAAACAGCCCCAAAGTCCATCAGCAGATGAGTGGGTAAACACAATGGAACACAGCCATACAACGGAATATATTCTAGCCGTAAAACAAACGAAGTTCTGACATATGCTGCACTGTGGGTGAATCTTGAGAATATCAGCCAAGTGACATGAACTGGACACTGAAGGGCACATGCGGTATGAGTCCATTCATTTCGAGTGTCCAGAAGAGGCAACTTCATAGAGATAGAAAGTCCGCTGGTGGTTTCCAGGAGATGGAGAGAAACAGGGAGTGATTACTAATGGGTACAGGATTTCTTTTTTTCTTTTGTTTTTTTGTAAGACAGAATCTTGCTCTGTCACCCAGGCTGGAATGCAGTGATGTGATCTCGGCTCGCTGCAACTTCCGACTCTAAGGCTCCAACAATTCTCCTACATAGCTGGGATTACAGGTGTGCACCACCATGCCCAGCTAATTTTTGTATTTTTAGTAGACATGGGGTTTCACCATGTTGATCAGCTGGTCTCTGACCTCAGGTGATCCACCCACCTCGGCCTCCCAAAGTGCTGGGATTATAGGCGTGAGCCACTGTGCCCAGCTGGTACGGGGTTTCTTTTTGGGGTGATTAAAATGTTCTAAAATGGATTGTGGTAATGGTTGCACAATTTTCTGAATGTACTCTGTCATGTGATTAGATTTTTTTTTTTTTTTTTTTGAGATGGAGTTTTACTCTTGTTGCCCAGACTGGAGTGCAATGGCTCGATCTCAGCTCACTGCAACCTCTCCCTCCCGGGTTCAAGCGATTCTCCTGCCTCAGACTCCTGAGTAACTGGAATTACAGACATGCGCCACCAGGCTCAGCTAATTTTTTTTTTTTTTTGTATTAAGTAGAGACGGGGTTTCACCATGTTAGGCTGATCTCGAACTCCTGACCTCAGGTGATCCACCTGCCTTGGCCTCCCAAAGTGCTGGGATTACAGGCATGAGCCATGGCACCCACCCTGATATTTTAAAGTAGTTAGTTCTGACTGGGCACGGTGGCTCACGCCTGTAATCCCAGCACTTTGGGAAGTCCTGGAAGAAGGATTGCTTGAGCCCAGGGGTTCGAGACCAGCCTGGGCAGCACAGCAAGATCCCGCTTCCATCTAAAAGAATCAGTGGGTAAGACCAACAACGATCAGGCTGGGCACAGGGCACCAGGTGGCGGGGATGAGGCCTGAGGCCCCGTGAGCGGAGTGGCCAGCTTGGGGTGGAGTGGGCCGGCTCCTCTCTAGAAACCTTCCTGGCAGGTAGGGTGTTTCAGAACCCTCCTTTTGCATGTTAGACAGATATCCACTTTGTCTGCACCAGAGCGGATGGGTTAGGACAGCCAAGTACCGGCTGCTGCGGGGCCTGCAGTTGCGTCTCAGGTTCCTCGTCTGTAAAACGGGATGAGAACAGCACCTGCCTCACAGAGTCCGCGTGAACATCAAAGGTGCAGGATGTTTGGGGGCTCCGCTCGGCGTCTCCGGCGATGACCATGTGATAAATGACAGTTATGCTGCCCAGGCGTCGTGGGATTGCAGGCGATCCCCCAGGGACCAAGGTTGACTGCGAGGGCAGACATGGGGGCCTGGCGACGAGAGCACCACAGTGCCCATCCCAGGCTGCATGGTTGCGTGTGGTGTCCCTCACAGGGTGTGCCCTTCTCTGCTTCCCTGGCCCTGCCCCATCCCCACTGTCCTGTTCAGGGAGGACCATACAGGGTTCCCCAGGCTCCCATTCAGGTGGCGCCGGGGCTTCTGACTGAGCCTAGACTCTGTGTGCCCCGCGGCAGGAAAGCTGGGGAAACGAAGGCCCAGAGGGGACTCTGTGCTTCAGGAGAGGCACCCCGAGACAGGACGGGGTGAGGGTTCTGTTCACCGCCTTCCCCTGGGGAGGGAGCTGGGGATGCACAGGTGGTTCTGAGTCAATCCGCCGGGGTCACGGCTGTGCTGGGGGGCCGGAGCCCCCCCCCTGGGAAAAAGGGGTCAAGACAGCACATTTCAGGAAGCAAGGGCCCAAGCTGGCGGGCAGGCGCAGTCGGAGAGGGAGGAAGGTGTGATGGAGGGCAGCTGGCGGTACAGGGGTCCCCTCGAGACCTCGCGTGGGGCCCTGGAACTTGGTGATATGAGCGTCCAGCACACAGCATGTCAGGCAGCCCCAGACCCGGCTTCCTTGTCCATACTGGAGGCGGCTCCCTGCCGCACATCCCGGGCCCCTCCCCCCAGGGCCTTGAGCGCCAGGGCCGCTCTGGGCTCCAGCTGCTGCCAGCCGTCTGGGGCCCAGCTGTTGTGTGCTGGCCTCGGCCGCCCCGCCCCGCCTGGCCACCTGGGCTGCCCTGCGCCCCAGCTGCTGGCCTCTGAGGCCCAAGTGAGCAGGGAAGTGAGGCGGGCCACCCGCTTCCCCATGTGGCTGGCTGTTGGGGGAGGCCGCCGCTTCCCCCTTGGCTGGCTCTTGGGGGAGGCCCTGCTCTCCAACCGGCTCAGAGTGGGGGAGGTGCCGAGGCCAGGCGGTGCCGTCGCAGAGCATGGCCCCTTTTTGGTTTCCCCCAACCTCCTTTTCTGGTCACCCCATCCATCAGAAGGACCCTTCTTGGCCTCATATCCTGGGACCTTGATGAGCCAAGTCCCTTGTCAGGAGCTGCTGTGGCTCTCGCCCAGGTCCTTGGAGGGGCGAGGGGGGCCCCTGGGCGGGGCGGCTGCTCCTGGGCTTGGTGTTGGGGCTGCCCTCTCCCTGGCCCCAGTGCCTGGGAGTGAGTGGCCTCTGGATTCCCTGGTGGAAAGGATCGGCCTTGCCCTAGGATGTCCTTCACCCAGGTGAGAGCTCCTAGAGCCCAGCGGGGAGGCCGAGGCTGTCATTTTTGGACCCAGGTATTTGGCGGGATCTGCCCCTCTTGGCACCCCTGCAGCTGAGCTCCGCCCCATCCCGCCTCCTCCCTACGGCTTCACCCGGCTGGTGCCAACATGCAGCCTACTGGGCTAACCATGGAGTGGCAGGGCCACCAGGGAAAGGCCACCCTCCAAAGCTGGGGGAGGAAGGGCATGGGGATGGGGGAGTCCCAGCTCATCAGTGGAGATGCCGCCTCTTGGGACATCACGCAGACAGTGTGTGGCTCCTTCCTGGACAGGTGAGGGAGGCTGGAGGTCAGGCTCCCGGGTGCCAAGGGGAGGGGCAGAGAGGCTGGTCCTTTGCCCTCCCAGCTGCCAGGCTCCACCGCCCTCACGAGCTGCAGGCCGCGGCCCCCACCCGTCCAGCCTGCTGGTCCCCACGCTCCTGCTCCTGCCGCAACAGCGGCAGCAGGCCAGGGAGGCCATGTGACCTTCGCTCGCCCTCCCTCCCTCCCTGTGATCCCCACGTGGCCTCTGGGGAGGCAGAAACAAACCCTCAGATCTTGCCACTGGGAACCTTTCAGCGCCAGCGACATCAAAGAGGGGCGGCGGCGGCGGGGGCGGCCGGCGGATGCTTCTCTTAAAGGGCCACGCCACTTTTAATTCAAAGCAGATCCTGGGAGCAGCTGTCTAGCTGCTGTCTGGGAGGGAAGGTGGCAGCCGAGCCCTCTCCAGACCTGGCTGCAGTTGCTCCTTAGAACTAGTTCAACCAGGCTGGGTGCGGTGGCTCAAGCCTGTAATCCCAGCACTTTGGGAGGCCAAAGCAGGGAAAACACGTGAGGTCGGAAGTTCGAGACCAGCCTGGCCAACATGGTGAAACCCTGTCTGCTAAAAACACAAAAATCATTACAGAAAGAAAACTCATGGGATGAAAAAAAAAAAAAAAATCAGCCAGGCATGGTGGTGGCGCGTGCCTGTAATCCCAGCTACTTGGGATGTTGAGGCACGAGAATTCCTTTAACCCAGGAGATGGAGGTTAGAGTGAGCTGAGATCACGCCACTGCACTCCAGCCTGGGTGAGAGAGTGAGACTCTGCCTCAAAAAAAAAAAACAACAAAAAAAAACTAGTTAAACCGGAGAGGGGTGGGGACGGAGAAGAAGAACCAGCACTATGCCGCCCTTAGAACTGAGGCTGACAAGGTCCCAAGTGGCCAGACGGCAGCAAGGTAGAAACTAGATTCGTTTAATGAAATAAATAGTGTGAGCCCTCTCGCACATTTATGTATGAGCTGCGATTCTTTTATGATTATTATTTTTAGAGACAAGGTCTCACTCTGTGTTGCCAGGCTGGACTGCAGTGGTGTGATCACGGCTCACCGTAGCCCTGAACTCCCGGGCTCAAGTGATCCTCCTGCCTCAGCCTCCTGAGTACCTTGGACTACAGGCTTGCACCACCACACTCGGTTACTTTTTAATTTTTTTTGTAGAGATGGGGTCTCACTATGTTGCCCAGGCTGGTCTTGACCTCTTGGGCTCATGTGATCCTCCCCCTTAGCCACCCTAGATGCTGGGATTACAGCCGCATGTCACCCTGCCTGGCCCTGAGGTGGGATTGTGAACCTGCCCAGGTGTCTGTCCTGCCTAGAGGCCACTGACTGAGGCTGGAAGTGAGGCAGCTCCATGAGCCACAGGAAGGTTCCCTGACCACCTCCCATTCATTTGCCTGAGCCCTGTCCCAGGCACGGGGACATGGGGCCGGGATGGCAGGTGCACCTTTGCAGGGCTTGTCTTCTGGAGGAAGCAGATGCTGAAAAGTAGCTGTTCAAGGAGCTCCCTGACAGGGTGACAGGGGAAGGGAAGACAGGAAAGCCAGGCAGAAGACAGCCCCTGTGCTGGGCATTCAGTGGGCCTGGCAAGGGCCTGGGCCAGCCCTGGGATTGACTTTGTGCAGCCTTCGGGGAGGAACCCAAACTCATCTTCTGGCCTGGCTCAGGCTTCCTGCAGCCCACCGGGGACTCACTGCCTGCAATGACCTCTTGGCCTTCCTGTGCCAAGTCAGGGTCCACTCACCTGCCTGGAGGGTGCTACAGGTGAGGATCTGAGGCCTGGGCAGGCGAGGCTCTATGTTGGAGGCCAGCACAGACCAGGTCAAAGTTCAGTTCGGTGCAGGTAGGGGGCTGGACCTGGTGCCTGGACCATTCCACGCCTGGACACTGTGGCCTCCCATGCAATGTCCAGCAGTGAGCACTTTGTGCTTTTGACTTAGTGCATGGTGGAGAAGAGTGGAGTCATAGGTGGCCGCAGAGTGGGGTCATGCGTAAATCTTTGAAAACGTGGGTGGGCTGCAGTGATAACAGCAAAAGAGACTGTGATATCCTGTGGTCACCTGTTGTATAAGGAGGAAGATAGGTTAAGAATCTACATCTGGCTGGGCGCAGTGGCTCACGCCGGTAATTCCAGCACTTTGGGAGGCTGAGGTCGGCGGATCACTTGAACCCGGGAGGTGGAGGTTGTGGTGAGCCGCGATCACGCCACTGCACTCCAGCCTGGGCAACAGAGTGAGACTCAGTCAAAATATATATATACATATATACATACATATACATATATATACATATATATACATATATACATATATATACATATATACATACATATACACATATATACATATATATACACATATATACATATATATACATATATATATACATATATATACATATATATATATACATATATATATATATATATTTGATTCCAAAGTATAAAGACATGGCCTGACCTGTTTCTTCTCCCACTCATCCTCATAGAAAACCATTTTCTTTTTTTTCTCTTTTTAGAGATGGAGTCTCGCTCTGTTGCCCAGCCTGGAGTGCAGTGTTGTGACCACAGCTCACTGCAGCCTCAAACTCCGGCCTCAGCCTCCTGAGTAGCTTGGACTACAGGCACACGCCACCACGCCTGGCTAATTTTTTTTTTTTTTTTTTGAGACAGAGTCTCACTCAGTTGCCCAGGCTGGATTGCAGTGGCTCGATCTCCGCTCACTGCAGGCTCTGCCTCCTGGGTTCACACCATTCTCCTGCGTCAGCCTCCTGAGTAGCTGGGACTACAGGCACCCGCCACCACACCCAGCTAATTTTTTTGTATTTTTTTTTTAGTAGAGACGGGCTTTCACCATGTTAGCCAGGATGGTTGCGATCTCCTGACCTTGTGATCCACCCACCTCAGCCTCCCAAAGTGCTGGGATTACAGGCATGAGCCACTGCGCCCGGCCAATTTTTTTTTTTTTTTGAGACAGAGTCTCGCTCTGTTGCCCAGGCTGGAGTGCAGTGGTGCTATCTTGGCTCACTGCAACCTCCGCCTCCTGGGTTCAAGCAATTCTCCTGTGTCAGCCTCCTCAGTAACTGGGATTACAGGTGTGCACCACCACGCCGGGCCAATTTTTGTATTTTTAGTATACGGGGTTTCACCATGTTGGTCCGGATGGTCTCAAACTCCTGACCTTGTGATCTGCCCATCTTGGCCTCCCAAAGTGCTGGGATTACAGGTGTGAACCACTGTGCCCGGCCAAGAAAACCATTTTCGTTAACTTCTAGGGTAGCCTGCTTGTTTTTCTTTTTGCAAAGATGAGCAAATTCCTGTGTCAGGTGCCAGGTGGGCACATATGTAGATTTTTTTTTTTTTTTTCTGAGACGGAGTCTTGCTCTGTCACCCAGGCTGGAGTGTGAGTGCAGCGGCACCATCTCGGCTCACTGCAACCTCCACCTCACGGGTTCAAGAGATTCTCCTGCCTCAGCCTCCAGAGTAGCTGAGATGACAGGCACACACCACCACGCCCGGCTGATTTTTGTATTTTTAGTAGAGGTGGTGTTTCATCATGTTGGCCAGGCTGGTCTTGAACTCCTGAACTCAGGTGATCCACCCGTTTTGGCCTTCCAAAGTGCTGGGATTACAGGCGTGAGTCACCGTACCGCACCTGAATCAAATAAACCTTTTGAACAATGAAAATATAGCACTATAAAAAAGGATGAAGAAAAAACCCCAAATTTAGTAAAAAACAAAATAAATAAATGTAACCTAACCGTGCATCAAATTGTTAAACGGACCTAACCTACCTATAATGGTTAATTGTATGTGTCAACTTGACCAGGCTAAGGGATACCCAGAGAGTTGGTAAAACCTCATGGCTGGGTATGTCTTCAAGGATGTTTCTGGAAGAAATTAGCATTTGGATCAGTGGCCCAAGAAGATCCACCCTCACCACAGCGGGCAGGAATCATCCAATCAGTTGAGGGCCCAAATAGAACAAAAAGGTGGAAGAAGGACACATTCTCTCTTCTTGAGCTGGGACGTCCATCCTCCTGCCCTTGGACATTGGAGAAGGGCAACCTGCTTCTCAGGCTTTTGGACTCCAGGACTTACACCAGCCGCCCATCCTACACTTCTGGGGCTTCAGGATGGGAGTTACACCTCTCGCTCCCCTGGTTCTCAGACCTGCAGACTTGGATTGAATTAAATTATATTGTAATTATATTATAAACCAATGTATTGAGTTATACACTGGTTTTGGGTATTGAGTTATACACTGGTTTGAGTATTCAGTTATACACTGGTTTATAATACACTGGTTTTCCTGTCTCAAGCTTGCAGACAACCGACCATGGGACTTCTTTCTCAGCCTCTATAATCATTTGAGCCAATTCCCATAATACATTTCCTCTTTTTTTTTTGAGATGGAGTCTCACTCTGTCACTCAGGCTGGAGTACAGTGGTGTGATCTCGGCTCACTGCAACCTCCACCTCCCGGGTTCAAGTGATTCTCCTGCCTCAGCCTCCCGAGTAGCTGCGACTATAGGTGTGCAGCACCACACCCGGCTATTTTTTGTGTTTTCAGTAGAGATGAGGTTTCCCCATGTTGGCCAGGCTGGTCTCTTGTATATATCTGTGCATATCCTATTGGTTCTGTTTCTCTGGAGGACCCTATAATACACTAACCTAACCTAACACAGAAAAGCAAATTAATTCAAATAACTTTTGAACACAATACTCTATGTTTCTTTAATGGGACATACTCTAAAGGACAAAAATAGCTACAAAGACATCTTGAAATTTCCACAGTAGATCTGTTGTTAATAGCAAGATTGCCGCAGTACCTCTGAAACTATTTGGAGGGCATTTTAGAACAAAGCAAATGAATAAATATACTGATTTACTGACAATTAGGGTTCTCACTGCGGACAAAGGAGGTATTAGGTTGAACCATGTAGGTTTTGTCATTTTTTTGTAGATCAAAAATGATCGGCTGGGCGCAGTGGCTCATGCCTATCTATAATCCCAGTACTTTGAGAGGCCGAGGTGGGAGGATCACCTGAGGTCTGGAGTTCAAGACCAGCCTGGCCACCACAGTGAAACCCCATCGCTACTAGAAATACAAAGATTAGCTGCTCATGGTGGCAAGCGCCTGTAATCCAAGCTATTCAGGAGGCTGAGGAAGGAGAATCGCTTGAACCCGGGAGATGGGGGTTGCACTGAGCCGAGATCGTGCCACTGTATTCCAGCCTGGGCAATAGAGCGAGACTCTGTCTCAAAAAAAAAAAAAAAAAAAAAAAAAAAAGCCTGGGTGCGGTGGCTCACACCTGTAATCCCAGCACTTTGGGAGGCCGAGGCAGGCGGATCACAAGGTCAGGAGATTGAGACCATTCTGGCTAACATGGTGAAACCCTGTCTCTACTAAAAATACAAAAAATTAGCCGGGTGTGGTGGCCGGTGCCTGTAGTCCCAGCTACTCGGGAGGCCGAGGCAGGAGAATGGCGTGAACCTGGGAGGTGGAGCTTGCAGTGAGCCAAGATTGCGCCACTGCACTCCAGCCTGGGTGACAGAGTGAGACTCCGTCTCAAAAAAAAAAAAAAAGAAGATAAAAAAAGGTTAACTAGGGCAATTTAATAGAATTCAACCAAATACAAATATGGAATGAGGGAAGAAGGGGGAGAAGGCTGAGGTGTGGCTTAGAAATATTCAGATGAATTCATCACACTAATTGTGTCCCCTGAGAGGGCCCAGAAAGCAGTGACATCCCAGTAGCCATGAGCACACTCAGCACCCAGAACTTGGTCTCTAAATCCCATTTCCTTGTAAAAGGGATTGGGGTTTCTCTGAAAAATGGCTGACTTCAGGGCTTGGGCAGAGAGGAGATGCCCAAAGAATAATGGAAATGCCAAAAGGATGCAGGAAAGATGTCCACACTTGGACAATTAACTGTGGATTAACTCAGAGTATGATACCAACATTAGATTTCCCAATTTTGTATGAAATTATGGTGGCTATATAAGAGACTGGCCTTATTTTATTTATTTATTTTTTTGAGACTGAGTCTCACTCTGTCGCCAAGGCTGGAGTGCAATGGCGTGATCTTGGCTCACTGTAACCTCCACCTCCCACAATCAAGCAATTCTCCCACCTCAGCCTCCCAAGTAGCTGGAATTACAGGCACCTGCCATCACGCCCAGCTACTTTTTGTATTTTTTGTAGAGATAGGGTTTCACCATGTTGGCCAGGCTGGTTTTGAACTCCTGACCTCAGGTGATCCACCCGCCTTGGTCTCCCAAAATGCTGGGATTACAGGCGTGAGCCACTGCACCTGGTTGAGACTGGCCTTATTCTTAGGAAAGAGAAAAACTGAAGTATTTAGTGGCGAAGGTGCTCAATGTCTTTACTGCAGCCTCGACCTCCTGGGCTCAAGTGATCCTCCTGCCTCAATCTCTCAAATCGCTGGGACTACAGGGACATGCCACCATGCCTAGCTAACCTTTGTATTTTTTGTAGAGCTGGGGTCTCACTATGTTGCCTAGGGTGGTCTCAAACTCCTAGGCTCAAATGATCCTCCTACTTTGGCCTCCCAAAGTGCTGGGATTATAGGTGTAAGCCACTGTGCCTGGCCAGAAAAAGTTTTTACATGTATATGGAGAGAGAGAAAGAGAATATGATAAAACAAATGGGGTGACATGTAAACACTGATTTATCTGGCTAAAAGATATACAGGAGGCTGGGCGTGGTGGCTCACACCTGTAATCCCAGCACTTTGGGAGGCTGAGGCGGGTGGATCACGAGGTCAGGAGATTGAGACCATCCTGGCTAACATGGTGAAACCCCATGTCTACTAAAAATACAAAAAATTAGCCGGGCATGGTGGCAGGTGCCTGTAGTCCCAGCTACTCGGGAGGCTGAGGCAGGAGAATGATGTGAACCCGGGAGGCGGAGCTTGCAGTGAGCCGAGATTGCACCACTGCACTCCAGCCTGGGCAACAGAGCGAGACTCCGTCTCAAAAAACAAAACAAAACAAAACAACAACTAGCTGGGTGTGGTGCTGCACACCTGTAGTCCCAGCTACTCGGGAGGCTGAGGCAGAAGAATCGCTTGAACCCGGGAGGCAGAGGTTGCAGTGAGCTGAGATTTCGCCACTGCACTCCAGCCTGGCGACAGAGGGAGACTCCATCTCCAAAAAAAAAAAAAAAAAAAAAAGATATACAGCAGGAATTCTTGCTTTTGCAAACTTTTCTTCTCTTTCTTCCTTCCTCCTCCCTCTTCTTCTTTCTTCTCCTTCTCCTTTTTTGAGACGGTATCGTACTACGTTGCTCGGGCTGGGGTGCAGTAGTTATTCATAGGCATGAATAGTGGTTCACTAAGGCTGGAACTTAAGTAATTCTCCTGCCTCGGCCACCGGAGTAGCTAAGACTACAGGTGTGAGCCACCTTGCTCGGCTAAGTTTGAAATAATATCAGGATAAAAGATCATCCCTCCTATCAAAAAAAGCATAGGAGCCAGCTTAAAGGAGGTCTCACTGGCCAAATTCGGACCAATTTGAGCATCAAAAAGAATGCTGACTGAATGAAAAAAATACATGAATTCATATTAATAAATATATATATTTCAAGATGGGGTTTCACTCTTGTCGCCCAGGCTGGAGTGCAATGGTGCGATCTTGGCTCGTTGCAACCTCCATCTCCCAGGTTCAAGTGATTCTCCTACCTCAGTGTCCCGAATAGCTGGGATTACAGGCACGCACCGCCATGCCCGGCTAATTTTTGTACTTTTTTTTTAAGTAGAGACAGGATTTCACCATGTTGGCCAAGATGGTCTCAATCTCTTGACCTTGTGATCTGCCCAACTCAGCCTCCCAAAGTGCTGGGATTACAGGCGTGAGCCACCGCGCCTGGCCATATTTAATTTTTTTTTTTTTTTTTTTTTTGAGACAGAGTCTTGCTCCGTCTCCCAGGCTGGAGTACAGTGGCGTGATCTCAGCTCACTGCGAGCTCTGCCTCCCGGATTCACGCCATTCTCCTGCCTCAGCCTCCCAAATATTTAATAACTTTTTAAAGAAGGGGAAGCTTGACCGAAAGTGACTATAAATGTAGAAGAAACAATAAACTTGGGAAGCCATGATTTTGCAGCTTTACGGTTTAACACTGAATCTACTCATTAACTGATGCTAAAACTGTTGGGCAAATGGTTATTGGGAAAACTTGATGCTTGTGGTCTCAGAGAATGACCTCACGCATGCCTTAATTACTCCACAAGGAGCCACGGACCTTGACCATGGAGGAATTCAGCAGACCCAAAGCTGACCAAGTGGTTCAACTTCACGTCCTCACTCATGGCCACGCTGATGTCCTGCACCTCCTGCTGACTTGTCACCTCCCTTCATCATTGCCCCAAACGTTTAACCAAGGATCCAGACTGTGGGACAGTCTAAGGAAAATAGGAACAGACTCTTCAAAAACGCCACTAAAGAATTAAAACCCACCAGGTGATGTGTGGCTCAGTAAGGTTCTGAGGTTGCACAGAGCATGGGACTGGCTGGCTGGATGGGAGGGCTATGGCTAGCCTGGGGCTTTCCCCAGGTTTCTCCAATGTACATAGATGTCCGTGTTTGTCAGCATACAGGTGTGTGTGGGTGACATGGATATGTCATCGACAGGAAGGCACAACAGCACCCATGCAGAGATGTCCTTAGACTCAGCAATGACTGCCGGGTGCGGTGGCTCACGTGTGTAATCCCAGCCCTGTGGGAGGATTGACTGATAACTGCACCAGTTCCCCCTTCCACAGGCTACTGGGCAGCTGAGCCCTAGCCAGGAGTCCGCAGAGACAGGCAGGCACATGGAGAGAGGAGTGCCAAGGCCCGGCTGAGCCATGGAGGTGGGGGGCGGGGCGGAACACGTGCGAGTGCTGTCCATGAGTGGCCCAGGTGCTGGGAGCTAAGCACATTCGACGGCTGCGAGTCAGGAGGGCAGCTCCTTCTGGAAGCCTGGAGCTGGTGAGGCCAGGTGCTTTCCCTGCTGCGGTGGCTGGCGATGGGAGTGTTTCCTGAGGCTGCCACCAAGCCCCTCCTCAGCATGGGTTGGTGCGGGAAGTCCTTGAGTGCCTGTGGGTCGGCAGGAGCTCCGGTGAGACTCAAGTTCGCTCACCCCACGGTTCTGAAACCGGTCTCCCGCCTTTCCTACCCTCAGGTTTAGGGACCGTCGCGGCAGCCCTAGGGCTGCCAGATTCTGCACTCCCATTTTAGGATGAAAGAAATCAGGTCTAGACTGAGGGCCACGAGTCCCAACACCCAGGGAGGATCCGTACAGGGGCGGGGGGACTGCCCCAAACCATAAGGTCAGGAGGTGGACGCTGACCACAGGGACAGGTGGGCAGGGAAGAGGCTCAGCTGCTGGAGTGGAGGAAGCCGGGAGGGTCGGGGGAGAGCAGGGCACCGAGCTGGGGACGTGTCAGGGACGAAGCGAGGGTGGGCGAGCGCGGACCGCTGGGACCCCGGGGCTCAGTGCCGCTCACCGGGGGTGACCGCGCGCCCAGCCCCGGCCCAGCCTGGCCCCGGCGAGCCCATCCAAGCCGCGCTTCCCGGAGGCAGAGGACGACCGCGCTTTCCGGGTCTGGCGCGGGCTTTGGCGGCCCAAGGGCGGGGCCGGGGCGCCGTGGGTGGGGAAAGGGCGGGGCCTGGCAGGACCCGGAAGTGCGCTGCGGCCCCGCCCCCTGGCCGCGTGGCTGCGCGTCCTGGCTGTTGCCGATAAAGTTGTTTGACGCCGGCCCGGCGGCGGGTCACGTGAGCGGAAAATGGCGGCCCCGGCAGGCGGCGGAGGCTCCGCGGTGTCGGTGCTGGCCCCGAACGGCCGGCGCCACACGGTGAAGGTGACGCCGAGCACCGTGCTGCTTCAGGTGCGGCCGCCCGCCCGGGGCGGACGGGTAGGCGGGCGGGGGGCGCTGCGCCGAGGCCCCGCCCATTGCGGTCGGCGTCCCGGTGTTCGGGGGCGGGGCCTCGGCGGCCAATGAGCGGCCTCCTGAGCGGCGGCCCCGCCCCCTGCTCGCCGTCACCTGCGCTTCCGCTGGGGTCCCGGGGGTCCCGGGGGTCCCGAGTGGGGGCGGGGCGGTGGCGAGCCTTCCCAGGGGTGAGGTAGAACGGCGCCGCGTGTCACCCGCATCGAGTACTCGGCGCCCGGCCGAGCCCAGCTCGCGAGGGCGCCGGGAAGAGGGAGGAGTGGAGCCCTAGACCCGCGTTCCCATTCCGGGGCGTCCCCCGGAGCGGGAGCCCGGGTTGCGCGGTGGCAGATGTCCCGGCCGTGGGGCCTGGAAGCGATTTTTGCCGAGTCACTCACTGCACTTTTACTTGGGCACCTTGTGACCGCGAATCAATTAAATGTAAAAGTATTGGCTGGGCGCGGTGGCTCACGCCTGTAAATCCCAGCACTGTGGGATGCCGAGGCGGGTGGATCACGAGGTCAAGAGATCAAGACCATCCTGGCTAAAACGGTGAAACCCCGTCTGTACTAAAAAAATACAAAAAAATTTAGCCGGGCGTGGTGGCGGGCGCCTGTAGTCCCAGCTACTCGGGAGGCTGAGGCAGGAGAATGGCGTGAACCTGGGAGGCAGAGCTTGCAGTGAGCCGAGATCGCGCTACTGCACTCCAGCCTGGGAGACAGAGCGAGACTCCATATCAAAAAAAAAAAAAAAAAGTATTTATTGAGCCTCTGCTGCGTGGGGGACCGTGAGGATCCGAAGGTGCACACGACTCGGAGTTTGCGGGAGCAGCCCACGGCGTGGGGTCCCCAGGCCTGGGCAGGTGGAGGGCGCAGCCAGGAGGCTGTTGGTGCCAGGCGTGCAGAGTGCGGAAGTGGGGCGCTCCCGCAGAGGCTGCGCGGGACCCCTTGGTGCAAGGCCACGGCTTTGGCTTTTTATGGAGAAGAGGGGCGGAGGCGGTGCAGGCAGTGGCAGCAGGTGCACAGAACCGTGCCAGAGCCAGGGGGTAGCTTGTGCTAGGCAAGTTTAAGGCAGGTTGCAGAACTACAGGGTTTGAAGGAGAGCCCAGGGTGTGTGCCAGGAAGATGCCCGTGTTGCTGTACTGCAGGGGAACTCTGAGTGGAGCTTTCCTACAAAACTGAGGGGATGGTGAAGAAGGGAGGGAGAGTGGACAGGATTTGCAGGTGAGAGCCTGCATTTGTTGCGGGGACCGTCCATAGTGTGGTCTTGTGCTTGGCTTTGCCTGGGCAGAGCCACCTGGCTCACCAGGAAGCTGAATGCCCTTGGCTGACCTGGCCCACTGCGCCCGCCAGCCCTGCACACTCAGCAGTTCACCATCCTTTCATCTCACCCCCAGGTTCTGGAGGACACGTGCCGGCGGCAGGACTTCAACCCCTGTGAATATGATCTGAAGTGAGTTTGCTCCAGCTCAGCAGCAGGGTCTGAGTATATCTGTGCCCCTGCCCCCTGAACATACTGGCTCTCACTTGGAAAAGCCCCCAGGTGGTTTTAAACAGTCATATATTCCCTCCCAACTCTGGAGACCCAAGGCCTTGGCAGGGCCACACTCTCTCCAAATGCCCTAAGGGAGAATCCCTCCTGCCTCTTCCAGCTTCTCATGGCTCCAAGCGTTCTGTGGCTTGTGGCCGCATTGCTCTCTGCCTCCGATTTCTTGTGGCCTTTTCCTGTTTTCTCTGTGTCTCAGGAAGACCCTTGTCATTGGATTTAGGGTCCACTTGGATAATCTAGAACGATTTATCATTACATCTTCAAAGACCAGGATCCCTAGTAAGATGTTCAGAGGTCCTGGGGGTGAGGACATTGACCCATCTTTTTTGGGGGGGCCACCATTCAACCCCCTGTAGGTTTTATTGCATTGAGTTGCATAAGTTCCCAGTGGGGCTCTGAGGGGAAAGAGCTGGCCGTGGAGAAATAGGATGCCTTGAAAACTGCAGGTGGATCCCTGCAGTCTCACAGCCCCTGGAATTACACGTACGCTTCTGTGTGGGGATATTGTTCCCAAGAGAGGGCTTCTGCCAGACTCTCAAGGAGTCTGAGACAGCAGAAGGGTCAGAGCCCTCATATGGATAGGATGTGCGTGTCTATCCCACACGCGAAGCTTTTCACTTTAAAGTCCTGTTTTCTGGTGTTTTTTTTGTTTTGTTTTGTTTTTGAGACAGGGTTTCACTCTTGTCGCCCAGGCTGGAGTGCAGTGGCACGGTCTTGGCTCACTGCAACCTCCACCTCCTAGGTTCAAGTGATTCTCCTGCCTCAGCCTCCCGAGTAGCTGAGATTAGAGGTGCTCACCAACACACCCAGCTAATTTTTATATTTTTAGTAGAGATGGGGTTTCACCACATTGGCCAGGACGGTCTAGAACTCCTGACCTTGTGATCCGCCTGCCTTGGCCTCCCAAAGTACTGGGATTACAGAGATGAGTCACCATGCCTGCCCTTGAAGACCTGTTTTTACAGTACTGTTGTCCTAACACTGGGGGCAGAGGGCAGGAGCTTGCCCTCCTGGCATTGCCCACCCTGCCTTACGAGGCTCTCCTGGGAGGAGTTTCTTAGGGGTGATACCTGCCAAGTCATTCCAGTCTTCTACCTTGTGTCTGGACCACGTGAGAATCCCAGGACCTGTGCTCTGAATGCCAGGTGGTCTTGGGCTTTCTGCCCCAGACCTTCACACCATCCTTCTCCAGTCTCTCTTGTCAACTGAAGAATGCGGTTCATATGTTTGGAAAGGAGGGCTTTATTTCTCATAACCGGTTGCAGCTTGCAGGGTGGCCATTCTAACAGGCTGGGAAGTGTAGCCTCCAGCCAGAAGCTGGAAACAGACACTTCAAGAGAGGGAAGAATAAGACAGGGATTTACACCGAATGGGGTGGCTGATACAGACGTACTTAATACGCTGTAGGAGGATCATGAGTATTCATGAAAGGAGAACTGTGCACACAGTTGAGCTTCCTGCCTCTTCACGGGTCCTATGTGCAAAAAATGGCAGTGCCAGCATGACCTGAGGGTGGAATTTTTGGCCTCTGAAGTCAGAGGTGAAGCAGGCTGGGTGAAGTGGCTCATGCCTGTAATCCTAGCACTTTGGGTGCCCGAGGCGGAGGATTGCCTGAGCCCAGGAATTCGAGATCAGCCTGGGGAACATAGTGAGACCCTGTCTCTACAAAAAAAGTAAATAAGTAAATAAATAAATAAATGGCAAATCAGAGGACATGAAGACTGTGCCACGAAAACCCTGACTGTGCCAGAACCACTCCATGGTTGGTGGTTTCTTATCAGGAAATACCTGTGGGTTGTTTTGAAGAAACCGCAAGAGAGAAGGGCCTGGCGGGAGGTTGGCTGATGTCAGATACCAGCCCAGGGGTCTTTGGAAAGGGCTGCTTTCTGTTTATCCCTTAGGGAAGAGAGCCTGCAGATGTGTCTGATCTCCCACCCAGCCATGGCCAGGAACTCAGCTTTCAAGGTTTCTGGGGTCCCCTGGGCCAAGAGGAGGCTGGTTCAGTTGGTTGGGGGGGGCTTAGGGTTTCATTTTTATTTCTTTTTTATTTTATTATTTTTTGAGGTGGAGTCTCGCTCTGTCACACAGGCTGTAGTACAGTGGCGCTATCTCGGCTCACTGCAACCTCTGTCTCCCAGGTTCAAGTGATTCTTCTGCCTCAGCCTCCCGAGTAGCTGGGATTACAGGCGTGCGCCATCATGCCCAGCTAATTTTTGTATTTTTAGTAGGGACGGGGTTTCACCATGTTGG
Organism: Homo sapiens; assembly: GCF_000001405.40. Classification (NCBI taxonomy): domain Eukaryota; kingdom Metazoa; phylum Chordata; class Mammalia; order Primates; family Hominidae; genus Homo; species Homo sapiens. The sequence goes on from NC_000017.11 coordinate 81,981,586, forward strand.
TCATGCTGGTCTTCAAGTCCTGACCTCAGGTGATCTGCCCGCCTTGGTCTTCCAAAGTGTTGGGATTACAGGCATGAGTCACTGTGCCTGGCCATTTTTCTGAAACAGAGTCTTGCTCTGTCACCTAGGCTGGAGGGCAGTGGCATGATCTCAGCTCACCGCAACCTCTGCCTCCCGGGTTCAAGCGATTATTGTGCCTCAGCGTCTTGAGTAGCTGGAATTACAGGCACGTGCCACGCCTGGCTAATTTTTGTATTTTTAGTAGTGACGGGGTTTCACCATGTGGACCAGGCTGGTCTCAAACTCCTGACCTCAAGTGATCCGCCCGTCTTGGCCTCCCAAAGTGCTGGGATGATAGGCGTGAGCCACTGCACCTGGCCTCATTTTTCTTTCTTTTTTTTGAGACGGAGTCTCGCTCTGTCGCCCAGGCTGGAGTGCAATGGCGCGATCTTGGCACACTGCAACCTCCGCCTCCCGGGTTGAAGCACTCCTCCCACTTCAGCCTCCCGAGTAGCTGGGACTACAGGCCTGTGCCACCATGCCTGGCTAATTTTTGTATTTTTAGTAGAGACGGAGTTTCACCACATTGGCCAGACTGCTCTCAAACTCCTGACCTCAAGTGATCTGCCCGTCTGGGCCTCCCAAATTGCTGGGATTACAGGCATGAGCCACCGCGCCCAGCGCATTGTTACTTCTCAGTGTTCACCTGCCCGTGGTCTGTGTGGTGGTGTCTGGTGGGAACCAGTGAGTGCGATTTTGAGGCAGGTCCTGCAATACCATAGCCATGTTTTCAGGTGCCCTTTTCCTCTGCTAATGGTACCACTTGCTTACAAAGTGCAGCCGGTGCAGAGGAATGCAGCCCCAGGCGTGAACAGTGCCCTCCGCTCCAAGGTTCCCAGCCTGCCTGCCCTCGGGATCCCCCGATCTGCTATCCTGTCTTGACGTAGACATTTCATGTGGCAATTTCCAGACTCACTTTTCTGGCCAGTGTTGATATAGCAAAGTTTGTTCTCTCTTAATTCTTCCAGATGCCCCTGGGCTGTCTGAACTCTCTTCACTAGTTGTCTCCGACAGCAGCTTGCATTTCCAAAGTGAGGCCAACCACTTTGAGTATATTCAGATTTTTCTTTTCTTTTCTTTCTTTTTCTTTCTTGTTTTCTCTTTCTTTCTTTCTTTCTTCTTCTCTTTTTCTTTTTCTTCCTTTCTCTTTTCTTTTCTTTTCTTTCCTTTCCTTTCCTTTTTTCTTTCACAGAGTTTTGCTCTTGTTGCCCAGGCAGGAGTGCAGTGGCATGATCTTGCCTCACTGCAGCCTCTGCCTCCCGGGTTCAAGCGATTCTCCTGCCTCAGCCTCCCGAGTAGCTGGGACTACAGGCCTGAGCCACCATGCCCAGCTTATTTTTTTGTATTTTTAGTAGAGATGGGATATTTTTGTATTTTCAGTAGAGACGGGGTTTCACCATGTTGGTCAGGCTTGTCTCAAACTCCTGAACCTCAGGTGATCCGCCTGCCTCGGCCTCCGAAAGTGCTGGGATTACAGGCGTGAGCCACTGCGCCCGGGCAGTCAGGTTTTCTGTGGTGGCTCCAGCCGTGACGGCCGGGGTCTGTGACACTCCAGCTTCCGCGAGTGCAGCAGTGTTCACGCCCCAGTCGTTCTCTCTGTGTTTTCCGAGCGTCTGCACTGGGGCTGTCAGCACCCCAGACTCTGAAGGAGCAGCCCCCTCGGCGTGCACCGAGGCCCACATCTCCCTTTTTCCTGCTCCCTTCTGCTTGCAGGAGGCCCCATATGATCGGGGACCCGCCTTGTGCCTCTGCAGGTCATGACGTCCCGCTGTTGGGGAGCTGCCACAGGACGTGGATGGCGGGGCGTGGATGGCGGGGCGTGGATGGTGGGACGGGGATGGCGGGGCGTGGATGGCAGGGCGTGTCAGGCTCTGCAGGGCAGCAAGTGTGCTCTGGTCTGTCTTGCAGGTTTCAGAGGAGCGTGCTCGACCTTTCTCTCCAGTGGAGATTTGCCAACCTGCCCAACAATGCCAAGCTGGAGATGGTGCCCGCTTCCCGGAGCCGTGAGGGGCCTGAGAACATGGTGGGTCGTGCTCTGGGGGAGGCTGACTGTGTGGGGCACAGGATCGTTCAGCTGGCCAGGGACGGGGGACGGGACAGTGGGGGGTGCTGGGGAAGGAGGGACATGAGTCTTAGCACCAGTTCTGCCTTCCCTGGGTTGGGCCCAAACAGCTTCCTGTTTTTTGATAACTGGCAACTGAAAATGAGCATCTCATGTTTTTTTTTTTTTGAGCTGGAGTCTCGCTCTGTCGCCCAGGCTGGAGCTCAGTGGCGCAGTCTCGGCTCACTTCAAGCTCCGCCTCCCGGGTTCACACCATTCTGCCTCAGCCTCCCGAGTAGCTAGGACTACAGGTGCCCGCCACCACACCCGGCTAATTTTTGTATTTTAGTAGAGGCAGGGTTTCACCATGTTGGCCTGCTGGTCTGGAACTGCTGACCTCATGATCTACCCGCCTCGGCCTCCCAAAGTCCTCCCAAAGGATTGCAGGCGTGAGCCTCTGCGCCCCGCCCACGTCATTCTTCATGTGGAAGTTTTTCTTTCTTTCTGGGGTCAGTTGTGCCTTCCCTGGCTCAGGGTGTCAGCAGCATTCACCCACCAGCCTGACCACCTGCTCATAGAATTGCCCAGAATGTTAGAGCCGAAAGCGCTGCATGGATGCCGCAAGGGCAGCCTGTAATCCCAGCACTTTAGGAGGCCGAGGCGGGCAGATCACCTGAGGTCAGGAGTTTGGGACCAGCCGGCCAACATAATGAAACCCCGTCTCTACTAAAAATACAAAAATTAGCCGTGGGTGGTGGCGGATGCCTGTAGTCCCAGCTACTCAGCAGGCTGAGGCAGGAGAATGGCGTGAACCCGGGAGGCGGAGCTTGCAGTGAGCCGAGATTGTGCTGCCACTGCACTCCAGCCTGGGCGACAGAGTGAGACTTTGTCTCAAAAAAAAAAAAAAGAGCAGCAAACATTTACCATCTCATGTGGCTTCTGAGGGTCAGGAATCTGGGAGCAGCTTAGCTCAGTGTCTGTCCTGAGGCTGCAGTCAGGTTCGGTGGAGCTGCAATCTTTTGAAGCCCCCACTGGGACACGAGGACTGTCTCCAACACAGTTCACTCCTGTGGCGCCTGCATGTACCCACACACACCCACACACACCCCCACACACCCACATACCCGCACACCCGTACACACCCCCACACACCCCTGCACACACCCCACACACACCTGCACACCCCCGCACACACACCCCCCACACACACCCACACACACCCCTACAGCAACGTGCACACACCCCCACACCCGCACACACCCGCACACACCCCACACACCTGCACACACCCACACACCTGCGTGCACACCCCCCCACACACCTGCACACACCGCCCACACCAACATGCACACACCTCCCCCCCACACACACCCACGCACACACCTGTACACACACACCTACACATCTGCGCACATACCCGCACACACCTGCATGTAAACATGCACACACACGCACATCTGCACGCACATGCGCACACCTGCACACACCCACACACCAACATGCACACATCCACACACATACCTGCACACAACTGCACACCCCCGCACACACCCACACACACATATGCACACACGCACGCACACCTGCACATACCTGCACACTCACATGCACACACGCATGCTGGTGCAGCCCTGCCGGGGAGCCTCCAAGGCCCTCACTCCAGAGTGAATAGGAGGGTAGCCTTCTCCGTGGGGGTCAGCCTCTCCCTGGAGGCCAGGGCGGGGCAGTCACCCTCTCTGTGTCTGGAGAATCAGTCTGGGATTTAGAAGGAATAGTTGCTTTTCTTCCTAAGGAAGTTTCTCATGTCTTATACCCTCCAGGTTCGCATCGCTTTGCAGCTGGACGATGGCTCGAGGTTGCAGGACTCTTTCTGTTCAGGCCAGACCCTCTGGGAGCTTCTCAGCCATTTTCCACAGATCAGGTGAGCATCAGTGGGCTGGGGGCTCTTCCCTACCCTGTTTGCTGGGGAAGCTGCTGTGGTTACTGGGTCTGGTTCAGAGCTGGACACCCAAGCTCTGTGCTGGCCTGTGGTGCCTCTTGGCACTTTGCAGTCCTTTGTAGAGGAGGGGTGTGTGGGCTGCCGGTTCATGAGCAGCAGCCTCGGGGATGGCTGGTCACAGCTCATCGTTCTGAGTTTCCTGGGCCCAGCGGCCCAGCCTTGCCCACCTAGAAGAGCAGGAATGTGCTTCTGTCCTTGTGGGGGCCTGGTGAGCACTAAGGGGAGACGTTCGGTGCTGGGGGCAGGGCTCCCCATGCTTGATTCCCCTGGATGGGATCATAAGGTCTCTTTTTTTTAAGAGGCAGGGTCTCACTATGTTGGTCACCTAGGCTGCTCTTGAACCCATGGGCTCAAGAAATTCTCCCATCTCAGCCTCCCAAAGCGTTGAGATTACAGGTGTGAGCTCCTGTGCCCCACCAGAAAATCTTCCTAATAGTAATTGGATGGCTGGGCACAGTGGCTGGGCACAGTGGCTGGGCAAAGTGGCTTGCACTTTGGAAGGCCGAGGCTGGCGAATCGCTTGAGCTCATGAGTTCAAGACTAGCCTCGGCAACATAGTGAAACCCCTTCTCTACAAAAAATAGAAATGTTAGGCCAGGCATAGTGCATGGTGGTGCGTGCCTGTGGTCCCAGCTATGCCAGAGGCTGAGGTGGGAGGATCACTTGAGCCGTGGAGGCAGTTGCAGTGAGCCGAGATCGCACTGCTGCACTCCAGCCTGGGCAACAGAACGAGACTCTGTCTCAAAAAAATAAATAAATAAAAATAAGTAATTGATGTGTATCAGTTTCTGTCGGTTAATGGTTTAAACGTTGTTCCTGAATGTGTAAAAATTGGTGCTTTGTCAATTTGGGTCTTTTCATCGTTGGCTGGAAGTCTCTGTCCACAGTAAAAGGCTCAGCAGAATGGAAGGGACTTGGGGCTGGGGTTTGCTGTGAGCCAGGGGGTTCTCGCCCTCCCCGGGCCTCAGTTTCCTCACCTGTGCCCCGGCTGGTGTGTGGATGGGGTGAGTTCATGTCTTGAGGACCGAGCATAGGGCCTGTGGGAAGGTGACCGCGCGTCGGGCGCTGGGAAGGTGACTGTGCGTTGGGCGCGCTTGGTGGCCCCAGGGCTGGGCCTGCTCCCGTCTGACAGTAGTGCCGCGCTGCATGGCACGGGTGTTGCGTTCGTGGGTGAGAGCGCTGAGGTCTGCACGTCGGGTCTCAGTGGTCATGGGGATGGAAGCCACCCCAGTGGCTGTCGGGGTGAATGGAGGCCCCTGGAGATGGCAGCGGGTTAAGCACGAGCACGGAATTCTCCCTCCCAAAACGGAACTCAGACAACAGTGACGGAGCCTAAGAGCAAAGCCAAAGCCACGGGCAGGGGTGAGCGGGACCCGAGGCAGGAGATGACGGAGCCTAAGAGCAAAGCGAAGCCACGGGCAGGGGTGAGCGGGACCCGAGGCAGGAGGTGACAGAGCCTAAGAGCAAAGCGAAGCCACGGGCAGGGGTGAGCGGGACCCGAGGCAGGAGATGACGGAGCCTGAGAGCAAAGCGAAGCCACGGGCAGGGGTGAGCGGGACCCGAGCCAGGAGTGGCGCCGGGCAGGGAGGCAGGCAGCCCCAGGCGCTGTGTGGGCACTGGGTGAGAAGCAGGGATCCCGGCGCCCTGGCTCTGTGCTGCTTCCTGAGACGAGAGTGGCAGAGGGCAAGAAGAAAACCAAACAGCGCGGGGAACAGAAGTCAGGAAAGATGAACGTCTGGAAGGAAATGCCCCTGGGCCGGGCGGTGCCCCCGGGCGTGAACAGAATCCAGTGCTCCCACAGGCACAGGTGCTTGGTGAGGGCCGTCCTCCCTGGCTGTGCTGTCAGTCCTCAGATGGGGATGGAGGTAAGGAAATGGCCCAGAGTGGCCTGGGGCTGCCACTGGGGAGGGGCCGAGGGTGTCTGGAGAGGTGGGGCCGGCATTGTGGTAGCATAAGCCTCTTCAACAGACTTTGTAAACCTCGTGTGAAACTTAGTTTAAGAAACAACAGGCTTGGCCAGGCGTGGTGGTTCTGGAAGTGGCTTTGGAGCTGGCTTTGGTGGTGGCTGTGGGGGTGGGTTTGGGCGCTTTGGAGGAGGTTGCAGTGAGCCGAGATCGCACCATTGCACTCTAGCCTGGGTGACAAGAGCAAAACTCCATCTCAAAAAAACAAAAAAACAAAAGAAACAACAAGGCTGGGCACGGTGGCTCACACCTGTAATCGCAGCACTTTGGGAGGCTGAGGCGGGTGGATCACGAGGTCAGGAGTTCGAGACCAGCCTGGCCAATATGGTGAAACTCCATCTCTACTAAAAATACAAAAATTAGCCGGGCGTGGTGGTGGGTTCCTGTAGTCCCAGCTACTCAGGAGGCTGAGGCAGAAGAATTGCTTGAACCCAGGAGGTGGAGGTTGCAGTGAGCCAAGATTGCACTCAGCCTGGGCAACAGAGCGAGACTCTGTCTCAAAAAAAAAAAAAAAAGAAACAACAGAAGTGGCTGGGCGTGATGGCTCACGCCTGTAATTCCAACCCTTTGGGAGGCCGAGGTGGGTGGATCACCTGAGGTCAGGAGTTCGAGACCAGCCTGGCCAACATGGTGAAAACCCATCTCTACTAAAAATACAAAAATTAGCTGGGCGCAATGGCTCATGCTTGTAGTCCCAGCTACTCAGGAGGCAGGAGAATCACTTGAACCCGGGAGGCGGAGGTTGTAGTGAGCTGAGATTGCGCCACTGCACTCCAGCCTGGGTGACAAAGCAGGACTCCGTCTCAAAAAAAAAAAAAAAAACAAGAGCAAGTGGGGCAGCTCTTTCGAGACACCAGGGACAGCAGGAGGTGGTGGGGCCGTTGGTGGTAAAGCCCGGAGCCCCCAGCCTGCGGCCCTGGTCTGTGTGGCAGTGTGGGTCTGTCTGCGGGTGTGTCTGCACGTACACCTCATTTGATGAACACTCACACCTGTGGTGGAGAGTGATTTGTGGCTGACTGTTGTTGCTGGTGAATATGCTGTGGACATCTTCCTGAAGGGTCCCGCACCTGTCACTCCTCACAGCCATGCTCTTCCGTCGTGTGGGTGTCATGTGGGTGTTGCGGGGCATCTGGCTGTGTCTCAGGGCATCCCGGGCAGGGTTGCAGCAGAGTGTGCAGCTGGAGGCCTTTGCACCTGGTCACCCACCCCAGCTTCTCCTGTGGGCTAAATTCCAGAGGTGGAATTTAAGATAGGGCTTCTTCACATTTCATTTCCAGGCCGGGCATGGCGGCTCTCACCTGTAATCCCAGCACTTTGGGAGGCTGAGGCAGATGGATCACCTGAGGTCAGGAGTTTGAGACCAGCCTGGCCAACATGGTGAAACCCCGTCTCTACTAAAAATACAAAAAGCAGCTGGGTGTGGTGGTGAGGGCCTGTAATCCCAGCTACTTGGGAGGCTGAGGCAGGAGAATCACTTGAACTCAGGAGGTGGAGGTTGCAGTGAGCCGACATCACACCACTGCATTCCAGCCTGGGCGACAGAGCAAGACTCTGTCTCAGAAATAAATATTAAATAAATTTCTAAAAGCTCAGACCCAAGCTTTGTCCCAGAAGCTGGAGTTTGCTAACCATGGAGCAGGATATGGACGAGGTTTCATAGTGGGTGGCGTTGCCAGCCCCACGGTGAGGGTGGAGTGCCTGGTGGGCTCTCTGCTGGGAGCTGGTCCCCAGCAGGTCTGCATGAGGGAGGGAGGCTCTCGTGCCTAGTGTCCCTGCACTGGCCCAGGAGGCTTGGGGAGGCCTTGGGAAGTCCAGGTGTCCGCAGAGTGGGACGGGCGGGAAGCTGATGTTTCTTCTTTCATGTGTTTCGGAGGAGGTCTGAGTCCAGGGACAGTGTAGGCGCTGTGCTTCGAAGGGGCGTTCTGAGGCTGGGGGCTGCAGGCCTGTAGCGTGCCCAGGAGTTGCCCTGGGACAGAGCCTGCTTTGTGTATTTGGGGACCCCTGGGTGATTTCCTTGGATGGACACTGCCACGTGTTTGAAACGTTGCAGCTCCACTGCGAGGGTGTCACTGTAGCACGCAGCCCTGGCCCGACCAGCGTCTCAAGCAGCAGGGGCCTCAGGGATACCAGCGAGCCACACGTCGGCCATGGAGGTGACTCACATTTTCTTTTCTTTCACCCAGGCTGGAGTGCAGTGGTGCGATCTTGGCTCACTGCAACCTCCGCCTCCCGGGTTCAAGCAATTCTCCTGCCTCAGCCACCTGAGTAGCTGGGATTACTGGCGCACGCCATCACGCCTGGCTAATTTTTGTATTTTTTTTAGTAGAGACAGGGTTTCACCATGTTGGCCAGGCTGGTCAGGTGATCAGCCCGCCTCGGCCTCCCAAAGTGCTGAGATTACAGGCGTGAGCCACCACACCTGGCCAATCACTCACTTTTTCTTGTAACCGCATTAAAGAAGAAATAAAAACAGGTGTCATTAATTTTAGTAATACGTGTAGTTAACTCAGTATACCCAAAATACGACTTCCTGGACACGTAGTCAGTAGAAAAGTGAGCCGTCTCATGCTCTTGTTGTGCAGAGTCCTTGAGACCTGCATGTATGGTGCACTTGGAGCATCTCGGTCTGGGCCGGGTCCTCGTGGACTGGGCGCTCTCCACTCTGCTTCTCAGGCTCTGCTGCAGGGAGGGCGTCAGGAGACAGAGGCTGCACACTGCTGGCTTCGAGCTTTCCCATTTTCCCTATAGTCTGAAGGTTCTGCCCAGCACAGAGGGGTGTGAACAGCCACGCCGAGCTCTGGGGGACACTGCTCTCCGCCTGCCTGGTGGGCCTGTGTCTGAGTTTGGGATCTTCCACGCCGAGCTCTGGGGGACACTGCTCTCTGCCTGCCTGGTGGGCCTGTGTCTGAGTTTGGGATCTTCCACGCCGAGCTCTGGGGGACACTGCTCTCTGCCTGCCTGGTGGGCCTGTGTCTAGTTTGAGATCTTTATTACGGGGAGTGTGCCTTCCGTGATAGGAGACGCATGAGATGGAAATGAGGATTTCATGGCCTACGGGCCCTGGGGGTACACGGCCCTCCTGGAGGCACCCGGAGGAGGAAAGGGAGTACCTTTCTGACCAGCATCTTTGCTGGGGTACAGATTGTTATGCTAACGGGTTTCCTATGAGGAGTTTCTCTCCATGGGTTTAGAGCCAGCAGGCACTAGCCCCAGGAGGTCATACTGTGACTCGGGGGATACTGTAGCACGTCTGGGCAGTCCACGAGGGCAGGCGGGCGAGTCCCGTAGTTTGAATCCCACGTCCCGTAAGGACCTAGTTGCCAAGTGGTGAAAGGCAGGGGTGTGGATGGACCATGCTGAGCTGCTGGGAGCAGGAAGAGAACCGGGGACTGTTGTGGGTGACCGAGACCTGCCGTGGAACGATGCCAAGGGTGAGCCGTGGGAACTCACACAGCAGCTGAGCCGCTTTCCATCTGAAGACCGTGAGGGAGCAGGGTGGGCTTTCTGTAAATCAGATTCATGAGCTCAGCCATGGAGGGGATTTGTCCTCTCTCAGAGGTGCCCCCGGGCTGTGCTGGCGTGGGCACCCCAGGTGGGAGTGGCCCCCAGTGTGCCCGGCCCCTGGCTGGATCTCTTCCCAGGCCCCCAGCCCTCTGCTCCCAGCCTTGACTCAGTGCTTGGGGGCTGGCTGAGTGCATCTCAGCCTGTTCCTCCTTCTGTAGGTAAAGCCGTGGCTCCGGGAAAGCTGGGTGATTTCTGCAGCCCTCTGGGTGTGCTGGGGTGTAGGGATGGGCTGCTGGTGAGGACAGGGCTCTGCCAGGTGGAGCACTGGCCTGTGGCCACACTCAGGGTGGGTCTGTGCATGCTGCTGGGCCAGCTCAGAGCTCTGCGGCCCGTCCCTGTCCATCCCTGCCCGTCCCTGTTCATCCCTGTCCGTCCTTGTCCATTCCTGTCCATCCCTGTCCATCCTTGTCCATCCCTGTCTGGACCTGGCTGGGTTGAGAAGGCCGGAGCCTGCCCCAGGCTCTCCCAGGCTCTGTCTAGCCGCTTGGCGGCTGGGCTGTCATGTGGTGGGTGATGCCCTCTGCGGGCCTCCCTGAGCCCAGTGGCTCCTGGCCTGCAGCCACAGCTTCTGTTCCCGGCAGGGCGCATGCTGCTGCCTGGGCTCTCGTCAGCACCTGTGTTTGCGCCCGGCTTTGTCATACCCAGACAGGACATGAACACAGAGAGCTCTAGACTCACTGCCTTGTCCCCAGCACACAGCCGCGCCTTGCCGGAGCGGGGCCCCAGCGGGGCGGGGTTTGTGGTGCATAAAGAATATGCCCTCGAAGCCAGCAGCAGAGGCGTGTCTGCCCTCCTGGCCGTCCCGCTGGCTTCTGGCCCTGGCCGGGTGGGGAGCTCTGCTGGCTGGAGAGTGTGTGAGAGTGTGCCAGTACCCTGCTGCGAGCAGGCACCCGCGGAAGCGCCCCAAAGCACTTCTTGCATTTCTGGCTTCGGAGCATGGTGTCTGGTGGCTTGGCCTGGCCTGGGGTCCCCGGGAGGCCCTGGGTCTTGCCCCTGCGGACATTGGGACTTGCAGAGGTCTGCGTGGGGGAGGGGGAGTAGGGGCTGTGTCTCCTCGGGCGCTGGAATTTCCCCCGGGCCCTGGCGTCCTGCACACTGGGCCGGCGTAGAAGGTCTGGAACCGATTGCCCACCACCCCTCCCTGAGATCCCGCATGAGGGAGGGAATCTGATCCCTCTGGAGGAGCCGCACATCAAAGCCGGGCTGGCGTTTGATGTCACGCTGCTGTGCTCTGTCCCTGTTTGTGATTTGAGGTCCCCAAGCTGGCGGTCAGTGCCGGGGAAGGACTGTGAGTTGGGACTCTGGCCACCCCTCAGCCCAGGCCTCCCCAGCCGTAGAGAAGTGGCCTCATGACCATCTCCGGACCCCTGGCCATCTGTGTCATGCTGGGGAGCGGGGACCCTGGGCCCTCCCTGTCCCCCTTCCTGGCCCTGGGGGCTGTGCTTCCTTGAGGCCTCTCTCTGCCTCTGTCCGGGTTCTGCTCCGGCGCATTTTGAGGCCTTGTGTTTTCCTGAGCCCTGCGTCTCGGGGCCTCTGGGCCGAGTCTCCAGCCATTTGGAGGGAAGGCAAATCCAAGGCCCTTTGTTGGCTGCTCTGTGGGACGGGAGCTTAGGGAGTGTGTCCCAGCCTGTGCGCAGAGGACACCCGCCGTGTGTGTGGTGCGCACGTGCTCCACAGGCTAGAGGCCCTTGGGGAAGGGGCTCCCCTGTAGGCAGTGGACCCAGGGAGACCATGGGGCTAAGTCCACGACCCTGTGGGGCCTCTGCAGCCAGACCAGGCTGTCAGAGTCGGGGCCTGGGTGGGAAAGGGATGCCCCTCCCCCAGGATTGAGGACGTGAAAAATAAAGGCCACGAAACAAAAGAAAACACGTCAAACCCACACACGTGGCCGAGTCCCCAGGTGTCGGGGCTGGGCCTGTCCTGGGTGTGGCACCTTGGGCTTTTCTGCTTGGTCTGTTCTCATTTCAGGGAGGCAAGTCCTGCCCTTTTTTTTGTTTTGTTTTGTTTTGTTTGTGTTTGAGACGGAGTCTCGCTCTGTCGCCCAGGCTGGAGTGCAGTGGCGCGATCTCGGCTCACTGCAAGCTCCACCTCCTGGGTTCACGCCATTCTCCTGCCTCAGCCTCCCGAGTAGCTGGGACCACAGGCGCCCGCCACCACGCCTGGCTAATTTTTTGTATTTTTAGTAGAGACGGGGTTTCATTGTGTTAGCCAGGATGGTCTCGATCTCCTGACCTCGTGATCCGCCCATCTCGGCCTCCCAAAGTGCTGGGATTACAGGCGTGAGCCACCGCGCCCGGCTGAGTCCTGCTCTTTCAAGTAGGTCAGCAGATCCCAGGGTCGGGGCACGGTGAGTGCACAGTGGACCCCTGCGGCCCTGTAAGCACACAGGTGGGTTCAGGCGGAGGCCGAGAGTTCCTGTCCCAGCATCCCGCTCTGTGCATGGATGTGCACGTATGTCTCGACCTGGACACTGCAGCACCCTGCCCTCTGACCCTCCCAGTACCCCCCATCCCGGAGGGTTGCTGCAAGCAGTTTCCAGCCCAGCTGTTACCTAATCTTTATCCCCTGTGTTCTGGTCACCAGCTCAGCCTGTGTCTTCCTGTCCCACCTGAGCCCTTGCAAGGCACACTGGCCATAGGGCCTGGCAGGGCACCTGCATGACCTGAGGCCGGCCCTGGCCTCCCCTTTGCCTAGGCTCTGGCCATCTGCCCCCTCCTCTCGGATTCCCCTCCCTGGAGAGGGACTGATGAGGGGCATCTGCAAGGAAGGCCTGAGAAGGGCTTTTGTTTTTCTCAGTGGGGAGGATTTCACGGTGGGGAGTTGGAAACGCAGAGGCAAGCCCGCCTCATGCAGCAGGTGCCACCAGCAGTTCACATGCTCTGGGGCTGGATGTGACGGCATGTGCCCGTCTCCCGGGCTGCCATGCACATCAGGCATGTGTGGGAGGCGTGCTGCATATACCTGCCCACCCATGCACGGGTCCAGCTGTGCCTCCTGCGGGGCGAGGCTCAGAAAGACACTGGTGGCAGAGTCCGACATGGACTTATAAGCACGGCCTCCCCGGCCACAGGCAAGCGGGCGTGAGCGGAGTGCAGCGCCCCTCCCTCCATGCTTCGGTGACATCAGGCGTCGGCTTTGAAGGAGGACATCAGGCGGTGGAGACAGGGGCACCTCCTCTTAGTGGGCGGCTTAAGATGAAAGCCCAGACGTCGGTACCCTGACTCTCAGGCTCCTGAGTACAGGTGTCCGTGAGCCGCATTCCGGAGCCAGTGCTGCTCGCCCCTCCTGTGCGGTCCCTGGGCCCTGCCGGCAGCTCCACGTCCTGCCAGCGGCCCCGAGACTGGAGGTCTCGGGGGGAGCCCCCAGGCCACGCACCACAGGCCAGGGTCCTTGGGAGCGCCCCCGGCTGTCAGGTGCCTCCTTTTGGTGGTTGTGGGGCGCAGTGGGGCTGAGGTCTGTGGCCTGGGCCTGGGCCTGGGACGCTGTCCTGGGTGGGTGCTGGGTGAGGGCCCCACACCTTTGCTTTCCGAGTCTCCTGCCCCAGGGCCTCCGTGGCACTGGTTGAGCTGCCCTGGGGTACCTGATGGTTTCTTTCCTCTCCTCCCAGGGAGTGCCTGCAGCACCCCGGCGGGGCCACCCCAGTCTGCGTGTACACGAGGGATGAGGTAGGCGGCCTGCTCTTGCTCACCCAGTCCCCGCTCACTTTCAGCCCACTTTCCAACTGGAAAATCTGCTGTCCCGCAGCCGTCTCCAGGGCAGTGGCGGGAGACTCGGGCTCTTGAAAGCACGACGTGTTTCATGGAAAAAGAGGGAGTGGCCGGCCCTCGGAGCCCGGGCTGCCCCGAAACCTCCCTCGGCGCCCTGTTTGTTTTTTCAGCTTCTCTCAAAGCCCAAGAGTCACAAAAGTGGTTTCATTTAATAAATATTTGCTTTGCTCGGTGTTTTGATCATTTTCAAAACCGAGTGTGGCGTGGCGCAAGCAAAGCCCGCCGTGGCGGGACCCTCCTAGCGCTCGTCCCTGGCCTCACAGGGGCCTTTTGTTTCCACGCTGGCTGAGTGCCCTTTGCTGGGGTGGGGGGGCACTGGCCCGGAGGGGCCCTGGGGGGCCAGGACATTCCCCGCATTTATCCCCATTTGGAAGCTCCCTGGCTGGGGCTGTGACGGGGAGGTTCAGGTCTACGTCCTCCCTTGAGGGGATGAGCCACGGGGCTCAGGACCCAGGCCCAGCACTGTCCTGAGGCTGTGGCCCTCAGGGACCCTTACACCCTTTGGCTTTTGTGCTGGGCCATTGACTGTGCCCTCGCTAGAGGCAGCTTCTCCACCCCTTCCTCACAGGTCAGAGTTAGCGTATGGGACGTGGCCAGCCAGGCCCGATCCCTGCCCACCCCGAGCTGAGCACCAGGAATGGCCACCCCCGTGGGTGACAGCACGTTCCTGCCTCTCTCGCTCCGGGCAGTGGGTCCTGGCACCAGGGCTTCCTCCTTGCAGCCCAGCTCTGCCAGCCCAGGCCTCAGTGAGCTTGGGTCCCAGCTGCGGAGACCAGGCTGGGGGAGACACGGTCAGGCATGGGCAGCAGGTCCTGCCCCGGCTGCAGACCAGACTCAAGCTGGGCCTTGTGGAGGGTGTGGACCGGCAGGGGCCAGATGTGGGGGGTGGGTAGGATGGAGGCCAGAGAGGGCACGTGGCCTGTGGTCCTGGTGGTGCCGGTGCCCGGAGGGCTTCCCTGGGCTCTGGGGTCCCGGTGCAAGGCGCACCTGTCCTGGCTGCTCCTCCTGCAGGTGACGGGTGAAGCTGCCCTGCGGGGCACGACGCTGCAGTCGCTGGGCCTGACCGGGGGCAGCGCCACCATCAGGTAAGGGCAGTGCTGCTGGGGCCGAGGAGTCTATTTAGCTAAAAAAAAAAGTGGTCTCAAAGGAAAGGAGAAAGGACACGTGGCAAGTGGGGAGTAGGTGTACCCAGGCCCTCATCATGGAGAGCGCCTGGTGGCCTCTGCCTGCCTGTGGGCGTGGGGGCTGGGCTGCCCCGACCTCATCTCTGTGTCCCCCAGAGGGGCGGTGGATCTTGGGAGGGCGCATGGGGCAGGAGAGGGTGAACCGGGGGCGGGAGAGGGTGAGCCGGGGGCGGGAGAGGGTGAGCCTGGGCCGGGAGAGGGTGAGCCGGGGGTAGGCACCACAAGGTGCTTCCCTTGTCCTCTGGCCCCACTCAGGTTTGTCATGAAGTGCTACGACCCCGTGGGCAAGACCCCAGGAAGCCTGGGCTCGTCAGCGTCGGCTGGCCAGGCAGCCGCCAGCGCTCCACTTCCCTTGGAATCTGGGGAGCTCAGCCGCGGCGACTTGAGCCGTCCGGAGGACGCGGACACCTCAGGGCCCTGCTGCGAGCACACTCAGGAGAAGCAGAGCACAAGGGCACCCGCAGCTGCCCCCTTTGTTCCTTTCTCGGGTGGGGGACAGAGACTGGGGGGCCCTCCTGGGCCCACGAGGCCTCTGACATCATCTTCAGCTAAGTTGCCGAAGTCCCTCTCCAGCCCTGGAGGCCCCTCCAAGCCAAAGAAGTCCAAGTCGGGCCAGGATCCCCAGCAGGAGCAGGAGCAGGAGCGGGAGCGGGATCCCCAGCAGGAGCAGGAGCGGGAGCGGGTAAAAGGGGCTCTAGGCCTTGGGACTTGGGGGTGTCCTTTCTCCTGATGTGTAGCCCTGCGTGGCTTTAGCTGGTCAGCCTGGTGGCGTGGCCGTGATGCGGGCAGAGGAACCCAAACGCGCAGAGGAACCCAAACGCGGGGCTCTGGACAGGAGCCTTCTGACTTCGCCCAGGAAGGAATTTAGGGGTAAGCAGGTGGTAGAGAAAGTAGCTTTACTGAGACGGTGGCTGTGTCTGCTCCGGGATGAGGCCGTGTCCGCTCCGGGATGAGGCCGTGTGGGCTCCGGGATGAGGCCGTGTTGGCTCCATGACAAGGCGGCAACTGTGTCAGCTCCGTGTTGGCTCCGTGATGTGTGGCACAGAGCAGGGCCGCCCTGGGGTGGTGCATGGAGGGCAGCAGCTCAGGGCATGGCCGTGGTCACATTTACATCCACTCAACTACATGCACGTTAAGGGGTGGGGCATTCAGAAATCTCTAGAAAAGGGGTGGTAACTTCCGGGTTATGGCCAGGGAAGGGGGAGCTGGTGAACGCATCAGCCAGTCTTCAATCTGGTCTGGAATCAAGCCCCACCTCCTACCTGAGCAGGGTCACTGGGCTTGTTCTTAGCTTCTCAGGCAAATGATTTTTTTTTTTCTGGGTTTTTTTTTTTTTTTTTTTGAGACAGAGTCTCACTGTGTCCCTAGGTGGGCGTACAGTGGCGCGATCTCGGCTCACTGCAGCCTCTGCCACCCAAGTTCAAGTGATTACTCCTGCCTCAGCCTCCCGAGTAGCTGGGACTACAAGCGCGCACCACCAAGCCCAGCTAATTTTTTTGTATTTTTAGTAGAGACAGGGTTTTACCATGTTGTCCAGGATGGTCTCAATCTCTTGACCTTGTGATCCACCCACCTCGGCCTCCCAAAGTGCTGGGATTACAGGCGTGAGCCACCGCGCCCAGCTCTTTTTTCTGGTTTTAAACCACCTTTACTGAGGCACCCACTTTTTTTTTTTTTTTGAGATGGAGTTTTGCTTCTGTCGCCCAGGCTGGAGTGTGGTGGCGCACTTTCGGCTCACTGTAACCTCCACCTCCCGGGTTCAAGCGATTCTCCTGCCTCAGCCTCCCAAGTAGCTGGGACTACAGGCGTGTGCCACCACGCCCAGCTAATTTTTGTATTTTTAGTAGAGACGGGGTTTCACCATGTTGGCCAGGCTGGTCTCGAACTCCTGACCTCAGGTGATCCGCCCGCCTCAGCCTCCCAAAGTGCTGGGATTACAGGCTTGAGCCACCGCGCCCAGCCTAATTTATTTTTATTTTTATTTTTCATAAAGACGAGGTCTCTCTCTGTTGCCCAGGCTGGTCTCGAATTCCTGGGCTCAAGCGATCTTCTTATCTCAGCCACCCAAAATGCTGGGATTACAATTGTGAGCCACCTCACCAGGCCTGAAAGTTACTTTTTATAATATTGTGGATAGTATCATGCTTCCTGTTACATCTTTGACTGGCTGACTCCTTGCTAGTTCTAGTGGCGTCTTGGTTTCTGTCGGGGCCTCTGCAGACCTTTCCCTTTGTCCTCTCATCGTTTTTCTTCCTGTGTTGCAGCGAATGGGCCTCTGGTGCTTTTGGATCGTGGCGATCTTAGTAGACATCCTTCCTTGTCTTGATCGTAACAGGAATTACTAGTCATTTCTCTGCCAAGGATGATGTGTGCTATAAAAAGCCTTTATCAAGCAGAGAAAGTTACTATTCCTAACTTTCTGACATTTAAAAAAATCTTAAGTGGGTGTTGAACCGTTTCAGTGTTTTCAGCATCAATGGAGATGACCGTATGCTTTATTTTATTGGCTTGTGCATGTGTGTTCATAAGTGAGACAGACTTTTTTTCCTTGCTCTGTCTTCATCCAGTTTGGGAATCGAATTTCACCTGGCTCACAAGGGAGCTGGGCAGTGGCCCCTCTTTTCTGGGTTCTGGAAGTTCTCCGAAGGTTATGGCCACTGCTCACTGCAGACTACACCCACCACTGGGGCACTGGGCCCTTGGCGGGGAGTGCATGCAGGCAGGCGGCCAGGTGCTGACCTCCGAGCATGCCTGTGTGTGGCTGTGGCCTGACCCTCTCCCTCACGCCTCCCCCCAACCGTGGGGACCTCGTGTCTGTGGGGTCCCTGGCCCTGTGGCTGACTTTTCCTTTGTCCCTGTCCTGACCCCGCATCAGAGCCCTGCACCTGGGCTGCTGAAACCTGACTTCCTCAGCTTCCTCACCTGCAGAACTAAGGTGTTCGTGGCATTTATGGGTTTTGTGCCAAAAGAGGCAGACTGGGGGACTGTCATGCGGCTTTCGGTGACAGGGATGGGAGGAGGCTGTTTCCCAGCCCCTGTGTCCCCTGAGGGCCAGGCTGCCAGCTGCCAGCCACAGCCCAGGGGCCAGGTCAGAGCTTCTTGAGCTCCTGCTGACGTAGTGGGCCTGGAAGGCCCCCATGCCTCCATCTCCTGTGGACATTTAAAATATTTGTGTCTGGGCCTGTGGCATGGTGGCTCACACCTGTAATCCCAGCAGTTTGGGAGACCGAGGTGGGCAGATCACCTGAGGTCAGGAGTTTGAGACCAGCCTGGACAACATGGCAAAACCCTGTCTCTACCAAAAATACAAAAATTAGCTGGGTGTGGTGGCAGGTGCCTGTAATCCCAGCTACTCGGGAGACTGAGGCAGGAGAATCTCTTGAACCCGGGAGGCGGAGGTTGCAGTGAGCCGAGATCGTGCCACTGCACTCCAGCCCGGGTGACAGAGTGAAACTCCATCTCAAAAAAAAAAAAAAAAAAGAAAACAAGAAGTGGCCAGGAGGGCTCTGTGCACATGGCCCCGGCCTCGGCTGTCCCCTGGGCACTCGTGCTACGTGTCCCGGAACTCAGGTGAGGTCAGGAGTTTGCTTCCTCCTCCTCTGGCCACTTCTGAGTGAAGCAACCTCATGCCTCCCTCTTGCCTCCCGGCCACACACCTGGGAGGGCAGAGGCCGGGCGTCTGCACCGTGTTGGATGTGGGGGCTCCCATCTAGCCCGGCGTCAGGGTCCAGCCCCTCTGTTTTCTGTCCCCCTGGCTGTCCTGGGACTGTTCCTGTTGAGTGGACAAGGGAGTGGGGAGTGAGGGTGTTGGGTCCATTCTAGGACTATGATGGTGTTGGCACCCCATCCTCCCTCTGGGAACTCTGCCAAACTCTGCACTGTGACACCTGAGTCCCCATGAAGCGCTCGTGCCCCTCGACCCGTGTGCTCCGGGTGAGCAGGGGCTGACCCCCTCTAGGCCTGCTCTTGTGGGGACCCCTCAGTGTGAGAGACACAGTGGCTGTCATGTTCCCCCATTCTAGAGGCGTGGGCCTCAGCCCCTTCCCTCCGTGACCAGGGCGGGTCTTGTCTGCAGAGCGTGGGGCGTGGAGCATGGGGCTCGCAGCCCAGAGTAGTGCCCGCCCGTGCTCGCCCGTCGGGAGGCGCTGTTGGGGTGGGGTCTTGGCTGGCAGGAGGGGTCCAGGGGAGGGAGCGTGTGCCTGGCCTGCATGGCGTGCTGAGGGCCTTTGATCTGGGACTTGGGCAGCTGATTGATGGAGGGCGTCCTGCCTGCCCCGCGCCTCCCATCGCCGCCAGCCGCACACGCAGAGGGCCCGGGGCCACATGCCGCTGCTGGGTCCCTTTCAGTGATGGGGGGAGGGGAGAAGGGAACAAAACAGAACTTTTTTGGGGAACTTCAAAGGTACACTTTAGTAAGCAAAAAGAGTTTCCAAGTTTCCCATTAATGTTTTGCCTGTGTGTGGTTTTTGGACTTAAATAAAGAGTCAGAAGGAAGAGACAGGATAAAATACAGGCAGGTCCTCGGCCGAGACCCGGGGTGGTTCACAGACCCGGGCGGTTCCTGCCTTTGATGTCAGGCATTAATTATTAGAAGGTAGTTTTACTGGCGATCAGAACCGGGCGCTGGGAGAGGCTGGGGCTGCCCGGCGCCCCCTGGCCCTGTCTTTGAAGTGCCTCCACTGGCTGGGAGGCTGCCCTGCAGCCCTGTGCTGGGCTGGGACGCCAGTCCCAGCAGACGCCCCCCACAACTCGGCCTCCCGGCAGCTGGCACGAGGGCCGCTCCTGATCAAAGGCTGGGTCTGCCCGCACGGGCTGGCGGCTGCTGCCCTGCCTGCCCCTCCCGCCTCGGGGGTGAACCTTGCTCCTGGAGCCGGGGCCTGGGGTTTCCTCAGCACCCCTGCTCACACCCGGCCCTCTGTGGCTGACAGCCGGTGTGGGACTCGTGGGGCGGGGAGGAGCCTGTCCCAGGGTTTTGGGGGTAAACCAGCGGGGAGGAGGCTGGGCCTGGAGCGGGTCATGCACTGGGCGTGGTGAATACACCCTGCCTGGGACCCCCGTGTGCCTGGCAGGGCAGGTGCTGTTGACCCTGGGCAGTAGGTATTGGGCCAGGGGCTCCTGCCCCTGGACCCTGACGCCGGGCTAGACAGGAGCCCCCACATCCGACGCGGTGCAGACTCCCATCCCTGCGGCCAGCACAGTCAGTGGCCAGGGTGGCCCAGGTCCCTGCTATGCCTCATGGGTGTCTGAGGACAACCCTGGGCTCTGAGGCTGTCCCTAGGGGCACAGCCTGTGGCCTTGATTGGAATGGCCACCAAGCGTGGCTGGCAGATGGCTCAGCGACTTTGCAGGTGGCTGGCTGAGTCCCGGCTGTTTAGAAGCCTGGTGACTGACAGGCGCTTGTGTTTTGGTGAGGAACCCCGGGGGGTAGGGGGTGGATGCTCGCCACTGGGGCTGTGGGGAGAACTGGGAGTGTGGGGCTCCGTACTGGGCGAGTCGGCTGCTGCAGGGCGCAGACCCCACTGGCCCCTTCTGGCCTGGACTCTCCTCCCCGTTGGGCCCAAGATCCCCTGGTTGGGATTGTTCCAGGAACTCAGGTCAGGGGCCCCGTCAGCCCTTCCCGGGCTCCCCCAGGAGCAGCCTCCAGACTCTGCCCTGCGGATGACCCCCCTCACCAAACTGCTTTTCCTGCCTGTCCGGGGGTGTTGGTGCGCTTTATCCACAGTGACACACGCCTGCCACACCGTAACGTGCCCAGCTCCAGACGGGCTCATGGTCAGCCCAGGCTGCAGCAGTCCTGAATCCTGTTCTTATTTTTCTTTTCTTTTTTTTTTCTTTTTCCTTTTTTTTTTTTTTTTTTTTTTGAGACACAGTCTCGCTCTCTTGCCCAGGCAGGAGTGCAGGGGCACAATTACGGCTCACAGCAGTCATGACCTTCCATCTCAGCCTCCCGAGTAGCTGGGACTGCAGGTGTGAGCCACTGCACCTGGCCTCTTTTCATCTTCTAAAGTATTTTTCTTTTTAAAATTAAAAAGTGATTTTTTTTTCTTATGAGTACCTCATGCTTTATATTTTCATCTTTTCATTTTCATTTTATTTTATTTTATTTATTTTTTTGAGACAGTCTCGCGCTGTCACCCAGGCTGGAGTACAATGGCACGATCTCGGCTCACTGCAACCTTCCCCTCCCAGTTCAAGTAATTTTTCTGCCTCAGCCTCCCGAGTAGCTGGGATTGATTACAGGTGTCTGCCACCTGTAATTTCTGTGTTCTTTGTAGAGAAGGGGTTTTGCCATGTTGGTCAGGCTGGTCTCGCACTCCTGACCTCAGGTGATCCACTTGCATCGGCCTCCCAAAGTGCTGGGATTACAGGTGTGAGCCTCTGTGCCCAGCCTATTTTTATTTTTATTTTTATTTTTTGAGACAGAGTCTCACTCTGTTGCCCAGGCTGGAGTGCGGTGGCATGATCTCAGCTCACTGCAACCTCCACCTCCCGGGTTCAAGTGATTCTGCTGCCTCAGCCTCCTGAGTAGCTAAGAGGCGCCTGCCACCATGCCCGGCTAATTTTTGTATTTTTAGTAGAGATGGGGTTTTACCATGTTTGTCAGGCTGATCTCAAATTCCTGACCTCAGGTGATCTGCCTGCTTTGGCCTCCCAAATTGTTAGGATTACAGGCGTGAGCCACCGCGCCCGGCCTGTTTTCATCTTTTTAAAATAACTTTTTTTTTTTCGAGACAGGGTCTGTCTATGTTGCCTAGCCTGGAGTGTGGTGGTGCGATCTCTGCTCACTGCAACCTCCACCTCCTGGGTTCAAGCGATTTTCGTGTCTCAGCCTCCTGAATAGCTGGGATTACAGGTGCCCGTTTAGTAGAGATGGAGTTTTCATCATGTTGACAGGCTGCTCTTGAACTCCTGACCTTAGGTGGTCTGCCGGCCTTGGCCTCCGAAAGAGCTGGCATTACAGGCGTGAGCCACCGTGCCCAGCCTAAAATAACTTTTCTTGGCTGGGTACAGTGGCTCGCACCTATAATCACAGCACTTCGGGAGACCGAGCTGGGAGGATCTCTTGAGCCTAGGGGTTTTAGACCAGCCTGGGCAACATAACGAGACCCCATCTCTACAAAGGAAATTTAAAAATTAGTAGGGCGTGATGGTGTGTGCCTGTAGCCCCAGCTACTTGGGAGGCTGAGACGGGAGGATTGCCTGAGCCTGAGAGATCAAGACTGCAGTGAGCTGAGATTGCACTGCTGCACTCCAGCCTGGGCAACAGAGCGAGACGCTGTCTCAAAACAGAAACATCTCTGCTTTGGGCCTTCCTTGTTGGCCTCTCCCCAGCCATGTGGCCACTCGCTGGCAGGCCCGGGCCATGAGCATCGGTGCGGATGCTGTGCTCAGCCTGGGGGCGGCGCCGTCTCCTCTGGGTGGGATTCGAGGCCTGATGCCTCTGCCTGGTGCAGGAGGGATGTTGTGCTGAGGGTGTTCCCCGTGCTTTGGATGTAAAATTTGGGCATGGAGTTTGTGGTGTCTTCAGAGGCAGTCCCGCCTGCGTCCTTTGTGCATGCCTGTCCACGCCGGTCGCAGCGGTCTCCCCACAGAGCCCGCGCCCACGCCCTGGCACAGCCTCTCCTGCTGTGCACGTCCCAGGCCTTTGATGGCGTCCACGTGCTCCGCCGCCTGCCTCCGAGGGTGGCCGGGGCGCTGAGTAACTCGGGAGGTTTGGCCCGTGTCTGGCGTAGTGATTCATTGAAGCTCAGAGCCTCCAGGGGAAACTCCACACTCCCTCTCACCGGAGCCCTGGCGGGGCAGGCCGGGCCGAGACGGTGGGAGGGAGGGAGGCCGGGAGGGAAAAACACAAACCCTCAGAGACGCTGGAAACTCTGAGGTTGGGGCCACCTCCGAATGGGTTCACATTTTTCCTCTGTGTGTCATCACATCCTGGAAAATTACTGTCAAGAAAAGGAGACCTCTGGGCAGTGTCCCGGCCTGTGTGCATGCCCCTGGCGCCCTCACCCTGCAGCCCCCAGCCTCCCTCCCCTCGGTTTCCCAGCTCAGCGGCCCAGGGATGCCCCAGCACTGTCTGCTGTGAGGCCGCGCGCCCGCAGGGCTGCCCCCGGCATCCCGGACAGCGTCCCTGTCCTTAGTCCTGCCCGTCCTTTCTGGCCTTTCTCCGGCCCCCTTCCAGTTTCGGGGCATCTGGATAAATGGTTAGCATCATTGTGGTCCGGTCCTTGGCGGCCCTCCTGGAGGCCGGGACCTGGGGGTCCACCGGGGGCCTGGGTTTGCAGGAGACAGGAAGGGGCTAAAGGGGCAGAAGCATGCAGGGGCTTCACCTGCAGGAGGAGTCGGGTCTTTCACAGCTGCCCGGCCACCCTCGGAGCCTGAGAGGCCATCACACCTTTCCCTCATGGTGCCAGCTGGACCCTCCACGCTCCTTGCCTCCTTGTGTGTCATG
Organism: Homo sapiens; assembly: GCF_000001405.40. Lineage (NCBI taxonomy): Eukaryota > Metazoa > Chordata > Mammalia > Primates > Hominidae > Homo > Homo sapiens. The sequence goes on from NC_000017.11 coordinate 82,004,614, forward strand.
TGGCAGCCACAGGCACCCCCACCCTGTGGCGCATTTTGAGCTTCTGGGGAGCTCAGCACACACAGCCCCTGTGAAAGTGCAGTGCCGGCTGCTGGACCCTGCTGTGCCCCCGGCATCACCCCTGTCCTCTGAGACCTCTGACTCTGCCCAGCAAGAGGGGCAGGGTCGGGAAGAAGGGAGTGTGGGGCCTTTGGAAGCCGGGCCCAGGCAGTGAGGCGGAAACCAGGCTGGGCTCAGCATGGCGAGCTCCTCCTGGTGAAGGCACTGGTGTCCGGGGGCATCAGCGGCACAGAGAAGGTTCTGGGCTCCATCTCCTGAACCTGTCTGGAAGAGCCCAGCTGCTCCCATGGACCTGCGACCTGCTGCCCGGGGCCGGGGGTCTGGGCCTCTTTGCATCGGCTCAGGGGAGGCCATCCGTGGCTGGGCGAGGGTCAGCTGCCATTTGGATGCCCCGGCAGCCGTGGGGCTCTCGCCTCTGCCAGAGCAGGCAGCTTCCGAGGTGGCAAGGGCTTTGGGGAGCAGCGGGAGGCCTGGGGGTGCCGAGTGTTCCGGAAATATTGCTGGTTCTTCTGGGGCAGTCCTGGCCCGCTGGGCAGAGCAGAACACGGCCTCTGCTCAGTGGCAGGGTGGGGCGCCGGGGTGGCGGAAACATGAGGCCGCGTGAAGTGGGCATCAGTTGGGCCCTGGGGTTTGGTCTCGGAGGCCTGCGGGGCAGTGGTCCCCCGGCTCTTGCTGCCCTGCGGTTCAGTTCCTCCTGCTGCAGCGCCTGTGTGCCCCGTGGGTCGGCAGGTCTCGTGAGAGGCCTCATCTGAGACAGGAAGCCCCACGCAGGCTTCTGGAAGGCTCCTCCTGGCTCTCAGCCACCCCGTTGGCTGAGTGAGACTGACCCCAGCAGCTTCCTGAGGCGTGGCAAGGCCCCCAGGGACACCTGGCGGCCACACACCTGGGGGACCCCACCAAGGCTGAGACCCAGGTTGGGGCCCCCTGCACTGCTGAGGTTTGGGCCTCATTCCCCGCTGGCCCTCCGTCTGCTTGGGAGCTTTCCAGGTGGGGATGTTTGTAGGGACAGTGGTATGGCATCCAGTTGCCTCCTCCCTGAAACCTTCAACCCGAACCTCACTCAGCACAGAGAATTGGGGGCCAGACCACGGCGGACGGAGGCGTCCTGCTGACACAGCCCCTGTCGGGATGTGGGAAGGGGCGGAGGCACAGCTCCAGCCCCAGCGTGACCGTGTGTGTGGGAAAACCGTCCGGGTACTTGGGGACAGCAGGGACATTTCCAGTGTGGGTGTGTGAGAGCCACCTCCCCCATGCGGTGGGCCCTGGTGTGATGCTGGCAGCTGGGACAAGAGTCCTTCTCTCAGCAGATGCTGCTGTGCTCCTGGGGCACAGTCTGTGGTTTTCTTTTGTGTGCATGTCCATGCTTGGGTGTTGTGTGCATGTCCTTGCGTGTGCGTGTCCTTGCGTGTGCACGTGTGTGCTTGGGGGCGTGTGTGTGTCCTTGCGGGTACACATGCGTGCTTGGGGTGTGTGTGCATGTCCTTGTGGGTGCACGTGTGTGCACGGGTGTGTGTGTGTGCGTCCTTGCATGTGCACAGGTGTGTGTGTGTGTGTGTGTCCTTGCGGGTGCATGTGCATGCTTGGGGGGCGTGTGCGTGTCCTTGCGGGTGCACGTGCGTGTTTGGGGGTGTGTGTGTGTCCTTGCGGGTGCACGTGTGCTTGGGTGCATGCAGGTGTGTGTGTATATGCATGTCTGTGTGTGCACATATGTGCATGCATGTTTGCCCCAGAGCGGAAGGAAAGTGAATGCAGCCGAATGATCACATCTGCATGAGGGGTGTTCACTGTTGTGTCTGCCCATCTTTCTGTGGGCTGAAATATTTCAAAATAAGAAATTGAGGGGAAAGAGAAAGGAGGGTGCTTGTCTCTCTCCTTGCCTCCTGCTCCTCCTCCCTGTGTTGGAGGCTCCAGGACGCCTCACCCCCGGTTGACGTCATTTTTGGCCTGCACAGGCAGCCCGTTTCTTTTCTCCTGGCACCGGCGAGGAGGCTGGGGAGGGGGGACGGGAATTCCCCCAGGGGCCAGGCCTTGACTGCCCTGCAGGGCCCTCGCTGTCGCTTTTTTCCCTCACAGTGTCTCATCCCTCAACCTCTGTTTTCCATCCAAAGGCATCTCTGTGAATCCACCTGGCGCGGGAGCGGCGCTGATGCCACAAATGCGGGCCAGACTGCTGGGCAGAGCTCACCAGTCAACAGGGCTGGGTGTGGCTGGGGCAGCCCTGAGACCCCAGGCCCTGCCGCTGTGGCTCCCCCTTCCTGGCCCCTCTTCTCTGTGGGACAGAAAGTCTCTCCTGGGGAAGGCTCGGAGCTGAGCTGATGGGTGTTTGAAGTTTCTCCACACACAGGGTCCCCTGGCATCTCCCTCTGTCATTTGGTGGCCAAGTGACATTTCCCAGCAGCCCTACTGCAGACGCCATATGTTCTCGGGGTGACTCAGGTGGCCTGGGCCCTTCTGGTAGCCGCTTATCCAGCCTGACCCCAGGCTCCAGCGAGGCTGCTCCGGATCGGGGCTGCTCTGCCCAGGTGAAGGGCGGGTGTGGGAGGTTTCCGTAGAGGCCGCTCTCCCCTGCTACCACGGCCCCGTGTGGGACCCTGGGTCTGTCTGACAGACAGAGGCTTCCTGAGCCAGGCCCTTGGGATGACGGGTAGGAATCTAGGGTGGATCCACAGGAATTAGAGATTTTTTCAGTTTTGTTTTCCAAATGAAGTCAACAGCCCCCTAGCAGCGTGATGCTGATGGTCCTGTCCCCTATGGCCCCCATCCTGGAGGCACCCTGGTGTGGGCTGTGGGCCTGGGGGTCCTTGGCACTGTCCAGTATGCGGACGTGGCAGCAGCCCACATTTCCCCCAGTGACCACCAGGCTGTGCCCTGGACGTGGCCGCCTGAGCACGGCATGTCCTGGGGCCCCGTCTGGTGGTCAGGCTCAGTACGAGCCCATCAGGGGTACTCTGCCCGCCTGGGAAGACAGTGTGGCTTCTGGGGGCTCCTCCAGGGAGGCTCTGGACCAGGCTGCAGAGGATGCCAACCTGCCACAGGCTGGCCTGGCCGCTCATGGACATGGCGGCTCCTGGCCCAGGGTCTCTCCCCCGGGAACCCAGGCGTGCTCGCGGCCCTCTGGAATGCAGGCGCTGGGGCTGTGGGGGGCCGCCTGGCGCCTGGCATCTTGTTATAAAAAGCTCTGGCGCAGGCTGCTCTCAGTGGCTGCAGGATGGTTGTGGCTTTGGAAGGGCAGCCCCCAGGGGCCTTGGTCAGCCACCTGTGGGCCCCACTGCCGAGCCGTGGTCAGCCCTCACTGGCTGCCCTGCCATGACGCTGCTGAGGTCAGTGCAGCTCCCGCCAGACTCCCGTGACAAGTCATAACAGAGCCACATGCTGGGTGGCTGCAGGGCCCTGTCGCCCACAGCAGTCGAGGTCTCAGGTGTGTCCGGAGGGCAGCCCTGGAGACACCTGGGACAGGCGTACCTCTGGCAGGCGCACCCTGGCTGTCACCCAGTGTGGGCATGGTGGGGGTGCTGGAATGCTGTGTAGGGCAGGAGGCAGCAGCCCGTGGCTGGGTGGGAGACTGCAGGGTAGACGGGACGGGACCAGGAGGGTTGTTCGCAGGGACTGCCAAGCCATCCCCAGGTGTCGAGAGTGTGAGGTAGGAGTGGGAGCCCAGAGCCGGCTCCAGGCCACCCCAACTCCCGACAGCTCTCGGCTGTTCTGTGTGAGGGGGGACGGGGCCGAGTGTGGGTCGGCGCAGTGCTGAGGTGTCCCACGTACCCCAGCACTGTGCTGAATGCATTGAAATCACTGCCCAGGGCTCCGCGAGCTGCACGGCCCGGCTTTGTCAATTTCATTGCTGTTGATGCCAATTAGGGGTGACGCTGTCCCTCCCGCATCCCAGGGTGGGCAGAGGGAGGGGCCGGCTTGTTCCCTGGGGGCAGGCGTGCATGGATTCAGCCTGGCCATGGAGCTGTGGCCAAGAGGGCAGCGGGGGCAGCTGGACTGGGGTTTTTGCCGACGCTCTAATTTGGCGGCTGTCGCCACCCCTCCCCCCCATGGAGACCCTGACGTGGCCTGAGCCAGACTCCAGGGGCCATGTGCCCTGCTGGGGAGCAGGGGCTCAGCATCAGGTCTGGTGCACTGACTGGGAGAGGGGGGTCTCCAGCCCTGGACAGGCTCTGAGTGGGGTGGGGTCCCCCAGCTGCTGTGCCCAGCCCTGCCCCCAGGACCTGGCCTTGGCCCTGCGCTGGCCGGGGCCAGGGAGGGAGTGGGCCCAGCTCCCAAGTCTGTGTGACCACCTCGGCTGGGGCACTGACAGCCCGGGGTGCGGAGGGCCCAGCCCGTGACACCCGCCGTCAGCCGCGCCCTCTGCCTCCAGCCCGTGGACCGGGAGCCCGTGGACCGGGAGCCGGTGGTGTGCCACCCCGACCTGGAGGAGCGGCTGCAGGCCTGGCCAGCGGAGCTGCCTGATGAGTTCTTTGAGCTGACGGTGGACGACGTGAGAAGACGCTTGGCCCAGCTCAAGAGTGAGCGGTGGGTGCCCCCTCAGTGCCTCCCGGCATCTTCGCGCCAGGGTTTGCCCCATCGGGTGCTTGTGCTGCCCGCTGTCCCCAGTGCCAGCACTGGCTCCCGGCCCAGGTCCCTGACAGGCTGCCCTTAACAGGACCTCAGAGGGTTGGGGCCCAGGGAGGGGCGTCCAGACCTTCCTGCCTTGTGTGGGGAGAGCAGCCCACTCCCACCCTGGAGGGTGCAGGTGAGGAGCCCGGGGCCTGTTGCCAGGGCCCCCATTCTGACCAGAAGCCCTGTTCCTTCCCCTCCTCACCACAGGAAGCGCCTGGAAGAAGCCCCCTTGGTGACCAAGGCCTTCAGGGAGGCGCAGATAAAGGAGAAGCTGGAGCGCTACCCAAAGGTCTGCAGACAGGATGTGGGGGCGACTGAGGCACAGCTCTGAGGGGGCCCCCCGTGAGGTCTGTGGACGGGATGGGGCGACTGAGGCACAGCTCTGAGCGGGCCCCCTGTGAGGTCTGTGGACAGGACGTGGTGGCGACTGAGGCACAGCTCTGAGCGGGCCCCCTGTGAGGTCTGTGGATGGGACGTGGGGGCGACTGAGGTACAGCTCTGAGGGGGCCCCCTGTGAGGTCTGTGGATGGGACGTGGGGGCGACTGAGGCACAGCTCTGAGCAGGGCCCCCCCGTGGTGGCGCGCATGCCCTTAGTGGCCAGTTGATCCTCCCCTGCTCATGATTTAGAATGAAACCTTTTTTTTTTTTTGAGACGGAGTCTCTCTCTGTCGCCCAGGCTGGAGTCAGTGGTGCCATCTCAGCTCACTGCAAGCTCCGCCTCCCGGGTTCAAGTGGTTCTCCTGCCTCAGCCTCCCAAGTAGCTGGGATTTCAGGTACCCGCTACCACTAGCTCGGCTAATTTTTGTTGTTTTTTTTTTTTTTACTAGAGATGGAGTTTTACCATGTTGGCCCGGCTGGTCTCGAACTCCTGACCTCAGGTGATCTGCCCGCCTCGGCCTCCCAAAGTTCTGGGATTACAGGCTTGAGCCACCACACCTGGCTGAATGAAACTTTAAACAGCACATTTGAGCCGGGCGTGGTGGCTCACGCCTGTAATCCCAGCACTTTGGGAGGCCAAGGTGGGCGGATCATGAGGTCAGGAGATCGAGACCATCCTGGCTGACACGGTGAAACCCCATCTCTACTAAAAATACAAAAAATTAGTCAGGAGAGGTGGCGCACGCCTGTAGTCCCAGCTGCTCGGGAGGCTGAGGCAGGAGAAAGGCGTGAACCCGGGAGGTGGAGCTTACAGTGAGCCGAGATCATGCCACTGCACTCCAGCCTGGGCGACAGAGTGAGACTCCATCTCAAAAAAAAAAAAAAAAAAAAAAAACCAGCACATTTGAACCCAGGTCAGTGTGGTTTTAGAACGCAGGCCGCTGTGCACACACACGGCACTTGGCTGTCTCCATGCCCAGCCTGCCACGGGGGAGTCAAAGCCCAGGCCCTGATTGGGGGTGGCTGCTTCTGCCTGCCTCAGCCCTGGTGTCCATGGCCCAGCATGGGCCGAGTGGGGAGGCCACGCCCTGGTCCCTGGTGCAGCTCCGGCCGTCCCTCCAACCCTTCCACTTGTCTGGCCTAGGTGGCTCTGAGGGTCCTGTTCCCCGACCGCTACGTCCTACAGGGCTTCTTCCGCCCCAGCGAGACAGGTGGGCAGCGCTGTGGGGTGTCCGGGGATGGGGGGCAGGGGCCCATGGGGCCTCTCCCGGCTCCTTCCTTCCAGGCCACAGGACTGCAGCCACCTGGCCTGCGGGCTCCAGGGCACTGGGTGGGTGCGGGTGCTGATGTCCCCTTGGGGGTGCAGAGGCATCCCAGTTCGCAGAGTGTCAGGCAGGCTGGGCGCTTGCTCCAGGTGCCCGGCCCCAGCTCAGGGAGCCCGTGGTCCTGAGTGCTCACGTCGCCCACCTACTGGGCATGGGTGGGGCAGAGGGGCACCCAGAGGAAGGCACCCTACCCCGGGAGGAGGGCAGTGGTGCTGTGACATTCAGGGGCTTGTGACCTGTACCCAGACGGCCGGGCGGCAGCAGCCCAAGGTCACAGGGGCCTCCCCCAGGGAAAGGGAAGCGCTTAGGCTGGGGCGGGGGTGGGGCTGGGGGGCAGCGGGTGGCAGTGGGAGTGCTCTCCAGCAGGGCGGGGGTCCCAAGTGTGGCCCGCACGGTGGCCCAGCCACGCCGAGCACCTGGAGTGCTGTGGGAGGAACAGGGCTGAATTCCCACCCCTCGGGGAAAGGCCCAGGAGGGTGGGAGCAGTGGCCCAGGTGCTGGGGCAGCCCGGGGCTGGCGTGGTGGAAGAGCTGTCTGTATGTTCTTTTTCTCCTCTGCAGTGGGGGACTTGCGAGACTTCGTGAGGAGCCACCTGGGGAACCCCGAGCTGTCATTTTACCTGTGTACGTTTTTTCTCCTGAGCCCACTCCTGCCTCCAGTGCTCGGGGCCTTGGTGCTGTGGGCACACCGCCCGTCCCAGCTGGGGCTCGTGGCAGCTTCTCCACAGGAGCAGCATCTGTGGCCTCCCGCCCAGGTGCCTCCTGCAGCCCATGGTGTCTGTGTGGAGACCTAGGAGGGCCCTTCTCCCCGAGCCAGGCGGTGGGAGCCAGGCTTCCTGCCTTCTCTCTCAGCGCCCTGCTCCCCTCTGGAGCCCTGCTGCACCCCAGCCTGGTCCCCACCCCTGGGGCTCAGGCCACTCCTGCCCGAGGGCTGTGGGAAGGGTGGGTGGACAGGGAGTGGCTGGCCTCCCTTGGAGGGTGTCTAGGTGGCAAAGGGTTAGGCTGCCCACTGCAAGGGGAGCCGGGCTGCACGGGTGGTGTCCCCTGCAGGTGGGCCTGCCCCCCACCGGCCCTTCCGAGCCCTCAGCTGGAGTTTCTGCAGCAGGAGTGTGGGCACAGGGCGTGCTCGTGAGGGGCTCTTCTGCCCCACTTGAGGCGTCACCCCCATCTGCAGGCCTGTCTTCCTTCGGGCGCATGGATGGGCGAGGTCCACGGTGCTTCCTAACACGTAGGTGCCTTCTCTCCTCAGTCATCACCCCTCCAAAAACAGTCCTGGACGACCACACGCAGACCCTCTTTCAGGTACCTGAGGGCCTCCCTGGGGTGCTGCGGGGCGGGGCCCTCCAGGGAGGGCAGGACGAGAGCGTGAGGCCTCGGGCAGGAAGGAGGGGCCTGGCAGGCGCTGGGGCAGGATAATAAAGCCTTTGAGAGCCGGTGGGTTCCGAGGGGGCCGTGCGCCTCTGAAGTTGCTTCTGACACGGCTTTCCGGCCTCCTCTGCTTCCTGCCTGGCCCCGGGTGGGAAAGGACCTGCTAGGCGGCCTGCCTGAACTGAGGCCGCTTGGAGGTCTCGGCCCCCCTGGGCTGCTGTGCTGGGGCCAAGGCGGCAGCAGTCCCTGCCCAGGGGTCTGGGTGAGGAAGGGCCCGGCAGGCCTCGGAGCAGGGCTCAGGGAGCCCCAGAGGGACCAGGCCCTCAGCTGGAGGCGGCCGCCTTGGGCTTCAGCTGCCCCTTCCCCCTGCCCGGCCTCTCCCGCTGGCCCCCCGGTCCCTGCTAGGAACGCCCTGGTGCCCATAGCTGTCCGCTGCTTCTGTGGGTCCCTGCCACCTCCCTGAGGGCTCCTGAGGGTGGGGCCAGGGTGAGGGTGCCGGGTTCCCAGCCCTGCTGGGCCGCCCTCCAGAGCCAGAAGCAATGAATGTCCTGTCCTTGGCCTGTGGGAGAGCTGCCTGGGGCCTTCCGAAGCCCTCTGGCCTAATGGTTTCCTCTTCAAAGCCTCTTCAGATATTTTAATTAGCCACAGAGGCGGGTTTTTTTTTAAGTGGCCACAGGCCTCTACAGAGGCCTGGGTTGGAGGTGAGAAGCTTGCTCACTGCCTGGGGCTGCAGCCGCTTACTGAGCTGGGGCAAGAAGGCTGGCAGCTGCCAGGGGTGATCAGGAGCAGGACTGAGCGGGATTCCCTGCAGCGGAGGCAGGGGAGGGGTGAGACAGTCCCCTCTCAGCCCCCGAGCTGCCGGGCGGACTCCGGGCCTCCTTCCTCCGTCTCCATCCCCTCCCTTGCTGGCCAGCCAGTTGATAAACATTGAATTTGGAAGATGCCTTGGGATGGAGGAGGACCAGTGCCCAGGCCTGCAGCCCACCCTCCCGCTGGGAGGCCCCTGAGAGCACTGGGGTGCTGCTGCCCTGTTTCTGGGGACGCTTGGCTTCCCTACCAGCCACCGTCTCCTGCCCTCCATCAGCTCGGCTCTAGCCTCGGGGCCTCTCGGGGTGGTGTCCCCGGTGACGTGCCTGCCTGCCTGCCTGCCGTCAGAGAGCTGGCGGGGCTGAGGGAAGGAAGCCTGCCTCCCTGGCAGGCAAGCAGGCGGCGGGCGCGGAAGCACCAGCTTTCACGTCTCTGGCAGAGCCCCACTCCGGCTGCCTGCTGCCTGGGGGATGTCCAGGGGCCGGCCCCCGGCTTCCGAGAGGGACAGCGTGCGTGGGTGTGGGGGCTCCGGTAGCCCGGCAGCCCTCTGTGGCCCTGGCCCAGGAGAGTGCAGGTTTTCTGGGAGGGCTGGGAGGAGGCGGCCAGGAGTGAGGACAGGGAATTGTGAGCAGTGTGGGGGCACCACTGTGGGGAACAAAGCCCCCCGCCCCTGCCTGAAACCTGCGTCCTGGCCCTGGGCATCAGGGCTGGCCCTGCCCTGGTGTCCTCACACAGTCACTTCTGTGTGCGGTCCGCGTCCTCAGGTCATGAGGAAGGTCACCCTGGGCTAGGCCCACCTTTGATGTCACGGTCACCTCACTTATCTCTTCAAAGGCTCTGCTGTTTGGGCTTCCTTCCATTGGCTTTGGCAGGGCAAGCCTGGCTCCTAACACCCTCCGTTTGTTGGAGCTCTCAGGCTGCCTCTGGGGACCGTCTGCCAGGACACAGGCCACCCTTGCTGCCTGGTTCCCCACTCCCCAAGCCACTCACCTGGCAGGGCGTGACTGGCACTTCTGGCCTGAGTGCCTGCTGGGCGCCCGCCCCTAGCCAGTTCTGTCGTCCTTCCTTTCCACCCAGGACAGCCCCGTCCTGCACTGCCGTGTCGCCCACTGCCGGGGCCTCTCTGGGACCAACAGGCCCCCTTCCTTCCACCCACCAGGCCCTACCCCACCTGGACCCTCTGAAATGTTCCTCGTTGACAAATGGTCTTGCAGAAGGCAGGATGGCTCCTGCAGCCCCCACTCCCGCTCTGTGGGTGGATGCCCCGTCTCTCCCTGCCCAGGCACCGTGGTGCCTTCTCTCTCCCGGGCACCGTGGTGCCACCTCCCTCCCAGACACCATGATGCTGCCTCCCTCCCGGGCTCTGTGGTGCCATCTCCCTGCCGAGGCACTGTGGTGCCGCCTTCCTCCCGGGCACGGTGGTGCCGCCTCCCTCCCAGGCGCTGTGGTGCCGCCTCCCTCCCGGGCGTCTTGAGCTGCAAGGGCTCCTCTCTTGGCTTCGTTCCCCGGAGGGTGGTGCTGTTCTCGTTGGAGGGGGCGGCCAGGCGCTGGGCCACGTGTGCATGCAGCCCCTACAGAGTTGCTGCCCCGTGGGGGTTGACGTGGGCCTCCTTTCGGAAGCTCTTCCTGGCAACACTGAGTGGGGCAAGGGGTTGGCAGCAGAGAGGCGGCTGGATTTGGGGCCCCAGTGTCCTGGGCGGCAGCTAGGGAGGGGCCGGCTCCAGGCCCTCAGGCTGTGTCAGGGCAGGGCGGGCACCCCCACTTCTCCCTGTCAGCCGAGGGAGCCAGGCAGGGGCAGCCTGAGACATCCTGGGACAGTGCTGGTGGGGAGAGGCCCCTCAGCCTGTGCCTCCCTCAAAGGCCCTTCCCGGGCCCTGCTCTGGCTGGGGGGACGGTGTGACCCACTTTCCCTTTCCAGCCCCAGCTTGGTGACCGGGTGGCTCCATTCACCCTGGGTCCCTCGCTGAAACGGTGCCTGGGACCAGAGCAGAGAACACGCTTGCCAGTGGTAGGAGATGGAGGCGACGTGGACTCTGGGAGGCTTCTTTTTTGGGGTCCATCCAGAGGCCGAGCCTCTCCAAGCACTGGTCAGCCTCCATGCCACCCAGTCTGCCGACCCTCCTCTCCACCATCCCCTCGTCCGAGCAGTGGCGATCCCTCCCGAGTCAAGGCTGGGCACAAGCACGTGGGGACAGGCCGGGTAGGCTGCCTGGCTCAGTGCTCCCTGCACAGAGGCGCAGACAGGGAGCCCAGGTGCCCCAGGCCTGGCTGCCAAGCCTACTTCCCTCTCCTGGTGTTCCCGAGTCCTGCCCGCCCCTTTCTGTGCGTCCCGTGGGGCAGTGCTGGTTGGGGGTCCTGGCCTGTGGGGGCTATGATGAGAACCAGGTGCCTCTCTGCATCGGTGGCCTCTGAGGGAGCCCTCTCGCCCGGCAGCAGGTGGGATGCAGATGGGGCTGGCCAGGGCTCCTGTGCCCACAGCAGCCTCTGGGCAGTGTCCCCTGGGCTTCTGTGAGCAGCCGCAGCCTGGGTGTGAATCTTGGAGGCCCGGTGGTGGCGGAGCATGCTCTCCATCTGGGAGAGGCTGAGACCATGGCAGCTCCTGGCGCTGTCCTCCCCGTGCCCCCTTCCTGGCTCCCCAGCTTCCGGCGCCTCTCCAGGGCCACTCGGGCAGCCCCTGCCCACCCCACAGGCCCTTCTCTGCTCACAAGGCTTTGATCCCAGGCGGCACAATTGGGTTTTCAAAGCATTCACGGCCCTTGTTTGTGTCCCTGGGCCCCCGGCTGGAGGCTGAGGTTTCGGCGTTCCTGGGCCTGGCCTTTGAAGCTTCCTCTTATTAATCTTTTAACATCCCCCAGCCCCACTCCCACCCCCAGCCTGTGGCCCTGAGCAGCCTGGAGCCGGGAGGGGGAATCTGGAGCTGGGAGGGGGATACCCCAGCCTGGCAGCTGCACCCCTCCACGGTGGTCCCGGCGCATCCGCCAGGACCCGCCACGCCTGGCCCCACCTTCCTCGGGTGCAGAGGCCAGAGGAGGGAGGACGGTGATGCTGCATGGCTTGAGGACCCTCGAGGCCCCAGCCTTCAGCTGGCTTGGGGCTTGGGGTGGTCCCATGGAGGGCGCTGGTCCCAGGACGCCCTGGCCTTGCTTACAGGGGTAGGGCTGGTGTCAGACAGGAAGCTGGGCGATGGGCTCATGGGGGCCGGGCAGGCAGAGCCTGTCTGAGGGTGGAGCTGGGGCCTGGCCCTGGGGGTGTAGCTGCCTTCACAGCAGGGGGGTGCTCTGCCCACACCCGGCCCCTGAGCCCCCCGCCCTCCCTGCAGGCGAACCTCTTCCCGGCCGCTCTGGTGCACTTGGGAGCCGAGGAGCCGGCAGGTGAGTGTCAGTGGTTGGGGCCAGTGTCGGAGTCCAGCCAGCCTGTCCCTGGACCTCAGAGCCAGCTGCCCGGGAGGGCGTTCGGTCTGGGGCCTCCTTTGGGTCTGAGAGGGAGATCTGCGGCCCCCAGTAACCACCTCCCCGAGAGAGGACTGGGACAGCCACCTGCTGGCCACCCCCCTCCCAGAGCTGAGTGCTGGTGGGCAGATGCTGGGTGGATGGTGAGTGGACCCCTCCTCAGAGGCTCAGGGTGAGCTTGGGCCTCCCTGCAGGTGTCTACCTGGAGCCTGGCCTGCTGGAGCATGCCATCTCCCCATCTGCGGCCGATGTGCTGGTGGCCAGGTAAGTGCCGGTGGGTCTGGGGGCACCTCCCGTGGCGGCACTCACCACTCTGTGTCTTCGCCTCCCCACAGGTACATGTCCAGGGCCGCCGGGTCCCCTTCCCCATTGCCAGCCCCTGACCCTGCACCTAAGTCTGAGCCAGCTGCTGAGGAGGGGGCGCTGGTCCCCCCTGAGCCCATCCCAGGGACGGCCCAGCCCGTGAAGAGGAGCCTGGGCAAGGTGCCCAAGTGGCTGAAGCTGCCGGGTACTGCGGCTGGGTGGAAGGTGGGGTGCTGTGGCCGGGTGGAGGGCGGGGGTCCGGGTGCTGTGGCAGGGTCAGTGGGCTGGGGGGCTAGGTGCTGTGGCCGGCAGGGCCGAGTGCTTCAGCCGGGCTGGTGGGCGGGTGGCCGGGTGGTGAGAGCCCGGGGTGTGTGGTCACCCTGATGTGTCTGCACTACAGCCAGCAAGAGGTGAGAGCTGCCAGCCTGAGGTGCCCACTCCGCCAGCCACAGGACCACCTCCTCTGCCAGCAGGAATAAAGACTTGTGCATCCCTCAACGCCTTCCTGTCATGCTTCCTCCAGAAAAGGGCCCCCGTCGTCTGCCCTGGCTCAGCTGGACCGCAGTGTCCAGGCCTGAGAGCCTGGTGGACCATGGTGTGGGCCCCTGAGGAGCCTGGTGGACCGTGGTGTGCATCCTGAACCCGCGTGGGTCTCCTCTTCGTTTTTAACCTAACAGTTATTTACACTTCCTCCAAGGAGAACAGAAGTGCTTGAGGAAAGTCTTTTGGGGGAAATCACCTGCAACCCAGGAGCCAAGCCCTGGGCCAGGAGCTGGGGGAGGAGCTAGTAGGTCACCCCACATCCGTAGGGCAGGGCCTGGCCTCAGGCCTCCTGCTGCCCCCGAGCGGGCTATAGTGCTGGGTTCTGGCCCTGGTCCACCCTGCAGCCAGCCTCCCCAGCAAGTCTGATGACTTCTACAGGCTCCCAGGGCTTTCAAACTGACCTACTGAGGTGGGCAGGGCGGGGAAGGGGTGGATCCCAGCAGCCCTGCCTGCCCGGGGCCACTGGGGCTACATCGAGGATGAAGAGGCTCGCCTCAAAGTTGTCTTCGGGCACCAGGGCAGGAGAGAGGCTGGGTCGCCTCCGATGGTTCCCAGGGGCAGCTTTTGTGCTTCCCACCCTGGGGCCTGACTCCCTACCCTTTCCCCTCCCTGCACGGGGCTCCAGGATGGCGCTCAGCTGAGAGCCCCTGGGGTGCTTCCAGTCCTGGGCTCTGACAAGAGAGAGAACGTGAGGTGGGCTGGAGGGGAAGTGGTCCAAGGCCCTGCCCGCTTCCCAAGCGTTGGCACAAGTGGGGCTTATGCCAGAGGCCCCTGAGAGTCAGAGGGCAGCCAGACCTGGGTGGGGCATCCAGACAGGTCCCACAGCCCTGCGTCTCCAAGGGTGGGCAGGGGGCGTGGCCCGAGGGGGCTGACCTGCACCTCTCTGGCACTGCTTGGGAAAAGAGGAGGCCTTCATTTCAGCAGGGCCTTGGGCCAGGGTCCCTCTCACCCTGTGCATCCTGGTCCTGCCTGTGACCACAGGAACATTCGTGGAAGCCACTGCCCACTGGTGGCAGCCCCCGTGGCTGCCCCAACCCCTGGGGTAGGAATAACATTTCCCAGGCAGGTGGCCACATGTACGTGGTCCGGGCTCCACAGCGCCTGGGGGTGGGGCCGAGGCACTCGCACACATGCTGTTTGTTAGTGCATCCTCCTGGCGCTTTGCTTTCTTACCAGGAGTGGAAGGGCACACACGGGAAGTGCAGCTTTGAAGCAGTTTGACTTTGGTGATTAATGGCAAGAAAGCCAAGCTGGGAGAGACAGTTTTGATTTATTGATGTTGCTTTGTGAGAACAAATTTATAGCCTGGGGAAGCATCTTCCAAGGGGAATATCGCATGGCTGGAAAGGTCACACGCCAGCTTTGATGTCGGGTGGCAGGAATGTGGGCAGGAGGCAGCGCTGCCAGCTGCTGTTTGTCAAACACACAGGCTACCTGCTGGCCAGGCCTTTCCCAGCACCTGCCTGTAGGACCCCGGGTGGCATGCACACTATTGTCCCAGGGAGGAGAGGCAGGGACTCCCCAGGTGCTGCCCCTTCCCACACCAGTGTCCCCACTGGACACTCCAAGGCCCGCAGTGCACTGCAGTCCTGCCCCTTCTGCACAGGCTGGAGACTCCCAGAGATCTTGTTTGAATCAACTCCAAATCCTTCAGGTCCTTCCCTGCCTCTTATCAGAGGCCGCTGGAAACACAAGGCCTGCTTCTGTGGACCAGGGGCTCCTCTGGGGGTGGCCTCAGCCACGGCTGAGATCCCTAGAAGTCCAGGAGCTGTGGGGAAGAGAAGCACTTAGGGCCAGCCAGCCGGGCACCCCCACTTGCGCCCCGACCCACGCTCACGCACCAGCTGCGGAAGCACCTTCTCCAGCTGGTCCACGTCCACACGGAGCGCGTCTTCTGCCTGGGCCTGCCGCACGCCGCGGACTGCTGCTTCTGCGGTGAGAAACGCGAGAGGTGGGGGATGCTGGGGGGATCTTAAACCCGAGCCCAGTGAGGGCCTCAGCCTGGGCCGGTGCCCCCCCCAACACCCACGGGCAGCCCCCAGAACCAGGCCACAGCACCTGACAAACAGGCTCAGGAGACCCAAGTTTAGGCCCTTGTGGGAAACGGGAAAACACGTCTTGGTTTTCCCGCTGGAAAAACGCAAAATTCCGGATGCTGTGCCCGGAGGGAGCGTGGGCCCTGGGCTCACCCACAACGAAGACCTTCAGCAACTCCACCATGAGCTGCAGCGCGTCCCCGCTCACTGCAAGGCAGGGGGAGGTTATGCGGGACCCTCACCCACCGCTCTGGCTGGGTGCTCCAGACATACCCCCGCCCTCCCGAGGCCTTGGCCCTGCAGAGTTGCAGGAAAGGGTCCCTGAGGACAGACACGGGGACCCACCTCCCGCCCGCACCCCCACCCGCACCTTTGGTCTTGTCATCCTTGAAGTGCAGGTGCAGCAGCCTGCTCACCAGCTCCTAGAAGGGAGGGGGGTGTCAGCGCCACGCCCCGCCCTCCCCCCCGCACCCCCCAGGGTGGTGACCATTCTGGTGACAGTGGCTGTGACTTCTGGCTGGAGACGCCCTCTGTGCCTGAGCCTCTCCCAGGGCAGGGGACAAGGGCCAGCCTAGTGCTTCGGGTGGCAGAAGCTGAAGCAGATGCGTGGGCAGCTCCACTAGGGGGCGCCAGGGCCCTGCACAGGGTCTGGGCTGGGAGCCTCCCTACGGCGTGAGTGGTCGCAGACACGGGAGCAGGCCCCGCTGCTGGGGCTCCAGGGAGAGAGTGGAGAAAGGCCTCGTCGAGTCCGGCCTAATCTTGCACTCCCATCCCCGGCAGAGGGCCATGGCTCTGCTCTCCTTGTGGGGAGGCAGGGAAGGCAGAGCCCGGGTTGGGTCTGGAGGCTGGAGGTGGCTGCTCTGCAGGTGGGCTGGCCTGAGGGAGTGCCACCAGTAGGGCCTTCCTTGTGCCAACTCTGTTCTGGGTGCTGGGTCAGCTCCGCCCGTCTTGCCCTGGTGCTCATGATCCTGCAGGAGGTGCTGGTGTCCTGGGAGCGCAGAGCGGGGCTGCGCCAGCGTGGTCCACAGGCTGGAGTGAGGGGTGGGCCAGACGCTGAGGGCCCAGGGCATGATGAGCTCTCCGTGTCTCCATGGCAGGAAACTGGGAGTCCTCTCTAGGTTTTTGTGGAAAGCAGCACTGGCGTTGGAAAGGACCACTCTGGCTGCCATGCCCGGGGTGGGGGGAAGGGAGGGGGCTGCAGAGCCAGGGCCTTTCTGCCTTTCTGATGGATGGAGGACGGGGACAAGGGAGGAGTCTACGCCAAGACCCCAAAAGGACGGCACTGCTCTGAGGAGATGGGGGGCCGTGGGCAAGTGCATTTTGGAGCTAGGACACAGGAGATCAGTTTGGGATGCGTTGTGTGTGAACACAGGAGTGGTGGGTGGCAGCTGCAGTGGTGGCGGCCGAGACTCAGGAGGGCAGCCCTGGGTGGCTGGTGGAGCCATGAGACTCAGTGAGGTGGCCCAGGCCAGGCACCGGCCCACAGCCGCCGGGAAAGGAGCCAGCACGGAGAGTCCAGGACTGGGGGTGGGGGCAGTGGGCACCCAGGAGCCCAGAAACAGGCCACTAAAAGGGCAGGTGGGTGAACTACCAGCCAGGCCACCAGCATCGGCCACAGGGAGGTCACAGCACCTCACCCAGAGCAGTCCAGCAGGTGACAAGCAGAGCATGGACGGGTGAAGCCCTAAGATGCAGATGGTGAAGAATGTTCCCCAGCAGCGGGCAGCAGGGTCCAGCATCCCGGCTTGTCCAGCATCCCGGCTCGTCCTGAGCCCTTGCTGTTCCCTAGCCAGGGTCCCAGTCACCACCCGCATGAGCCCAGTGCCACCTGCTGGTCCTTCCAGCTGCTTACTGCCAGCAGTACCAGAAAGGCACCAGAAAAGGTAGAGAAGGCACTATCTCCCCACCTGCTCCGGGACCCCCAACACTGCTGCCCCAGGCCTTGGAAGGAAGACCACGCCAGAGAGTGGCGGATGCCAGGTCTGCCTCGACAATCCATGGGGCTTCCCCGTACATCGGCAGTGGCCTCGGAAGGCAGGCCCAGCACTGGGGCGGTTGTGGAGGGTGCCTAGGACACAGCCAGCTTTGCCCCATGACGTGGGCGCCACGCCAGGGCTACGGGCCCCCCACTCCCCGTCATTCTCACGCTCATTCTCTGCAATGACCACAACTCCAGCTCTGGCCAGAGCCCCTGGGCCTCTAGTTGTCAGGTGGGCTTGATAGAACACATGACCTCCTGGGGTGTGTACCCAGTGCCCCGTCTCCGGCAGTGGCCTTTTGGCTACTTTAACCTGGTGTTCTCACAACCACCCAGTGAGGTGGCCCAAGCCTCAGTGACTTTCTCTTTCTGAATTCCGGCAAGAATCTTCAACTCCACCACCAGAGTTCCCCACACCGACACCCCCCGCCCCCCACGCCTGCTGCCTTGGGTGATAAAGAAGGGCCTGATTCAGGAGAAACAGAATTCTCCCTGCTTCTACAGGGCTGAAGTCCTCCCTCCAGGATGGGTTCACAAGGGCCTGAGACCCTCCCTTCCCAGGCCACAGAGGCCCACGAGGCCCTGCTGACATCGAGGAAGCTCGGTGCCCCAACCTTCAGGTAGAGCAGTAGAAAGGTTCAGAAACCACTCTGCCTGCACCGATGGGGTCCTCTGCACATGGCACCCCCAGAGAGCTCCACTTCCAGGAACAGGGAAGAGCAGGGCACGCCCTCCAGCCTGGGCGGATCCTGGCTCAGACGGCCTAGGTCTGACCCTAGCCCTGCTGAGTCACTTAACGCCCCCGTGCCTCAGTTTCTCCACTGGCAGGTGGGGTTAATCCCTGTCAAGTGTGTGTAACGTGGAGCACCGAAGAAACCACGCGTTCCTAGCCCAGTGCTGGCGCCCACCGGGGAGCAAACAAAAGGGAAACCACTGTGCCTGGCGGCTGGGGTAGGTCCTGCCGGCTCCTCGGGCTGGACGATCTCACTGTCCCCGTCCTGGGGCCTCATCTCCCCTTAACAAAAGACCCCAGGCTCAGGGCGCAGGGCGGCGGCCCAGCTCCTCCTCTCTCTTCGCCGGCTTGGACTCCGCCGTGACGGCGCCCACCCCTGCCTGTTTCTGCAGACCCTCTCCACCTTCCCGCAGCCCCGGCTGCTCCACGCCCCCTCCTACCAGCTGCGAGACACCAGCCCACGAGGGCGCGGGGCGCGCGGCCCGGCCGGAGATGGAGTCTGAGAACGGGCCCAACCTCAAAGGCACAGGGGGCGGCGCGGGGGCTGGCGTCTGGCCCTCACAGTGTCACGCGTGAGGTCGGGACGGAGCGTCCGCGCCTGCCTAGCCCCTGCCCTCCGGCCCTCACCTTCCGGAAGCCGGATCCAGCTCCTGCTCCCTCCATGACCGCAGCCTCAACGCGCGCCCACCGGAACCCCGCCCCGCGCCTCCAGCCAATGAGACCGGAGCGCGCCCCCGGAGCCCCGCCCCGCGCCCCTAGCCAATGAGTCCGAAGCGCCTGCTCTCGGAGCCCCGCCCCCACGTCTCAGCCAATGAGCCCGGAGCGCGCCCTCCAGCAGCCCCTCCCTCACGTCCCGCAGCCAATGAACTTGGAACGCGCCCTCCCGGGGCACCACCCTCACGACCCTCAGCCAATGAGCCCGGAGCATGCCCTCCCGGGGCCCCACCCTCATGCCCCTAGCCAATGAACCTGGAGCGCGCTGCCCCCTCTCAGCTTGCGGCCCGAAAGGCGCGCCAGTTCCTTTGTTCTCATTGGCCCGCACCAAGCGCTGCCTGCGCAGAGCCTGCTAGGAGTTGTAGTTCCCGCGGCCTCTCCCGGCGCGCCTTGTTCTTCCTGGATACTGAGGCCCCGACGCGGCTGTCGCGAGGGCGGGGGTCGGGGCTGCAGGCGGGGCAGGGCTGGGTGGGGGCGCGCGACGCACCTGCCTGCTTCCTGCACGGGTGGTCCCCAAGCACTGCGGGGCCCCAGCCCAAAGCGGACCTTGACTACCGCCCAGCCCCGCGCTCCCAGGACCTCCCGCCCGCGGAGCCCACTCGGATTGCTCTCCGCCCGGGTCGGCGGAGGCCCCGTCTCCTGTACCCGGCGCTGGGACTGCTCCGCACCGCGCGGCTCCCTTTCAGCAGCTGCGGGAGCATGCGGAGGAGGCCCTGCCGGCCCCGCGGGTCATGGAGGAGTTCCGGCGCTCCTACAGCCGCCTGTGCAGGGAGAGTGGGGCCGAGCCCCAGGAGGCTGTCCTGCAGCAGCTGCACCAGCTTCCCAGGGGCCGGCTGGACCTGGCCACGCAAAGCCTGACGGTGGAGACCTGCAGGGCCCTGGGCAAGCTGCTGCCGAGGGAGACGCTGTGCACGGAGCTGGTCCTGAGTGACTGCATGCTCAGCGAGGAAGGTGGGCAGGCGCGGCGGGGTGGATCCCTCTGCTCCTTAGCTGCCCACACCATTGCCTCGGCAGCCCGAGGTCGCTTCCTCTCCAGGCTCTCCAATTTCTGTGCCGTAGTTAAAGCGAGCAGGGGCGCCCCTTCCTGCACCTGGGAGTAGAGGGCAGTTCCTCTGTATGACGGGGGAGAGGCCTTAACATTCGCGGTCTTACCTGGTTCCCCGCGTGCAGAGCCGGCTTGGTGCCTGGCAGGGGCTGCAGGTGTTTCAAACATGACTTCGCAGCGAGACTCTTGGCCAGCGCCAACCCAGACCATCGGGACAGTTGTCCCTTCCTGGGTCTAGGGAGCTGCCCTGAAAAGGGGCCCACGGGGAGGGCCTTGGGGTCAGCAGGGGCAGAGAGTGACCGCCGGCCCCCCTTACACAGGGGCCACACTGCTGCTCCGAGGCCTGTGTGCCAACACCGTGCTGCGCTTTCTGGACTTAAAGGTGAGATACCTGCACTCTTGAGTGTCCGAGTGTGCCACCCAAGGGCAAGAGGAGAGGTGGAAGATGCCAGGTCTCGGGGGCCTGGGGTCTGGGCAGGTGGCTGGAAGCTGTCTGTGAGTCCCCAGGCCGCTCTCTGATGGCCTCCTGTGTGTGACCATCTCCAGAGCAAGAGTTCACATTGGCAAACAAGCCGGCCCTTGGAAGCCCCCTGAAGACAGGGAGCCCAGGAGCTGAGGAAGGCTGCAGGGTGCACCCCAGGCTTGTCCCCTGGCTGACCAAGGCCCTTGGGGCATGGGCGGGAATTCAGAGCCAGTCAGGGCACGCGAGTGACTACCGGCCTGTTTCTCTCCTAGGGCAACAACCTTCGGGCTGCAGGGGCCGAGGCTCTGGGAAAACTCCTCCAACAGAACAAGTCCATTCAGAGGTGGGTGGTGGTCCCGACCCCAGGCCCTGTCTCTGTGTGGTTGAGGATTGGCCCCGAGCACATGCTTCTGCAGCCCAAGAGTTCCCCATTGCCAGGTGCCCATGTTTCACATACGTTGGCAGGGGTAGGCAGAGGCTCCGGCCCATCAGACCCCAAGCCCACACCCGTCCCCAAGCCCTGGACCCCACGGGCTAGGCAGTCCCCTAGGTGAACACTGGCTTCTGCCCCTCCTGCAGCCTCACGCTGGAGTGGAACAGCCTGGGCACGTGGGACGATGCCTTCGCCACCTTCTGCGGGGGCCTGGCGGCCAACGGCGCCCTGCAGCGGCTGGACCTCCGCAACAACCAGATCAGTCACAAGGGCGCGGAGGAGCTGGCCCTAGCCCTGAAGGGCAACACCACCCTCCAGCAGCTGGGTGAGGCCTCCCAGGCGCCCTCAGGCTCCCTCATCCCTCTGAGGCTGCCTCTGCTCTGGGAAGTGAGGGGCTAGGGGACTGGCCTGTGCTCCTGCTCTGTTGATGACTGCAAGGCAGTGCCCCCTAGGGAAGCACCCCGGCCAGGCCAGCTCCCCCTCTGCCAGGTGCATTCTGTCTGGTGACTACAGGTTTCCTTCCAGACCTGCGCTGGAATAACGTTGGCCTCCTGGGGGGCCGGGCCCTCATGAACTGTCTCCCCAGCAACAGAACCCTGTGGAGACTGGACCTGGCTGGGAACAACATCCCTGGAGACGTCCTCAGAGCCGTGGGTACGGTGCAGGGCTGTGTGGAGTGACGCGTGAGCCTTTGACAGAGGCCTGTCCACCGAGGGCGGGGTGCCGGGCTCAGGACGGGAACTGATGAGGAGAGCAGCCTGAGAGCCCAGGGGAAGCAGGAAGGAGCGGAGGGGTCGTGGGGCACCTGTTTGGCACTTGAATGGCGTTCGCCACACATGGGCACTGTCCGAGGCGCCCTGTGTACTTGCTGAGTTCTTAGGACCTGTGCAGTGGAGGGTGCCCGTTTCACAGCTGGGGAAGCTGAGGCCGTGTGGCTCACAGTCCTGGCCTTGGTGGCTTTGCTGATGCTTCGGGTGGCCCAGGTCTTGGCCTTGGCCAGGAAGGCTCCCTGGTCACCCTGAGTCTGTGGCCCTGCATGTGAGTCAGGTGAGGTGGGGCCCCCTGGCTTGTGCTGGCCTCCACACATTCCCTCCCACCAGCGACCCCGAATCCTTGCAGCTGATGTCTCAGCCTCAGGCCCCAGTGCCCCAGACTCAGCTGGGGACTTTGCCAGGCCCCCCGTACTCCCTAATCCGCGCACAGCGGCAGCCTCTTCCAGCCCCTGTGCTGAGGGCTCATCCCTCCTGCTGGTTCTGCCTGGCCTCTGACTCCAGCTGCGCCGTCCCTGGCTTCGCCTCGGCACTGCCCTGGTTGTTGTCATCCCTCCTGACCTCTGCCCCCTCGCCACATGCTACCCAGATCTTTCCAGAACTGAGCTGGGCACAGCATTTGCCTCAGCATTGTGCAGTGCCCCTTGACCTTTGGGATGGTGGCCAGATGCCCCAGGATGGCCCTTGCCTTTTGCGGTGGAGCAGCTCCCACCACCTCTGCCCCACATGTGCACGCGCTCCCCAACACCAGGCGGCTCTTGCTCACAGCCCGAACCCCACAAAGCACTTCCACCCCCATGCACTGAGGGGGCACCCCTGACTTGCCGGGTGAGACGCTGCCCCACACGGCATAGATTCCCAAGCAGCCAGCCGCTGGGTGCAGGGCTGGTGGCCACCAGCTACTCCTGAGGCTAAGCAGCCCCGGGGTGACACAGCTCCTTTGTGTGTGTGTGTGTGTGTGTGTGTGTGTGTGTGTGACTGAGTTTCACTCAGTCACCCAGGCTGGAGTGCAGTGGCGCAATCTCGGCTCACTGCAACCTCCACCTCCCGGTTCAAGCGATTTTCCTGCCTCAGCCTCCCGAGTACCTGGGATTACAGGTGTGCGCTACCATGCCCAGCTACTTTTTTGTATTTTTAGTACAGATGGGGTTTCACCATGTTGGCCAGGCTGGTCTCGAACCCCTGACCTCAGGTGATCCACCCACCTCGACCTCCCAAAGTGCTGGGATTCCAGGCATGAGCCCCTGTGCCCAGCTGACACAGCTCCTTCTGCAGAGCAAGCCATGGGCCACAGCCAGGACCGGCTCACCACCTTCCAGGAGAACCAAGCCCGCACTCACGTCCTCAGCAAGGAGGTCCAGCACCTCCGGGAGGAGAAGTCCAAGCAGGTGAGGATGGCGCCTTCACTGACCTTGGAGCTGCTTATGGCTGGAGGGCCTGGCCACGTCCTTCCTCCCTCAGCCCCGTGGTCTGCCCATCTTCCCTTCCTCGGGGCCCTGGAGCCTCTCTGAGTGGCTGGTACCAGGAAGGAGGGGCGGCCTCCTGGTCTGATCTGCAGGTGGACTTCCTTGGGGAGCTGGCGTCTGAGCCCTGAGGCCTCGCTCTGCAGGGGCCACCCTTCCTGTGAAGGAGACAGGGCACCGTGGGTGGAACCCTCCGCTGCCTTGCCACATTGGTGGGCGCTGGCTCTCCTTCCCCCTGAGAAGGTCAGGTGGACAGGCTGCAGGTGCCCTGACAGGGCTGCGGCTGTCTCTGTCCCCAGTTCCTCGACTTGATGGAGACTATTGATAAGCAGCGAGAAGAGATGGCCAAGAGCAGCAGGTGAGCGGGCCCAGGGCAGGGGCAGGGTGAGGCTTCAGGGATCAGGTCCTGGCTCAGACTCAGATGGGACCAACCTGAGCCCACGAGTGAGGCCACGAGGAGGTCGCTGGAGGCTCAGTGCCCAGGCGACCATAGATGCTTAAGGAACAGCAGCAGCTACCGAGGCCAGAGGGGTATGGGAGCGCTCTGGGGTTTGGGTTACTCTCTGCACCCTCCTCTCTGCCCACAGGGCGTCGGCAGCCCGTGTAGGGCAGCTTCAGGAAGCCCTGAATGAGAGGCACTCCATCATCAACGCTCTCAAGGCCAAGTAAGTGGGGGGTGGCCTCAGGATACTTCAGAGACGTGCCCACAGGGCAGAGAAAGGTGGTGTGAACCTGTGTGCAAGTCCTGTTTGCAAAGCAGAGGTGGGAAATGGTGAGGCTGGGGCAGTAACCCAGAAGCCTTCCTGGAGGAGGCGGGTGCTGGCTGGGGTTGACTAGGTGCCCAGCAACAGTGAAAGCAGCGAGGCCTTTATAAGGCAAGTGAAACTCCAACCGGGGCGGGGGTGCTGCCCCTCCTTTCTGCAGGCTGCAGATGACAGAGGCCGCCCTGGCTCTGTCGGAGCAGAAGGCCCAGGACCTGGGGGAGCTCCTGGCCACAGCGGAGCAGGAGCAGCTGAGCCTGTCACAGAGGCAGGCCAAGGAGCTCAAGCTGGAGCAGCAGGTGGGTGGGCAGGGCTTGAGAGGGGTGGGCCAAGGGGTGCGTGGCGGCTTCGTGACCCTCACTACCCATACCCCGTTCCCCTCCCAGGAAGCTGCAGAGCGGGAGTCTAAACTCCTCAGAGACTTGTCTGCTGCCAATGAAAAGAACCTGCTTCTGCAAAACCAGGTAGCTGTGGTGGATGGAGCCAGGGAGCCCAGGGTGGGCGCGGCAGGGCTGGGCTGCAGCTTCCCTCCCTGGTGCCGGCTTTCAGGTAGACGAGTTGGAGCGGAAGTTCAGGTGTCAGCAGGAGCAGCTGTTCCAGACCAGGCAGGAGATGACCAGCATGTCAGCTGAGCTGAAGATGCGGGCCATCCAGGCCGAGGGTGGGCACGGGCAGGCCTGCTGTGGAGGGGCCTGGGGATGGGCACCGGGGGACGGGGGCCCCCAGGGGATGCTCACGCATACTCTGCCCACCCTGGGCTTCCAGAGCGCCTGGACATGGAGAAGAGAAGATGCAGACAGAGCCTGGAGGACTCCGAAAGCCTGCGCATCAAGGAGGTGCCCTCTTCGTTGGCCTCTAATGCGCCTCAGTCTCTGGTCTTGGTGTCACGCAGGTGTCCCCAAAGCACACACCTGGTGGGAGCTTCCCTTGCCAACCTTGGGTCACTGGGTGGCCGTATTTTGCCAGCCTGAGCGGATGTCAGACCCAGAACCTCCTATTGGGGGCGGCGGGGGGACCCCGGCAATGTCTGAGCCGTAGTACAGGCTGCCGTTGAAGAGACACCAAGGCCCACTCGTTCAGGGTGTGCATGCTGCGGTAGTTTCCTGCTAGGCCATCTGAGGCAGTGCTTTCTCAGAATGAACAAGGTTCTCAAGAGACACCTGCCTTTCAGGGTGGGGAGTCCGTGAGGAGAAGGTAGGGAGGCCCGCTCTCCACTCTGGCCCCACAATCCCTGCCCCTGAGCAGGTGGAGCATATGACCCGTCACCTGGAGGAGAGTGAGAAGGCCATGCAGGAGCGGGTGCAGAGGCTGGAGGCGGCGCGGCTGTCCCTGGAGGAGGTGAGTGCCCACCAGGCAGGGCCAAGCTCTGCCTTAGTCCTGGGCTGAACAAGGCAGGGGCCCCTGGTGTTCGCCGCCTCAGGACCAGAGACCTCTTCCTGTTCCCAGAGGCTCATAGGCCCCACCTTGGGGACCCACCCACCAGTGTGCCCAAGAAGCTAAAGGGACTTAGGTGGCATTCGGACTTCCTTGGCCTTAGGAACCTTGCCCAGCGAGCTAGGTGGCAGAGCAGCTGCGTGGCCCTCAGGAGGCTGGCAGAGAGGAGCCCCCCTGGCTGGGGTTGGCTGGATGGGCCAGAGAGAGAAGGGCCCTGGGCCAGGGACAGGAGAACGGGCTGGCAGGTGGCCATCTGTGCAGGAGCTGAGCCGAGTGAAAGCAGCGGCACTCAGCGAGCGTGGCCAGGCTGAGGAGGAGCTGATCAAGGCCAAGAGCCAGGCCCGCCTGGAGGAGGTGAGCCACACATGTCCGCCACCCTCCGGGGGAGCCAGGCTGCCCGGCATTGCGGCCCGCATGCAGACTCCAGAGCTTCGGTCTGAGTGGGGAGGCGGGAGTGTGGTGTTGAGGTCAGATGAGCACACCCTGGACACTGGTGGGTCCGCTTCAGCCTTGGATCAGGGCCTGAGACGGTGGAGAGGTTTGGCCCATCTCTGCAGCCTGTGACTACACGCATGGATGGATGGGAGGGGTGGTGTGACCGAAGAGGGAGGAGGAGAGCCCAGAGGGCATCTGGAGGAGGTGGCTGCCAGGGGAGCGGGTTCAGAGTCATAGTAACTAGAGCAGCCAGTCCTGCAGAGAGGTGGGGTCGTGCCCGTGCAGACATTCCCTCAGCTGAGCTCAGGCTGAGCCCCTCATGCTTCGTGGCGGCCCCTGTGCTCACAGCAACAGCGCCTGGCTCACCTGGAGGACAAGCTGAGACTGCTGGCGCAGGCACGGGACGAGGCGCAGGGCGCTTGCCTACAGCAGAAGCAGGTGGTGGCCGAGGCCCAGACCCGGGTCAGCCAGCTGGGCCTGCAAGTTGAGGGCCTGCGGCGGCGCCTGGAAGAGCTGCAGCAGGTAGGCGGGGCTCCGGTGGGGGGCCCCGGGCGTGCTAGCCCCCAACCCTCGCCTCACTCCCCAGCCTTCGTGCCTGGCAGGAGCTGAGCCTCAAGGACCAGGAAAGGGTGGCCGAGGTGAGCAGGGTGCGCGTGGAGCTGCAGGAGCAGAACGGCCGGCTGCAGGCGGAGCTGGCGGCTCAGGAGGCGCTGAGGGAGAAGGCGGCGGCCCTGGAGCGCCAGCTGAAAGGTGAGCCAGACCCTTGTCCTCCCGCCGCCCACTGGTGGGACGTGAGGCCAGCCAGAGAGCGGGGCTGGCCAGGTCTCCCGTGCTGAGGCCGTGCCACGGTGCGCTGGGGCTGCGTCCGCTCACTGCGCTCCTTGCCCTGCAGTGATGGCGAGCGACCACCGAGAGGCGCTGCTGGACAGGGAGAGCGAGAACGCGTCTCTCCGGGAGAAGCTGCGGCTCCGGGAGGCGGAGATCGCCCGCATCCGGGACGAGGAGGCCCAGAGGGCGAGCTTCCTGCAGAACGCCGTCCTGGCTTACGTGCAGGCGTCCCCCGTGAGGACCCTGAGCCCCCCAAAGTGAGACAGGCCGGGAGGACCCGGGCGCAGTAGGAGTGCATCAGGCGGCGCCCGAGATGGACCAGGGGCTGCGTCCCGCCCGCGCCGCCTCTTTGAGACCCGGGTCGTCTGTTCCACGCGGCGGTTGCGGCGACTGTTGGTGGTGTCGCGGCTGCGGGGGAACCCCGTGGGAGGCGCCTGGGAAGGGCTCCCTACCGGCCCCTTCTTCCCGGTCGACGCCACGTGGGAGCACACCGGGAAGGGGTCCCGCGGGCGCGTCTCCCCCTCGCCTTTTGCGATGTCACCGTGAACGCTGCGGCCGCCTGCGCGCGGCGGGGTTTGGAAATACAGCGCGTTTGCACTTTGTGATACATTCTGGCCCCGCCTCTCCCTCCAAACGCGCGACCGTCCGTGCCTCTCCAAACGCGCGGCCCTCTGCCCCCAGCCCTGCAGGGAGGGCCTGCCGGGGTGCGGCTGTTCGCCCCTCCTCGCCGCTGCCTTGAAGGGACGGGAGGGCCGCGGGGGCTGTCCGTCTGGGGGTTCGGGCGGCTGCAGACCCCGGAGTTCCCAGCTGGCTCCCGGCGGCAGGGGGCGGGTCCCCGAGAAAGCGCAGCGCGCGGAGCCCTCCCCGCCGGGTCCAGGTCGCTGGGCTCTCTCCGGCCTGCGCTGCGCCCCGAGGGACCCGTAGGAGACCCCCGGGCCGGGGTCGCGCTGGAGGCGGGGGCGCCGCAGCTCGCGCAGCTCTGCCCGGGTTCGGGCGGCCCCGCCCCGCCAGCCGCGCGGCCGGGCGCCCCCCGCCCGCCCCCGCCCCCGCCCCCCGCCCCCCGCCGGCCGCGCTCGGCTGTCTCCGCGCCCGGCGCTCGGCGGCGCTCGGCTGTCTCCGGCCGATCGCTCGGCGCTCGGGTCCGCGGCCGCTGCGGCGCCGGGCATTTCTCCGCAGCTCGGCTCGCGGCCGCGCCCGCCGCCGCCCGGCCCGCGCCCATGCAGGCCATCAAGTGCGTGGTGGTCGGCGACGGGTGAGTGCGCGGCCCGGAGGCCGCTTGGCTGGGCTGGGCGGGAGGGGGGCTCGGGGGCTCGGGGCGCAGCCGGGGCGGGGCGGGGGTGGCGCCCGGGTCCTCGCGAGGCGGCCCCGCCGTACCCCGCCCGAGCCGCGTGCGCCCCGGGGTCGAGGAGGGCGGGGTGGGGCGGGGCGGGGTCCGCGGGCCTCCAGCTCGGGCCCACCTGATGCTGCCCGGCTCCCGCTTGGGCTGGCTGCGGGCGAGGCGGGGCCGCCGCCCTGTCCTCCCAGTGGGTGGGGCCAGGCCTCTCACCTGGGCTGAACCCTCAGCCGGCCCCACCCTCTCCTGCCGCCACCCTCGGAGTCGGGGCCTCTGCCTGGGGCCCCAGTGTGGGGCGCCCTGCGCCCTTATTCACCACCCCAGCCCCCGGAGCCCGGCCTGCCCAGGTCGTCCTCCAGCCTTAGGTCGCCACGGATCTGGTGGGCTGGGTCCCCCTCTCGACCCCAGACGCCCCTAACTCGCCTCTGGCTCCGGGAGAGGGGGCTGCCCTTGCTGGGCAGAGGGTCCGAGGCCGGGCCCGGGAGCCACGTGGCTTGCCCTGTCCGCAGCGCCGTGGGGAAGACATGCTTGCTGATCAGCTACACGACCAACGCCTTCCCCGGAGAGTACATCCCCACCGTGTGAGTGTGGGGGCTTCCCGGGAGAGCACAGGCCCTCCGTGTGAGTGTGGCATGGGGGGGACACGGGCAGGGTCTCCTCTGGGCTTCCACGTCGGCTCAGGTGGCCCTGTCTCTGGGCTTCCCGGCTGGAGCTGAGGTGCTGGCCAGAGTTCTAGTTCTGTGCAGACTTGTGAACCCCAAGACACAGGCCAGCAGGGCTGGGGGTTTCTGGGACCCCTCCCAAGCCCTGACCCTGCCCTCACTGCTCTGCAGTTTTGACAACTACTCTGCCAACGTGATGGTGGACGGGAAACCAGTCAACTTGGGGCTGTGGGACACAGCGGGTCAGGAGGACTACGATCGGCTGCGGCCACTCTCCTACCCCCAAACTGTACGTAACAATGGGGCCAGCCCCGGGAGCTGGGGGGGTCCCTGAGATCCGCACAAGGGAGGGAGCAGGGCCCTGGGGAGCCCCTGACCACTCCACCAGGTCCCACCTTTTTCCCAAGGACGTCTTTCTGATCTGCTTCTCTCTGGTGAGCCCGGCCTCCTTCGAGAATGTTCGTGCCAAGGTAGGGCAAGGCTGGGGGCCCCTGTGGGGAGAGGGCTTGCCCCAGTACCTGCCCCGACAAGTTGTCCTTTAGAGGCAATTGCGATACGGGTTCTGCCTGGGGTAGGCACACGGAGTGGGGTCTGAAGATGACCATGGGGGCTGATGGGGTGCCGTGGTGGTGGTCACAGCTCTCAGAATGGAGGGTTCTGAGGGCTCTGGCTGCTGGGGATGGGCCTTGACTAGGAGGCCCTGGGAGGTCTCCAGGTTCCCTGGCTGCGTGTTTGTTCCTGGTATCTCCCCACCAAATCCGCCCCTGGTCACCCCTTGAAGGAAGAAGAGCCAAGTGTAGCTCTGGAACAGTGGGGAAAGTCCCTGAGGGCCGTGACTTGCTCAGGTGGGGCTGGGGTAGCCGACTCCGGGCCTAGGGATCAGAGCGTCTGTCCCTGCAGTGGTACCCGGAGGTGCGGCACCACTGCCCCCACACGCCCATCCTCCTGGTGGGCACCAAGCTGGACCTCCGCGACGACAAGGACACCATTGAGCGGCTGCGGGACAAGAAGCTGGCACCCATCACCTACCCACAGGGCCTGGCCATGGCCCGGGAGATTGGTGGGTAGGCGCTGGCGGCCTGCAGGGGAGGGGTGGGGAGGCGCAGTAAGGGCCTCCCTGTACCCCACCCTCACTGTCTCCCCTCCTCACTGCCGCTAGGCTCTGTGAAATACCTGGAGTGCTCAGCCCTGACCCAGCGGGGCCTGAAGACAGTGTTTGACGAGGCGATCCGCGCGGTGCTCTGCCCGCCCCCAGTGAAGAAGCCGGGGAAGAAGTGCACCGTCTTCTAGAGCCCTGGCCCACCCGAGCCTGAGGGCTGGCGGGGAGCAGCCCTGGACGTGTCCGCTGTTGTGTTGAGACGTGTGGTGTCCCTGAGTCGGCTGTGGGGAGCGGTGGGGGTGGGCCGGGGGGAAGCATGGGGATGAGGCTGGGTGGCAGGATCCTGTCCTCTCTGCCGCCTCATTCTGGGGTGTGGCTCCAGCCTTCCCTGGCCCCCGCCGGAGGCCGGGAGGGAGCAGGGTCTCCCTCAGGGCTGCAGGGGCAGGTGCAGGGAAGCCCCAGGATGGGCTTCCCTGGAGGGGGAGGGTGGGGGGGAGTTCTGTTCCTTGTGCCCCGAGGTGGGGCAGCCCCTTCTCATTTTATACAATAAACATTCTCCACCTACACCTCTTGCCTCTCACTACCTGCCCTTCTGTCCTGGGGCGGTTTGCTCCTAATTCCCCTCTGTGATGGTGCAGAGCGGGTCCATCACACCCCAGCCGACCCCAGCCGCACTTCAGAGCTGAGTTCCCAAAGGCAGCACTAAGCTTCCTCCACCCTACCCCAGGGGAAGAGGGGGCCTGCTGAGCTGCTCAGCCCCCCAAAGGAGCCGACCCAGATCAAAGCAATAGCTAGTGCATTGAGCCCTAGGGATGATTACTTGGCTGTGTACAAGGCCTCCCTCAGGCTGATTTGTGCCTCTGGGAGGGCACATGTCAGGGAGGGGTGGGGAGAGGCGGGCCAGTTCTCAGGCAGCGCCTGTTGTGCTGACCGGGAAGGTCTGAAAAGAGGCTGAAGCAGGTCAGGCCTCTCTGAGCCTCGTGGGAGCCGAGGCAGGCTCCCCGCATCCCTCAACTCCTCTGGCTGGCACCGGGAGTAAGGGCAATCCAGGCAGAGGGGCAGGGTGGAGGAGGGCGCGGGGGTCGGGGTGTGGTGTGGAGAGTGAAGAGAGCAGTGACCCAGCACAGTCCGCTGACGCTGAAGCCAGAATCAGTGGGCCCGGAGCCATGGTCCCGGGATTGGAGTCACTCGGGATTGGAGGGTGCCATGAGGTCCCGGGATTGGAGTCACTCGGGATTGGAGGGTGCCATGAGGTCCCGGGATTGGAGTCACTCGGGATTGGAAGGTGCCATGAGGTTCCAGGATTGGAGTCACTCGGGGTTGGAGGGAGCCATGGTCCCGGGATTAGAGTCACTCGGGATTGGGGGGTGCCATGAGGGCCACTGTCTGCTTCCGCCTTGTGCTGTGTGGGGGCAGCTCCTACTGGCTCAGGAAAGCCAACTGCTGAATTCTCAACAATTTTGCTAGCCAGTTGTTAATGATCATTAACAAATTATAGAAGCTTACAATTTGTGTTATTAAAAGCAAAATCGGCAAACGTCACTTCCTACTTATTTCTGCATACACGACTGTTTTCTCTGCCCCTCGGTTATGTACATCTGTGGGACCTATGGACACAAACACCACATAACAGGGTGCTGAGGGCATCTCCTCCAGCTCCACGTTAAATGACATCTAACTGGTAGCTTGAAATCAGCCGTGGTGGGAGGAGGCTTGACTTATGGTTACTTGTCTAGACTTCAGATGATAAAATGCAGATTAGACTTCAGGGTGCTGTGTCTATGCTCATTACATTGTGAATAGCACAAGTTGAGGAAACGCTCTTCTAGTTTCCGAAAACCATCATCTGATTCAACAAAGTGGCTCAGATCACCGACGAAGTGGAGAAGCTTGACGTTCTCCTTGTTTCCCTTTTGTCTTACTCATTAGCTTGAAGGAAGAGGAGCCAACTGTACACTCACAGAGGGGGCCATCAACACTCACATGCACACACCGTCTCACCCCAGAGGTTCTGGACAGGCCCGAAGGCCAACCTTGCTGAAATTCACCACCCTCTTTGGGAGGTGACCTTTCACCACCTCCCACCTCCCTGACAGAGAACTGGCCAGGCCTGAAAACCTCAGGAGTGGGAGCCACGCTCCCCCTTGGATTGGAATGTGAATGTCATGGGTCTCTGCCCGCGTTCCACACCTGGCCCCAAGCCCCCAGCTACCTGCTGGCAGCCTAGGAATAGCACATAGTCTGGGCAGCAGAATCAGGTTTATTGGAGGGATTGGGGGTAGGATGAGCACGGCATGGGGCTTGAGGTGTGTGGAGGGAGCTCAGCAGGCCCAGAAGCCCCCTTCCACCGGCAAAGTGGAACCCGTGGTCATGCCACTTCGGTCACTCAGCAGAAAGAGGATGGCGTTCACCACGTGCTCTACCTCTGTGGGCAGGGCGGGGGTCAGGGGCATAGAGGAAGGAGGCTGCCGCCCATCTTTCCCTCCCACCCCTACCCAGGGCACACACAGGGACTGCTGGCACCACGCTGGCTGGGCTCCCACCTGACTCACCAGCAAACTTGCCAAGTGGGATTCGGTTCAGCATAGTCTTGGCCTTGTGGGGGTCACTCCAGGTGGCCTGGCCCATGGACGTCATCACCACTGTGGGGTTTACTGCATTCACTCGGATCTACACCGGGACAGCTGGGGTCAGCAGGGCAAGTGGGGTGTCCTAGGTTGGGGGAGGTACCCCAGCCCTGCTCACCTTGTGGGGCCCGAGCTCTAGGGCCATCACCTTGGTCAGCATGTCCAGGGCACCCTTGGTGGAGCCTACGAAGAGGAACCCAAGCTGGCTGGGGCTGGGGTCGGTGATGAGGGCGAGGCTGGGGCTGGGGTGGGGCTGAGGGCACAGCTGGGGCACTCACAGTAGACGCTATGGTTAGTTACTGCCCGCTGGGAGCACTGGCTGGAGACATTCACGATGGCCCCTGGGACTCCCCGGGCTATTAAGCCCCTGGCCACAATCTGGAATCGCAGCGAGACCGTGAGGCAGAGCTGGCATCACTCACGAGAATTCCCGTCCAGCCCACAGGGCAGCTCACCTGCGACACCTGGATGACCGCACGCAGGTTCACCTCAAAGGATCTAGAGGCCGAGGGACAGACCCTGGTCAGAGATTAGGGCTGCTGCGTCCTCCAGGACAGCCCCTCCCTGAGGTTCCTCCGCCCTCACAGGCTCACCTGTCAAAGGCCTCCTTGGTGACCTCCAGGAAGGGCTGCAGCAGGGCGACAGCGGCGTTGTTCACCAGCAGGTCCACGGGGCCCACGCTGCCCAGCGCCCGCTCGGTGGCCTCCCAGTCACCCAGGTCCACGCACACGGGTTCTATCCCCGGGCACTGTGTGTATCAGGGGGCAGTTACCAGAGGCTCTGTGCCCAGCAAGCGGCACAGCTGGGGACTGGGGCTGGTGACCTTTCAGCCGGACAAGTAAAGGAGTTAGGAGTTCCGAAGGTGTCGGGACTGTGGGGCCAGCAGCCGGGCGCTACCTCCGGCCGGTTCACTTCCTCCCTGCGCCCGAGCGACTCCTGCCCGGGGCCTGCTTCGCAGCCATTTCGGCCTCTTTCTGAGCCCGGGGGCCCCGGCGGCTCTGCCGACCACCCGGCCGCCCACGCAGGCCACCAGCCCCGAGAGAGGGTGCGCGGGCGCCCAGGCCGCGGTGAGAAGCGCAGCGCCCGCGAGGGGAGGCGGAGTCGCGCACAGAGGTACCGCCCCCGCTCGCTGCCGCCCCCTCCTGGCTCGCCGCCTCGCAGCGCTGGGACCCGGCGGGACCTACCTCGCGGACAAGGCTGTCAAGATCCGCCTGAGTCCGGCTCACAGCCACCACCCGCGCGCCCGTCGCGTGCAGCGCCTGGACCGTGCCGCGCCCTATACCTGCCGGGAGCGGGCTCAGTGAAGGCGTCCCCTGCCCGCCTCTGCCCGCCGCCGGCCTTTGCCCACCTTTCCCCGCCGCCCACCTTTGCCTGCCCCGGTGACCAGCACCCGGCGGCCCGCGAGGAACAGCTCCATGTCGGCGCAGTCTCCGCCCTCCGCACTGGGGCTGCGGAACTTGAAGCTCTGGCCACGATGGGCGGGGCGCGGCGGGGCCAATGGCAGGGCGGCCTTCAGATAGGCGGTGGGGACATTCAAATAGCTGCTCCCCGCTGCAGTGATTGGCCGAAAGGAGTGGGCGCGCCGGGGCGGGGCGGGGTCTCCGCTGCCTCAGGGACGGGTCTTTTGAAGTGCCTGGTGTGACCCATCTTCCGTGCTTGAAATCGACGTAGTGGACCCTGGCTAGCATATTTTTCCCTGCCAAGATTATTGCAAAAAGACGATGTGGTGGTTAATATCGGAAAGAATGTGTGGTTAATATCAGGAAGAACACGTGAAATGGAGAATTTCAGGGCTAACATTTCTTGTTTTGTTTCTGAAAACATCGGCATGTCCTAAAAAGTGTCGCCTGTGCCCATCATCTCTCAGGCTTGGGAGCAGGACACCGCCGGCTCACTTTAAAGCCAAGGGAAAGAATTTGGACAACCAACTACGTCTGGAGAAGACACCAATGTCAGCAGAGCTCCGCTTTCATCTGTGGGCGAAGGATTACCTAGATGCCAAGGCAAGAGACTGAAGACACAAACTGTTTCAGTATAACAAAGAAAATAGGCCGGGAGCGGTGGCTCACGCCTGTAATCCCAGCACTTTGGGAGGCCGAGGCGGGTGGATCACGAGGTCAGGAGATCGAGACCATCCTGGCTAACACGGTGAAACCCCATCTCTACTAAAAATACAAAAAATTAGCCGGGCGCGGTGGCGGGCACCTGTAGTCCCAGCTACTCAGGAGGCTGAGGCAGGAGAATGGCGCGAACCCAGGAGGCGGAGCTTGCAGTGAGCCGAGATTGCGCCACTGCACTCCAGCCTGGGCGACAGAGCAAGACTCCATCTTTAAAAAAAAAACAGTTAAAATAAAAATAGTCATAATACAAATTAGATATAAAAATGATCATGATCATGGATAATTATCAATCATTAGTATAAACATTATTAATCATTAGCTTTTAATATTACTCTTTGTTGCATTACTAATATAACCTAGGGACATTGTGAGAAGTGACCTAGAAGGCAAGAGGTGAGCCCTCTGTCACTCCCGCATAAGGGCTGCTTGAGGGCTCCTTGGTCAAGCAGTAATGCCGTTGTCTGGGAAGCCACCCGTTACTTAGAAGACTGCGAAGGGGAGTCTCCTTTCCTTGGAGGCGTCAGGGAACACTCTGCTCCACCAGCTTCTTGTGGGAGGCTGGATGTTATCCAGGCCTGCCCGCAGTCATCCGGAGGCCTAACCCCCTCCCTGTGGTGCTATGATTTAATGGTCACATTTCTTGTCCACTTCCATGTTCCTCCCGTACTCCTGGTTCCTCTTTGAAGTTCGTAGTAGATAGCAGTAGAAGAAATAGTGAAAGTCTTAAAGTCTTTGATCTTTCTTATAAGTACATAGAAGAAAGCGCTGATGTATGGTCTTCTCTTTCTGTTTCAGCTACCTAAAAGGGAAGCGCCCCCTGTCCTATGATCACGTGACTTGCTTCACCTTGTCAATCACTTGGAAGATTCACCCTCCTTACCCTGCCCTCCTTGTCTTGTATGCAATAAATATCAGTGCGCCCAGCCATTCGGGGCCACTACTGGTCTCCGTGTCTTGATGGTAGTGGTCCCCCGGGCCCAGCTGTTCTCTCTTTATCTCTTTGTCTTGTGTCTTTATTTCTCACAATCTCGTGTCTCCGCACACGGGGAGAAGACCTGCTAAGCCCCATAGGGCTGTACCCTACATTCATCTGAAAGGGACTTGAACCCCAGGTCACCTTGGACAGCCAGCATCCGGCCAGGGGCACCTTTTAGAAGTTGAATAGGATAGGAAGGGATTGGGGTCATGGAAGTACATGGTGGTCCAGCAAAGACCAGCATTGCTTCCCGAGGCTTTGGGGTCAGTTACAGATGCGTGTGTGTGTGCACCCACACACTGGGCCTCCATGTAAAAGCTACTTTGTTCTGTGGGTCATGGTAGGAAAGTCTAGAACTACTGCCCTTCTGTGGCCAGGAGTGACCTTCTGTGGCCAGGAGTATGGAATTGGTGACTGTAGGGCCTTTGGATCATCTGGGGCTTTGGGCCCACAGAGGTGGACAGGCCGGAGGCAAGGGTGGCCAGGCACAGCAGGAGGCAAGGTCCTGGTTTGTTCTGGAGGACAGCCAAGTGCATGGTCCATATCAGACCTGGCACTGCGGCCAGTCCAACCCCCCCTTGGCCGCCCTGTAAACTCTGCTTTCTGCCCCTACCCTTGGAGCCTGCTTTCTGCCTGCCAGCAGCCAAGGGAAGGACACCCCTCAACCTGTCCTTCCTGGAAGGCCCATCTGCTTAGACCCCTCCAGCGGCCTGCACGTGCCCCCAGGAGAGTGGACCAGGCCTCACTGGTCCTGTTATCCGTGGCTCAAGCCCTGCTCCCTGTGAGTCCTGCTGGCTGGTCAGAAGCACCCTCGGCATCCCCTACCCCCACCCTGTGCCCTGTGCCCTCCCAACCACTGCCTGGAGGGCCCGATCCTGGCCCCTAGCCCTCTGCCCTCTTGCCCAGCTTTGGAAGATTCCCAAGGTCTGGGTAAAGTTACCAGTATCCAGATTCCTTCTCGAGCTCGAACCAACATTACACTTTTCCTAGAGTCAAAACGGGAGTTAACACAAGTATATAAATGACAATTAATACATTGGATAGTTTGATTGTTCGTCCAAATTTTGATATTCCCCACTAACAGCATATAACGAAGCTTAACACAACTCTATAGGAATAGTCACATTGGAGGTGAACA
The DNA here is from genome assembly GCF_000001405.40 of Homo sapiens. NCBI lineage: Eukaryota > Metazoa > Chordata > Mammalia > Primates > Hominidae > Homo > Homo sapiens. The sequence goes on from NC_000017.11 coordinate 82,040,500, forward strand.
AAGCAGAATGTCTGAATCTACACTGATACTGAGGGAGAGGAGCAGTGGTGGCCACACCCGATGTTATCCGCTGTCAAAAAGCAATTTGAAGGGCCGGGCGCGGTAGCTCACCCCTGTAATCCCAGCACTTTGGGAGGCTGAGGCGGGTGGATCACGAGGTCAGGAGATCGAGACCATCCTGACTAACACGGTGAAACCCCGTCTCTACTAAAGGTACAAAAAATTAGCCGGGCGTGGTGGCGGGCGCCTGTAGTCCCAGCTACTCGGGAGGCTGGGGCAGGAGAATGGCGTGAACCCGGGAGGCGGAGCTTGCAGTGAGCCGAGATCGCACCACTGCACTCCAGCCTGGGCGACAGAGCGAGACTCCGTCTCAAAAAAAAAAAAAAAAAAAAAAGCAATTTGAGGTGCCCGGGGATGCTGAAGAGGTAGAGTGGCATACCTGGGTTGAGAAAAATTATCGTAATGCCAATTGGAGTCCCATAAAAGAGGACTGGCATCAAAAAGAGGAAAAGGGTTCAAAGGAGATTTATCATGGGGTTCAGAATCACGGACGCGAGGGGCGGTAGCAGGGACAACAGACAGAAAAGTTTCCCCTTCCCATACTCGCAGTCTGGATGTGGCAAGAGCCAATTTTCAAAGTTCTGGGTGTTCTGAGCTCAGAATGGGGAGTATCACACGAGCCCTCGGGGGACAATGTCCTTATTTTCCCATTTTAAGGGAAAGAAAGAGCTGAACCTCCTATACAAAGTAAAATGATGATCCTCGTTCTTCCAATAAGAAATAAAACAAGTAGCCTCCAGGCATTCCCTCCCGCCACAGGAGCAATTGTTTTTTAAATAGCCCTTTGGTACCCAGTCTATTACTAAACCATATGAGTCAGTTTTGGTTTTTTTTTTTGAGTCGAACAAGCATTTCTGTGAACCGGACCGATGAACGTTTCTACACAACTACCAAAGGGAAGCGGGTCCCCACATGCACTCAGGAAAAAGAAAAGCCACGTTGGCGCGCCAGATATCGGGGGAACCAGCCCCCAGTATTTCAATGTAGGTTCTTTCTATTTTCCATAAGTGTTGGCTGGCTGAGAAATGAAGAGAAAGAGTACAAAGAGAGGACTTTTACAGCTGGGCCTCCCAGGGCGACATCACATATCGGTGGGACCCTGATGCCCGCCTGAGCCGCAAAACCAGCAGGTTTTTATTAAGGATTTTGAAAGGGGAGGGGGTGCAAGAACAGGGAGTAGGTCACAGAGATCACATGCTTCAAAGGGCAAAAAGGAGAACAAAGGCACTTCAGGAGGCCAAGGCCAGTGGATCACCTGAGGTGAGGAGTTTGAGACCAGCCTGGCCAGCGTGGTGAAACTCCGTCTCTACTAAAAATACAAAAATCAGCTGGATGTGGTGGCACGTGCCTGTAATCCCAGCTACTCAGGCAGCTGAGTCAAGAGAATGATTTGAACCTGGGAGGCGGAGGTTGCAGTGAGCCAAGATCGCACCATTGCACTCCAGCCTGGGTGACCAGAGTGAAACTCCGTCTCAAAAAAAAATAAAAAATAAAAAGTTTTAAAAAAATTTTTTTAAAATAAGGCTGGGCGCGGTGGCTCATGCCTGTAATCCCAGCACTTTGGGAGGCCGAGGCGGGCGGATCACGAGGTCAGGAGATCGAGACCATCCTGACTAACACAGTGAAACCCCGTCTCTACTAAAAATACAAAAAATTAGCTGGGCCTGTTGGTGGGTGCCTGTAGTCCCAGCTACTTGGGAGGCTGAGGCAGGAGAATGGCGTGAACCTGGGAGGCGGAGCTTGGAGCGAGCCGAGATCCCGCCACTGCCCTCCAGCCTGGGTGATAGAGCGAGACGCCATCTCAAAAAAAAAAAAAAAAAAAAAAGACTGAGCCCTCAGAGACACAGCTGCAGTGAAACCATTAAATGGAGGCCAGTAGCATGTGAACCACACAGGCAGGGCCAGAGGGAGCACAGGGGGCTTCCTGGAGAGGTGGGAGGAAGGCATGACTGAGAGAGAGCACGGGGGACCCTGGGAGGGAGAGGCCACCTGTTCCTGGCCTCATGTCTGTGTGCACACACGCAGAGGCACATGCCAATGTGAGCACAAGCACTTGGGCATACACACAGGGACACACACAGGCACACATGGGCATAGACACACATGAGCATTCACACGGGGACACAGGCATACACGGGTGTAGGCACACATGAGCATGCACATGGGGACACACACAGACACACACGGGTGTAGACACATCAGCATGCACATGGGGACACAGGCACACACAGATGTAGACACACACATCAGCATGCACACGGGGACACAGGCACACACAGGTGTAGACACACATGAGCATGCACACGGGGACATGTGTGTGCACCCGGGGACACATGCATGCCATGGCACAGCAGCCACACAGGACACACACACACACACGCACACACGGGCATGCACACGTGAGCACACATGGCAATGCATGGACCAGGCAGCCACACAAGTGCACACATGGAGCATATGTGAACATGCAGGCCTGAGCATGGGGGTGCATGCACTGCAGCTGACAGGCCCACAGACATGCGTGTATACACATATGTATCCACACCCCCCACAGGCATGCACAAGTGAATATGTGTGTAGACACACAGTCGCACACGGACACACACGCTCTGGTCCATGGTGGCAAAGAGGACCCTGGAAATCAGCAGCTTCGGCTTCGATGTTGCTCTCTGTGAGGATCCCTGCTAGGAGTCAGGGTTGGCCAGGACCCTGTCCCTGGGCTCAAGTCCTCCTGCAGGAGAGCCACCCTCAGGAGGGGACAGACCCTGGTGCTCCCTGAAGCTGGGCCATGAGGCTGAGCTTGGGGGAGAGCAGGTGAAGGCGGCCAACGTGGTTACAGGTCTTGGGTGGCTGCTGGCCTTCCTGGCTGAGCCAGGTTTGCACCTGGTGCTGGGAGCTGGGCCTGAGCCTTGAGCTCTGGAAAGCAACCATAGGTGGGGGCTGGGGAAAGGCTCCCGCTCCAGGAGGAAAGCCAAGGGCTCCCTAAGGCCATATTGATTCTTCTGGACAATGAGGGGGTCAAAAAGACCTAAGAACCCCCAGCTCCCATCTTCCACGGGACAGCTGGCCGGTCCTTCCAGCTCTCAGGATGGTCCCATGTGGCGAGGCAACAGCAGGGGCCACTGTTCCTAAGACGACCGGATGGGGGTGGGGCCCTCCTGTTCGCGTCCGGCCTTCTGAGCCTCTGTAGTCCCTACAGAGAGGAGGATATGGGGCTCAGGCTTCCCCGGGAGCCCAAGGCCGGGAGGTATGATCGACTCTGCGGGTGTCTGTGGGCTCAGTGCTAGGCCCTTCCTGCCATAAGCACCCCCCGCCGTGGAGGAGCATTTGAGCTCACGGATGCTACAGAGAAAGTTTCCTACAGGGTCTCCTCTGAGGGCCATGGAAAGCCATGTGTAGACACTCAGCCTGCCCCCAGAGCCTTTGGTGCCCCAGGAGTAGAGCCAGGAGCCCTCCCCGCCACCTCCATGTGCCCTGTGCCTGGGCGCCCAAGCCTGTGGATCCCCCAGCATGGGCTAGGCAGGTCCTTCATTGCTCAGACCCCAGGCTTTGGGAGGTCGCATGTTTTGCCGTCTGCATAGCGAGGACGTGCTGGGTAGGAAAATGAACTCCAAGCCACGGCCTTCCTGGCCATTCTGTTGTCACCCGTCGTTTCCTTCACCTGCTGTGAAAGTGCAATCTTGCTTCGCTGCAACCTCCACCTCCCGGGTTCAAGCGACTCTCGTGCCTCAGCCTCCTGAGTAGCTGGGATTACAGATGCCCTGCTAATTTTTGTATTTTTAGTAGAGACAGGGTTTCACCATGCCTAGCCAGGCTGGTCTCAAACTCTTGACCTAAGATGATACGCCCGCCTTGGCCTCCCAAAGTGCTGGGATTACAGGCATGAGCCACTGCACCCGGCCAGTTCTTTTTTTTTTTTTTTTTTGACGGAGTCTCGCTCTGTTGCCCAGGCTGGAGTGCAGTGGCGTGATCTTGGCTCACTGCAAGCTCTGCCTCCCAGGTTCACGCCATTCTCCTGCCTCAGCCTCCTGAGTAGCTGGGACTACAGGCGCCCGCCACCTCGCCCAGCTAATTTTTTGTATTTTTAGTAGAGATGGGGTTACACCGTGTTAGCCAGGATGGTCTCGATCTCCTGACCTTGTGATCCGCCTGCCACGGCCTCCCAAAGTGCTGGGATTACAGGAGTGAGCCACCACGCCCGGCCAAACCCGGCCAGTTCTTCTTTAAATGTTTGGTAGAATGTACCAGTGAAACCATCAGGCCCAGGACTTTTCCTTGTCAGGAGTTTTTTGATTACTGACAAGGCTGGAGTGCAGTGGCACCATCACAGCTTGCTGTAGCCTCAACTTCCTGGGCTCAAGCCATCCTCCTGCCTCAGCCTCCCGAGTAGCTAGGATTACACGGGCACACCACCGTGCCTAATTATCAATTTTTTTTTTGTAAAGATAAGGTCTTGCTAAATTGCCCAGGTTGGGTTCAGGTGATCCTCCTATCTCCGCCTTGCAAAGTGCTGGGATTATAAGGATGAACCACCATGCCTAGCCTCTTTTTTCTTTTAATTATTATTTTATTATTTTTTAAAATTTTTGTGGGTACATGGGAGGCATATATATTTATGGGGTACCTGAGATGTTTCGATACAGGCATGCAGTGTGACAGACACACATGACGGACTATGGGGTGTCCACCCCCTCAAGCATTTATACTCATTTTAGTATTATTATTTTTTAAATTTTTATTATTTATTTTATTTAATTTTCTTGAGACGGAGTCTCGCTCTGTCGCCCAGCCTGGAGCGCAGTGGCGCGATCTCGGCTCACTGCAAGCTCCACCTGCCGGGTTCAAGCCATTCTCCTGCCTCAGCCTCCTGAGTAGCTGGGACTACAGGCGCCCCCCACCACGCCCGGCTAATTTGTATTTTTAGTAGAGACGGGGTTTCACCGTGTTAGCCAGGCTGCTCTCGATCTCCTGACCTCATGATCTGCCCGCCTCGGCCTCCCAAAGTGCTGGGATTACAGGCGTGAGCCACTGTGCCCGGCCTATTTTAGTGTTATTTTTAAGCGGCTCCACACAGAGCAGGGCCATGCCACAGGCAGCGTGGCCCAGAGTAGCCTCTTTTCTAATGTAACGTTTGCGACTGTAAATATCTCCCTCAGCAAAATGGTATCTCCTAAGTTTTAAGTTGTTTTTATTTGTCTCCAGGTATTTTGTGATTTCTTCCTTGACCCACTGGCTAAGAGTGCGTTGTTACATTTCCACAAATTTGTGACTTTTCCAGATTTCCTTCTGCTGTGGGCTCAGAGATGAAACTTTGTATAATACATTTTATTCTGTTTAAGAGATGGGGGTCTCCCTATGTTGCCCAGGCTGGTCTGGAATTCCTGGGCTCAAGTGATCCTCCCGCCTCGGCCTCCCAAAGTGCTGGGACTATAGGCTCGTGCCACTGTGACAGGGTTTAGTATCTATCTTTCAAAACACACTGAGACTTGATTTGTGGTCTAACATCTGGCCTCTCCTGGACAAAGTTCTCGTGCGCTCGAGGAGAGCATGTGTTCTGCTGCTGTCGGGAGGTGCTCTCTGGACATGTTGGAGCTGGTGGTTTCCTGTGTTGTTCAAAACTCCTAGGGCTGAAGGGAGGTGTCCACTGAGTGTGGACACTGTCTCATCAGGTACCATGACACACCCCACGTGACCTGTGCCTGTGACCACGTCGCTGCCTTGCGGGCCTAACAGCACCTGCCTATGGGACCTTGGCTGGCTGCTTCTTACCAGGCCGGCCCCCTAGAGCCCCCCTGCTCCTCCAAGCCCTGTTTCCTCCAGAGGGGTGGCCGCCCCTGGTTCCCTCCTCACCCCTGTCCACACTGACTCTCTGCAGCTGGAGCCAACTGGGTCCAGCAGGGACTTGGGCCTGGGACGGCCAGGGGCTCTGCCCAGAACAGCGAGCCTGGGACTGGTCCTGCCCGGGAATGGTTATTTGAATCAAAGCGGAAAACTGCTGGTTTGAAACGTTTATAAACATAACCCAACAATACAAAAGGGAGCAGCGTAACTGGTCACTTAGGAGAAAAGCCTCAGGACCTCGTGGACCTGAACTTAGGCCAAAAAAAATGGGGAGGATAAATGAGACAGGGTGACCTCCCGGACCAGGCACTATGCAACCTTAGAGTGTGGCTTAAACATGAATGATCATCTCCTTTCCGTTAGACAGCAGTAACAGGCTTTAGGTTTTAAGACTAGTGTTGACGGAGTTTAGGTAAAACGGATACAACATTATATTCTCAGAGGACCTGCAAGCTGGACTCTTCCGGAAAGCGTGTGTGCACCAAGATTTGCTAGAGCCTCATGCCCTGGAAACAACCCACTGGGGACACTTTGTCCCTAGACACCCTTTCTGGTGGCGTGAACGCACTCTAGTCCACGTTCCCCACTCCCAGGATGCCGGGACCGTGTGGCGCAGGCTTAGGAGGGAGGGAGGTCCACATGAGGTCAGAGAAAAGCGCAACACCCAGACCGTGCATCCGGGAGAGCCAGCGTGAGGCCCCGAGGCCACGCGGGCAGACCCACCGCGGACGCAGGGGACGCAGGGGACGTCTACAGTTCTGCAGCAATTTTCAAGAATTCGCTTTTCTTTCGTTTCTGTTGAAATGCAGGTTTCAGACTTGCTGAAATTCACCCGACACTTGTTCTGAGCCCCAGAATTCCTCTCCCAGCCCAGAGCCTGCAGTGGACAAAGCCAAGGGCCTGGGCTGTTGGCTGAGGACCCAGTCATGATTAACCTCAAGTCTCCTTGGGGTGCCTTCTACTCCAGGCTGAGCACAAATGAGACAGAAACCAGCGAACTCCACGCGCGTTATGTGGGTGCCTCCTCTTTGCCCTCCACACACCCACGCACAAGTGCACACACCCACGCACGCAGACACTGCCACGCACACACCCACTGATGCACACAGACGCACACACGGGTGGATACTCACCTACATGCACGTACACACCCACTCTCAATGTGTCCACTGAGCTTCGTGTACACGCCCACGCACACCCACCCTCATACACACCCACGTGCACCTGGCTCCACACAACACACGGGAGGAGGCAAGCACGATGCTCAGGAAGGCGGCCTCTCAGGGCAGCGTCCAGTGTCCGTCCCTCCCGGCGGGACCCTCGCACGCCACCTCTGCTGGAGATTTTGGCTTCCAAAGAAGAGTCTGGTGGGTTCAAGGCTGGGTGGGCAGGACGGCAAGGATACAGCCCTGCCTGGGACAGAGCCTTCCTGGGGTAGAAGGGGGATATGGCAGGGACCCGAGGAGAGCTGGGCCGGTGGGTGACTAAGACAGGAGCCACGTGAAGTAAGAACAAAAGCTTTACTCGTGCTCGGCAACAGCAAAGCAGGAGGCAGAGGGGAGATGACGGCCCCTGTCCCATTTCCCTCCATGGAAGGCACCAGGCGGGGAGGTGGGTCTGCTGGGATGGGCAGGTCAGCGGAACAAAAGGCTCCTGTTGTTTATGGGCCCAGGCACAGTGGGGCAGGAGCACGACCCAGAAAGTAGTCCTGAGCCACAAGTCAGAGCGGAGAAAACATCTCTGTGGTCCCAGTCAAGAGGCCTCCGAATGAGGCGCCTGGACTGGGAGCAAAGCTCTGGTCGAGAACATGACCTTCCCGGGCCTGAGTCCCACTGTGGTGCCCGGCCGTGCACCCAGCCTGCGGCAGAGAGGGCGGCGTCCCCCACAAAGCCTGCCAGGCTGAGCCCTTGCAATGGCCGTGGCTGGGCCAGGACCTTGGCCTGGAGCCTGCTCCTTGACACCCAGCCAGCCTAGCACCCGCCTTCAGCAACAGGTAATGGAGCCCGGATGGCAGCTCCCTCCCAGGTGCGCAAGTGCTGGGGTGGAAGCCTGTTCCCGTGGGATCAACCTTGGGGCTGGGTCGGGGGGAGGGGCACTGCGGCCCTGGCCATCAGCCTGGCTGTCTTCGTTCTCCCAAAACACCCATCACCGCAGCCCACCAGGGGCTGGGAGAGGGGGGGCTGCAGGCTAGCCAGAGGGTCTGCCAGGTGCCTGCATCTCACTGGTGTGGCCGTGGCACCTGAGGGAGCCCACTGAGCCCATAGGGGGCTCTGGTTCCCCGCGCCTGGGACAGAGCCAGGCAGCCCTGGGTCGGGGTGGTTGGTGTCACCGAGAGGTCGGGGCGCCCTGTTTCTGCCTGGGACACCAGTCCGTGTCTGGGTACAGAAGACAATGGATAGACTTAAACCTGGGGAAGGAAGAAGTAGGGGTCAGGGCCGTGGGCGGAGAGAGAAGCGGGGGCCAGGGCCGTGGGCGGCGGGAGAACCTGGGGTCAGGGCCGTGGGTACAGGGAGAAGCCGGGGTCAGGGCCGTGGGCGGAGGGAGCAGCGGGGGTCAGGGCCGTGGGTAGAGGGAGCTGATGCCAGAGCCCCTGCGGGGCCGAGGGCCTGCCCATGCCACTACCTACTCACCGTGTGGGGTCTTGATGCAGGCTGAAGCCTCCAGCCACGTTCACCACGTTATGTGGGTTCTCAGGACCCCCATGGCTCAAGGTAACCTGGGAGGGAAGGGTGTGGGCAGAGTGTGTGGCCTGGTCTGGTCTCGGGCCACGCCTGCCCCTGGCCAGGAGCCCTGCTAGAGCCCCTTTGCCCACCCCCTCTCCCCAGGCCCTCGGGGAGGCCAGGCTTGGAAACAGCATTGAAGCATGGCATGAGCTGAGTAGGGGGACACCTCAGGCAGAGCCTGGGGGACAGAAGATAGGGATCTGAAACCTCCAGGGCAAAGCTGACCCTCATTCCCTCCCTGCTCCACGTGATGGGACCTGTTCCGACTCACCATCACCATACACACCACACCCACTGCCCAGCTGGCATGGGGCCTCACTGGCCCGAGAACTGTGCTTCTCCCCTCGTTCCTCTGCCCCAGACACCATACCCCATCTGTACGTGAGGACCCTGTGTCCAACAGGCCAAGGGGCCTGTCCAGGGTCCACCCCCAGCCACATGCAAATCCCACCTGCCTGCTCAGCCGGGCATCGGGCCGGGGCAGTGGGGCCCCTGGGGGAGTCAGGGCGGGGCAAAGCCCAGGTGGCAGAGGCACCCAGAGTGGCGCCTGTACCTGCTGGAGCAGGGTGTCGGGCGGCAGCCTCTGCAGGTTCTCCAGGTGAGAGTGGAAGAGGGGGCTGTGCAGCAGGCGGGCGCCCAGGAGCCCCTCCACGATGTAGCCAACTGTGCAGTCATCCGGCAGCCGCACCTGCTCAGCTGTGCTCATGAAGCTGCCCAGGCTGGGGGGAGGCCGGTCAGCACCTTTCAGGTCTCAGCCTCCGCCTCCCAGCCCGGGCAGCTGGACCCCCACTCACCTGGCCCATGGGCTCATCTTGAGGGCAAGGCCTCTGCTGAGGCAGAACCCGGCCCCACCAGTAGCAAACCAGAACTTGACCGTGGTCACCTGAAGATGGGGTGGTGGTCAGAGCTGCCCAGGACAGGGCTTCTCACCCCTGACTCTTCATGGGACTCCCCAGGCATCTTTCTTAAGCTGCCCCTTAGGAGATCCCACCCAGGTAACAGAAGCTTCTTGGAGCAAAAAGAGCCGGGGGCTTCTGCAGGCCATTGACCCGTAGCCTCCAGACCCTCCCCACCTGGCCCAGACACCCCCTCTCTGCCCAGTACGGTGAGGGCCTCCTGGCCTGCTCCTGAAACACCACATGCAAACCACCTGGGTGGATCAGCTTGGGCCCCCAACCCTATGCCCTTCTCAAGCCAGCTTTCCACGCCCTCTGCTGTGCCTCCCGGGCTGGTGTCAAGGAAGGCGTCTGCTCCGATGGCGTCTGCTCCGACACTCACAGTTCTGCCACCCTGGACCCTCTCGGTGGCCTCAATGGGGTGGTCCAGGCTGGGCCGCCCCAGGTAGACGTCCTGGCTGGGTGAGAAGCTGGAGAGCAGGTGCAGGAGGCTCCTGGCGTTCACATAATTGTCATCATCCACGTGGCAAAACCACCTGTGGGCGAGGGGAGTCCTGGGCACGAGGGCCTGGCATGGCTGGACAGGAGGCCCCCACCCAGCTTGGCTCTGAGCTCTCTGCGGGTCGGGTCAGCGCCGCGTACTTGCGCCCGGACTCAATGAACTTGTCATACTCCACGGACATCTTGCAGCAGAGGGCCTGACGAGTGCGCACCGCCGAGCAGTTGGTGTTGATGACACGGTCGCCTGCGAATCAGAGACGGGAAGCACGCACGTAGAGGATGGCACTGGGGTTGGGGTAAGGCCTGTGCCCCACCTGCCCCCAAGGGCCAGGGCACAACGTGGCTGTCTGACATGCCTGGACACCTTGCCTGGGTCCAACCACAGCCCTAGCCCTCACGCGCTGACCCTGCTGGTGCCACCGAGGCTGAAGCAGGCGGCCATCGGTTGGGATCTCTTGAGTGGAAACAGGACGGAGGCAGCTCGCCCTGACCTGGCCTGGAAGGGCGGATTCCCTGCTGGCGCTTCTTCAGGGGACGTGGCACTAGCCCCACGCCCCGGGAAGCGGCTAGTGTGAGAGGCTGGTGGGGAGCAGAGCTTGGCTGGCAGGGTGGGCCCTCCGCAGGCCGCGTGACCTGGGCAGCGTCGGGGCCTCCCCGGGCCTCGGGAGCCTGGGCAGAGAAAGGCACCCACAGCAGCGAAGGGGCCGTGGCTTCGGAGCGAGAAAGGCTCGGGGGGCAGATCCCGCGGGCGCCGGGGAGTGGGGGACACTCACCGCCCTGGAGCTCGAGCTCAGGGTCGTCCCCGTCGGTGAAGATAAACGTCTGGGGGAGAAACAATCTATGAGGCTTCTGGGGCGCTGCCCAGGCCGGAGACCGACCCGCCCCGCGCGGAGCCTCCGGGGGCCTGGGCCGGGCCTAGACCCTGGGAGGCGGGGCGGGTGGGCGTGGGGCTCGCCGTCGGGGTCGGGGTCCGGCGCACCTGCTGGCGGGCCCGGGAGATCCAGGTGCGCAGCAGCAGCCGCAGGCGCGGCCCGTGGTTCTTCCGGGTGGTCTTGACGGCGATGAAGACGTCGTCAGGCCGCAGGCTGGGGGCAGCGGGCCGGGACGGGGGCGCGCGCGGGGCCGGGGCGGGGGTCCGGGCCGGGGCGGGCGCGCGGGGCAGCGGCAGCGGCAGTAACAGCAGCGCGGCCAGGGCCGCGGCCAGCGCGAGGCAGGCCCGGCACAGCGCCCCACGCGCGCGGCTCATGCGGCCGCCGGGACCCCCGGCGCTGCGAGCGGAGAACCTGGCCGGAGCCGTGGGTGGGCGGCGGCCCCTTTAAGAACGCAGCGGCCCCGCCCCGCCCCGCGCCCCGGAAGCGACGGCTTCGCTGCCCCGGAAGTGGACGGCACGCCGCGGCGGGGTGGGTGCAAGATGCCGCTGCCGGTTCAGGTGTTTAACTTGCAGGTAACGAGCCGAGGCCGCCCCGGGCCTCCGCGCCCCCGCGCCCCCCGCCACTGGGGCCGGGCTGAGGTCGAGCAGGGGCGCGGGGCCTGCGCCAGGAGTCGGTCGGGCACGCTCCGTGCCGGGCCTCCGCGGGCAGCGCGCGTCGGGGGCTGCAGGGCCGAGGGCGCGTCTCCGCCGTGGCTGCGCGCTGCGATCGGGGGCCGCCGGGCCGCGCCCGCCCCGCCTCCCCTCCCAGCAGCTCACGGGAGAGGTTCCCGGCCGCCCCGACGCTAACGCTCTTTCTCCCTTCAGCAGCCAGCCAGCTCTGTGTCAGGGTCGGGGGGTGCAGAAAGTCAGGACAGAATGAGGGATAGCTCGGCCCCCAGCTCGGCCTCCTCGTCAGTGACAGATCTGTACTGCACCCCTCACAGCAGTAGGTCAGACCTCGTCCTGCCCGGCACGGCCGGGGACTTCAGCCTGAGCGCCAGCCTGTCGGCCTGTACGCTGCTCTACGAGGTACCTTCCAGGACAGGGACCCCCGAGCGAGGGAGGGGGGAGCAGGGCCCCGGCCGCCCCTGCTGTGGCTGGGCCCCTGCTGCTCTGCTGGCCGAGGACAGGGACTCAGTGCCAAGCGCAGGAGGGGAGGGAGCCCCGGTGGGCCCGGGGCCTGCGGAGGGAGCCGAGCTCTTGGTGCTTTTCCCGAAGGAGCGCGGGAGGCCCACGGGTCCGGCGAGTGCCCGGCATGGCGGCTTTTCCAGCCTGCTTTGTGTTAAGCCGAGGTCCTGGCTTCTCTGTGTCTCCCAGCTGGGGGCCATGAGGCTCCCTGAGATGACTCTTTTCCCCTTCTCCCAACTCCGTGGCGTGACTCTCAGCCCAGTATTGCTGCTCCGCTGCTCAGGACAGATTCCGGGGGCTGGTCCTCCTGCCTCCTGGGGTTGAGGTGGCGTCCCGTTCTTCTCCGTGGCTTGGAGGAAACTACATCAGGATGGTGGCTGGGAACGTGTAGGGGCCCTCAGAGGCCCCTGTGTAGTTGGTTGTCCCCTGTCTGCTTTCTGGCTTTCAGAGATGAGCGGCTAGAATCAGGCGAGGGGTTTCTGCTTCTGAGCCTTAGAGTCTTGTGAGGAGACCCCTCCCTGATGTGGTGGCACAGGAGCCTGGGTGGGGGCGGGGGTGACTGGGAGGGCACACCTGGGGGACAGCAGCGGCGGGAGTGTGGTCCGACTGGCCTGGAAGATCTTGGGCAGAGCTGACCTCAGAGAACAGTGCGGGTCTCTCGCCCTCCTGGGGCAGTCCCCAGGACGAGGTGCCAGGTGCCTGGCCCATGTTGCAGGGGGCCGTGGAGCCCATGCAGATCGACGTGGACCCCCAGGAAGACCCGCAGAATGCACCTGACGTCAACTACGTGGTGGAGAACCCCAGCCTGGTACGGAGCCCAGTGGGGGGACCTTGGGTGTCTCAGTCCTGCTGAGGGGTCCAGGGCACACTCCCCGCTGCAGCCTGCACAGCAGGTAGAATGATCCTCCTCAGTGATCGCTGTCGTCTTTTTCTGACCCCGAAACCATCAGCGTTTCTGATTGCGCACTCACATGAGGCTTGTAGCTCAGCTTCAGATGCTGCTCATGGAGAAGCCAGGGCAGGTCTCCTCCCCGCTCAGCCTAGCGACCAGCAGTCACTAGTGGGTGTCTATCCCCGAAAGCCCCCGGGTGCAGGGTCCCACTCCTGAGGCTCCTGCGCCAGGCCCACCCCAGCGGTCTTCGTAGCTCCTGGGACAGCAGTCAGTCTCGTACCCCCATGCCCGGTTCTGGTTATGGGCCCAGGGCGACATTCTGGCTAGGACAGTCAGGCCCCAACTCCTGACCCTCAGGGCCTGGGGCCAGGGTCCTGCCTCCCATCCTGCCTGACTCTTGTCTGTGCCTGCTCCCAGGATCTGGAACAGTACGCGGCCAGCTACAGCGGCCTGATGCGCATCGAACGGCTGCAGTTCATTGCTGATCACTGCCCCACGCTGCGGGTGGAGGCCCTGAAGATGGCCCTCTCCTTCGTGCAGAGAACCTTTAACGTGGACATGTACGAGGAGATCCACCGCAAGCTCTCAGAGGCCACCAGGTGAGGCCAGGGGCTTGGCGAGAGGAAGCAGAGGCCACCAAGGGAGCGCGGGTGTCTGGGACTGGGCCCCCTTCCTGTGCCCTGCATCTCCCACCCCTGTGCTGGGAAGTCGGGCGGGTAGAGCTCTCGCTCTCTTTTGGCCAGCAGTGGAAGTGCCCTGTGTGTGTGTGGCTTCTGTGTGTGTGCATGCAGGGCTTTGATTCCAAGGGGAGCTGTTGGAGACTGTGGCTCAGGGGCCGCCTCCCTGCTGGTTTCCCCACCCGGCTGTAGGCTCCTGGGGCAGCAGTTCTCTCTGTGGCCCTGGTGCAGACTGGTCCCTAGAGGTGGGGTTTGAGGCCAGCGGGAGGTGCCCACCTGTGTGCCGGTTGGGCCTTTGAGGGCAGCCTGAGATTGGCGGCTTCCTCCCCTCCTCCCTGGCCCCCGTGACCGCCGCCATCCTGATGGCCAGGTCCTCTCTCAGGGAGCTGCAGAACGCACCCGACGCCATCCCTGAGAGCGGCGTGGAGCCCCCAGCCCTGGACACGGCCTGGGTGGAGGCCACGCGGAAGAAGGCGCTGCTGAAGCTGGAGAAGCTGGACACAGACCTGAAGAACTACAAGGGCAACTCCATCAAAGAGAGCATCCGGCGCGGCCACGACGACCTGGGCGACCACTACCTGGACTGTGGGGACCTCAGCAACGCCCTCAAGTGCTATTCCCGGGCCCGGGACTACTGCACCAGCGCCAAACACGTCATCAACATGTGCCTCAATGTCATCAAGGTCGGCCTGCCTCGGCGGGCGGGGGTGGGCAGCATGGCTGGGCCATTGGGGCGCCCGGGCTCACTTGGCTCTGCGCCCCCCCGCCAGGTCAGCGTCTACTTGCAGAATTGGTCTCATGTGCTCAGCTACGTCAGCAAGGCTGAGTCCACCCCAGAGATTGCCGAGGTACGGGCCACCTCCTCAGAGACCTTGCCCCCAGGATTCCTGACCACTGCTGGCCCCTCCTGTCCTCCCCCACCTCATTCTCCCCCAGATCTGAATCTGCCTTCATCCCCTCTCAGTCTGGGGGCTGGGCATCGAGCTCTAGGAAATGTGGAGCATGGGCCTCACGCATGTGGCTTCCTCCTACAGCAGCGAGGAGAGCGTGACAGCCAGACCCAGGCCATCCTCACCAAGCTCAAGTGTGCCGCAGGTGAGGGCCTGGGTCACGCCCAGCTGACCCCACGTTCCCCTGTTGCTAAGTCCTCCCAGCCCAGGGCAGTAGGCTGGTCCCTGCCTCAGCCAGGGAAAACTTCCCTGGCAGGGCGCAGGATGTTGTGGGCACATGTACAGGTGTAGGTGGTGCCTAAAGTCTGCCCCGGGGAAGCCAGTGGGTGACGTGTGGTCAGGGTCTGGCTGCTGTCACTGTGGGCGTGAGGCAGGTCTGCCAGCCCGAGCTGCTCTGAACTGGGGTGTCCTTTGCAGCCCTGCTAGCACCTAGGGCTTCCCTGCATGCCTGGCTTCAGGGAGCCTCCTCAGCATTGGTGGGGCTCTTTCCACCCGTGACTAGAGTATCTGTCCCCAGCGCTGAGGAACAGCTCCCGGGGCAGGAGAGGCCAGCGAGCCGGCTGGTGGTCGCGTTCTCCCTGGTTTCCAGGCGTTAGCGGCTTCCCCAGGCTCTGGGGTCTTACCCCCTCTCCCCCCTCCCCGCCCCCGGCTCCTTCCACTAGGCTTGGCAGAGCTGGCCGCCAGGAAGTACAAGCAGGCTGCCAAGTGCCTCCTGCTGGCTTCCTTTGATCACTGTGACTTCCCTGAGGTGAGGAGCCCTCTGGGGACTTGGGAGGCAGAGCATGGGCTCATGGGTCAGGCTGCTTCTGTAGGAGGGTGAGGTCTCTCACAAATGGGGTCTTAGGCATTCTCCGAGCGGGTGATGGGCAGGCAGGGGTGGCCTGGCCCTTCACTGCCTGTGACGCCAGGTCTCTGCTCCTCAGCTGCTGTCCCCCAGCAACGTGGCCATCTACGGTGGCCTGTGCGCCTTGGCTACCTTTGACCGGCAGGAGCTGCAGCGCAATGTCATCTCCAGCAGGTAGGTGCCCCGGTCCTGCAGCCCTGAAGGCTGTCCCCGTCCCTCTCCGTGGCTGCTGCTTCGGCCTTGCATGTCCTGGCCCCCTGGCCCCAGCGTTTTCTCAGGTGTTTGTCTGGGGACTGGTGTCCCACTGGCCACTTGGAGGGAGGGGCAGGCAGAGGACAGAGTTCTGAGGGGTCTGCCTCACCAGCTCCTTCAAGTTGTTCTTGGAGCTGGAGCCACAGGTCCGAGACATCATCTTCAAATTCTACGAGTCCAAGTACGCCTCATGTCTCAAGATGCTGGACGAGATGAAGGTGGGCCCCGCCTGGGGTAGGGGTGAGGTGGGGCCCTGCCTGGCCTCCTGTCCTGGTCCTGACCAGCCCCTTCCCCAGGACAACCTGCTCCTGGACATGTATCTGGCCCCCCATGTCAGGACCCTGTACACCCAGATTCGCAACCGTGCCCTCATCCAGGTAAGCGTGGGGGTCAGGCTGGCACACGGCAGGCGGGCATGCAGGGGGCTGTGGAGCTGACTTCCCTCTGCCCTGCAGTATTTCAGCCCCTACGTGTCAGCCGACATGCATAGGATGGCGGCAGCCTTCAATACCACGGTGGCCGCCCTGGAGGACGAGCTGACGCAGCTAATCCTGGAGGGGCTGATCAGTGCCCGTGTGGACTCACACAGCAAGGTGGCTGTGGGCTGCGGGGCGGTGGGGGCAGCTGGGGGTGAGCCTGGGCCCCGCTGAGCTTGTGCCTGCACAGATCCTATACGCCCGGGACGTGGATCAGCGCAGCACCACCTTTGAGAAGTCTCTGTTGATGGGCAAGGAGTTCCAGCGCCGCGCCAAGGCCATGATGCTGCGGGCAGCTGTGCTCCGCAACCAGATCCATGTCAAGGTGGGCTGGCTTGAGGGGGGGCAGGCGCACGGCGTGTGGGGCCTGGTGGCTGTGAGCTGCTCCTTGTCTCCCCTGCAGTCCCCGCCCAGAGAAGGGAGCCAGGGGGAGCTGACTCCAGCCAACAGCCAGTCCCGGATGAGCACCAACATGTGAGGGGTGAACCTTGGCCTCCAGGACATCTGCACCCCCTCCCCACCTCCACGGACCTCGGACCTCCAGGCGGCTCAGTGCTGCCTGCGGCCCAGCTAAGGGGCCTGGCCACTGGGTGCCACCCAGCCTGTGTGCCCTCCCTGGGGCTGAGGAGGCAGGCGGCTGCTAGTTGTGGCCCTTCCTGGAAGGAGAGGCCTGCAGGGCTCGACCCTGTGGGTTTCTGTCCCCAGGGAGCAGACTGTGCGGCACCCAGGCCCAGTGGCACCATTTCCCAGACCCCTCCTGTTCCCGCCTCAGTCAGGTGCAGACAAGTGGGCGGTGTCCATTAAAGAGCAGACTCAGCGTTGCTCTTGGCTGTTCTTTCCTGCCGTGCAGGCTCTGGTCACCCCTGGGTGGCCTTGGGTTCCTGAGGGCTGTCTCCCTGGGACTAGGCTTGGAGGCAGGGCCTGGTGAGAGAAATGAGAAGCCTGGCCCTCAGATTCAACAGCCCCCAGCAGCAGCCACTGTGGCCTCGCAGGCGGTGCTTCCAAGGCTGTGAGGCATCACGAAGCTCCCGGAGGCTTTGGCCACTTGCCTATGGAGGCGCCTAGGGGAGGTGGGGAGGGGACCTAAGCCCCCACTTTTGTCTACCCAGATGCTGCCTTCATTTAGATGTATCCTGTTGTTCAGAAGCCCCCACTGGCCCCAACCGCACCTGCCCCGGCTCATGCCTCCCTGGGTCTGAGAGGGCAGTGGTCACAGGCTGTGGGCTCTCGCATCTTTGAAATGATTTATTGTTCACTTTTGCACACGCGTGCTGAGGACAGGGCAGGTCCAGCCTGGGGCCTGCTCCCCACTGCAGCATTTCCAGGCCCCCAGAGTGGGCCGAAGGGGGACATGGGCGTGTCTTTCCACATTAAGTAGCAGGAGATTCCCTGAGTAAAAGGCATTTTCTTAAGTAGGACGTGTCCAGGCTCCAGCAGCAGTCCTGGGGGTGGGGGTTGTGGGCCTTCAGGCCAGGGCACTGCCCATGACTTCGGAGAAGCCACCTGGTGTTCCAGGTGCTGCTGGCTGAGGCTCCTGCAGCTCAGGCTGGGCCTCTTTCCAGGCCAGAGACTTCTCCAATTTGGTTTTAAAAAGCAATCCGTGACCTGGCAGAGCGAGTGAGAGGAGTCGGGGGTCAGGAGGCGGAGGGGGTCTGTTTGCCTGCTGCGGGGCGGGTGGTAGGCGCCCTCACCTGGGCAGTCTGCAGTCTCTTTGGAGGCTCGCTTCTTGCAGCAGCCGCGGCACAGGCTGAACACACATCTGTTGCCCTGGGCACAGGAAATCTCGGGAGCCTGTGGCCAGCACCACTCCCGGGGCCAGGCTGGCCAGCAGGGGAGCAGCCCCACTGGGGAAGCCTCTGCCAGATGCCCACGGCCTGGATGCAGCCCTGGGAACTGCTCCCAAGCCAGATGCCTCTCCCTCACCCCCACCCACCCAGACTCTCTTCCCCTCCAGGCCTGGGCAGGGGCTTGGCTGGAAGCAAGGGGCCGTCCTGAGGCATCCATGCCACCTTGAGCCACGTTGCAAACCCAGCTGGGCGGGCACCAGACCTGCCACCCCAAGCAGTGCAGAGACCACCCTGCCCACCCCCAAAGCTGAAGCCTTGGTGGCTTGCAGCCGGAACCCACTCACCTTTGGGTTTCCACACTGGTCACACTTTGCATATTTTGCTAGGAAAAGAACAAAAGGGTGCTGGTGAGTGAGGGCCAGGGTGCCCTGGCTGTGGGGGCTGCCCCGTCCGCCTGCACGGAGCCTGCTGATGGCGTCCATGCCAGCTGTGGCCAGCCAGGCCAGGAGGCTCAGGGAGGGCAGAGGATGCAGGCTGGCCACGTCTGCTTTTCCTTCCGTGAGCAATGGGTGAGGGGATGCAGGGGGCACCATCCTGCAGGAAACGGATAGGAAGCAGGTGGGCTGGGGGGCCGCCGCAGGACGAGCAGCCTTATCTGTCCTACCCCCAGGCAGGGACAAGGGGAGCAGTTTTCCTGCCCACAGGGTCCAAGGGGGGTTCCATGCCCTTCAGTTCCAGGTCTCCCAAGCAAAAGGGCCAAGAAGGGTCAAATCAAGAATTCAGCCTGAAGCCCCACTTCCTGCCTCTCCCAGCTGCCTCATTCAGTGGCCTGGTGGGGGGCAGTGTGGCAGGCAGGGACTGCTGGCACCAGCCTGATGTGGCAGCTGCTCTTGGACTGGCCAGCGCCCTGGGGGTTACATGGGAAGGTTTCAGGGTTATCGCTGGTCTCCCCTGCAGCTTGTAAAGTTGTCAGAGATCTGGGAGGCTGCCACCTGTTGAGGGCCCAGATGGGCTGGCCCAGGATACGGCGGCGACCAGGGGTCTCAGGGGAGACAGCACTAGGCTGAGGCCTTGCCACTGGTGGCTAAGAGAGGGGCGAGCAGCCTCGTCCCGTGCCTTTGGCCCAGCAACAAGACCCATGCACACACTCCCGGGGACCCCAGCCTCCCTCTCAGCAGCTGCTCAGGTGTCCTGTGTGAGGCTGGGCAGGGGCAGCCGCAGGGACCCGAGGCCCTGAGCTGTAGACGAGCTTCACCTGGCTGAAAAGCTTGTCCCATAGCCTCATCTGATTCACTGAGCCCATGTCCCACATGCACGGGCTGTGGCCTGCACAGGGTCCCCGTTCTGACCCCAAGTCTGGCTGACTACTCCGCCAAGCCCTCCAGGTGTCTGCTTCCAGCTCTGGGCCTTGAGCCTTGCTGACCACAAGTCTGGGTTCCTGTTACTGGCAACAGGGAGGATGGGGGTGATGAAGAGGCTCTCTCGGGCCCATCAGCGGAAGCAGCACTTACGCTTCAGAGAGGGGTCGAAGGTCTTGTGGGGGTTCCTCAGCTGCTTCTTTTGCTTGTTCTTGGACAGGACCTCCGTGCCACCCTCCTCTTCCTCCAGGGCCCGCTTGCTGCGCGCACCTGCCTTCTCCTTGCTCCCCTCCCTGGGCCTGAGGGGAGGGCAGCGGGCAGAGCCCAAGGACACTGTGAGAGGGGCCCAGCAGCCACAGCCACACGGGTCTGAGTCTGGGTGAGGGGCCAGGCGGCCGTGGCGAGTGCCGCTGCTGTGAGGAGTGCCCTCCTTTCCCTCGGGCAGCCCATTCAGGACTCGTCACTAGGGAGTCCGGGGCCTCTGAGATGGAGTCCGCAGCTCGGGCAGCCCCAAGCTCTGAACCACCAGCTCCAGGGAGGGCTGTGGCCACGGATGGCCTCACCTCTGAGAACCCAGCAGAAGCTGGGGTCAACCTCTTGACCCACGGGCAAATCCACCAGGATCAGAGGAGCTCAGAGAAGTATGTTATGGAAGAAAAGATTTAAAATCCGAGCGTCCACTGAGGGAGGACACAGCTGAGCCACCAGCATCCTCCACCAAGGACACCGAGGGGCACGTGGAAGGTGTGTGCTGCTCGGAGCCGAGGCCTCCCTCCTCCTTTCCCTTGGGCAGGAGATGACTGACCATAATGGCTGAGGACAAGCAGGGCAGGCGCAGCACTGTGGGCACAGGGTGGAGCCCACACCTTGGTGCACATCCCCGCCCAGGGCTGGCTGGGCTCTCACCCCGGCCGGATGTAGGGCTGGCAGATCCAGTGGAAGGGCAAGTCGCCGGTGGGCTTCGCTCCCTCCTGCCTGGATATCTCCTCCTGCAAAAGCCCAAGGCCCTGGTCATGGCCCCAGCCCCTCACCCCCTGCAAGGCCGGGCTCCCACCAGCCCCAGCACCTGCCTGACACCGCAGCTTCAGCTCCTGGCTCACAGCAGCGATGCCCTCCAGGGTCTTCACCTTGGCCAGCTCCTCTCGCAGCTCCTGGTGCACCTGCAGCCTGAGACAGAGGCCCTGTCACGCAGGCTGGGCTCCCGGCTCCACCGTCAGGCCCCAGGCTGAGCACTGGGCACACGGGGACCTGTGTCTCTTCCTGCCCAACTCCACTCCTAAGTCACCCCAGCCCCTCAAGACCTGACTTAGCAGCAAGTTGTTTTGACAAAACCTGCAAAATGCCCCAGGTGGGGTCTGACGGAATCTGCCTGGGCGGCCCTCCAACGTGGCTTCTGCCTTAGGGGGCAACTCACGTGTGGTGCCACAGCTTGAAGAGGTGGGCCCGGACGTAGGACAGGGGGCAGGGGTGCTCCCGCACGATGTCCAGATACTCCTCGGCCAGCTCCCACACGGCAGGGCTCCGGCCCTCGAACAGGGCGGGGTTGTGCAGGTTGCCCTCTGTGGGAGGAGGAGCGGGGAAGGACACCTCGTGGGTTGCTCCAGGTGGACGGCACAGGAAAGCCTGGGACACTCAGGACACCCTTCTGTGCCACCTCACAAGGGACAAGGCCAGCTCAGGCCCATCAGAGCAGACTGGGATTGATGAACACCATCTGTGAACAGCACCATGGGGAGGGCAGTAGGCAGTGGGAGGCACCGACCTGGGCGGTGGTATCAGGCCGTGTGCATGGGGCCCTGGCTGCTGTCCTGGGCCCTGCCCACCTGCGCTCATGACGCCCTGCACACCCGTGTCCCGGAGGCAGCGCTCCACGTCCTGCAGGCACTGGATGTTCCCGTTAGCAAACACAGGGATGGCCACAGCCTTCCTGTTGGCAGAGAAATGCCTGTTTCCACCCGCCCGGAACAGCACCCAGGTGATGCTGCCCCCAGCCACGGCCCCCTGGGTGGTCACGGGCGTCAGGCGTGCCGAGCACCCTGAGGTGTGGAGCTGGGACCCCCAGCAAAGCCCCAAGGACTGAGGGCTGTGTCACCCACACCCACTCACCGCACAGCCTTGATATGCTCCCAGGACGCTGCACCCGACAGGGGCCCCTTCTGCTCCTTGGTGCGTCCGTGCACCGTCAGCAACTAGGACAGAGCAGTGGTCGCTTGACCCCTCCAAGCCCCTTCCGCCCCTCAGAGCCCCCTCCGCCCCTCCACGCCCCCTCTGCCCCTACTCCACCCCTCCGAGCCCCCTCTGCCCCTCCCAGCCCTGTGCCCCATGCCCGACTGCAGGGACCTTTCCCTCACCATATCAGCTCCTGAAGCAGGGCTGAGGAATGGCCATCTGGGGCCTACCCCAAGGCCTCTGCACTCTGTGGGAACCTCAGGCTGCATGTGCTGCCCAGGCCCATGCAAGAGCCAGGCCGGGAAGTGGCAGCATCCCCACTGCCCAAGGCCAAAGGTGTGGGAGGGACTGACTCCAGGCTAGTGGGGCACTGGGGGGGAAAGTGGGTCCTGGGCCTGGCAGCCCCTGTGCAAGCTCATCCCCGGGTCACCAAGGTTGCTGTCCACCTTCAGAAGGTGAGTGTCTTGAGGGGCACCCCCGGAGACAGCAGCCCATCCAGGCCCGCGCCAGGCCAGGCTCAGTGTGCGGGGAACACGGGCAGGGGAGCAGCTCTGCTGACAGCCTGGTGGCCCCTTCCTCACCCTCTAGGGAGACTGGATGCTGAGTATCCCCAAAGGAGGCCCTGCCGGCCTCTGTGACACTAGGAATATGTCAGAGATGCCGACATTACTCTCTCCACAGGGACAAAACCCTGGAGCCAGGAAAGCAGTTTCTGTTGTAGAGGCCTGGGCTTGGGGTGGTGGCACTCAGAGCCAGTGGGGACAGGCCAGTCAGGAGGGCCACTGCCCCCATGAGGCCGACGGTGCACGGTGTCTGGACACAGGAAGAGCCTCAGCTATGTCCTCTGCGCAAAGGCCCAGCTGAGGCCCATGACACCCCCGCGAGCCCAGGGCTCACCTGGCAGCCGGCCTTCTCCAGCATCTGGGCGTACCTCACGGTCTTGTCAATCTCCGGGAAGACACGGATTTTGCACGTGACAGGAACAGAGAGTTTCTCGTGGGCCAGCAAAACTGGGGAGAAGAGAGGCAGCTTCTGAGGGGGCCATGGTGTTCCCACTTTAGCGGCCAAGCCCCAGAGCCCAGGGCCCTGCAGACAGCGGAGCCCAGGCAGCTTTGCCGGGAGGCTGGGAGGCAGCCCGGGCCACCATCTGGGTGTCTCCCTCAGGTTGCTGGGCAGGCTCCCTCCGCCATACCCCCGGCCCTCCGAAGTTCAAACAAGCAGGGCCAAGGCCGGCTCTGTCTCCCAGGACATCTGGGGCTGGGCCCGAGCAAGGACTCTGCCCTGGCACCTACTGTCTGGTTTTAAGGGGTGGGTGGTGCAGGACAGGCAACTTCACAGCCACCTCCTTCCAGCAGAGAGGCTGCTGTGGGCAGGAAGCCCCAGGGTGATGCTGAGAACTCCTGCCAACGCCTGTCCTCTCCTGAGCCCCAACCAAGTGGACAGTGCCCATGTGTCCCTCTTGAGGGTCTCTGGGGGTCCTTCACCATCCACCCAGCCAACTCACTCATTCTTTGGAGCAGGTCCCACTCGTCCTGCAGAAAGGCGCCATAGTGACCTGCAAGGAGCAAGCATGGCCTGGCTGGCACCTGTGTTAAGGCTGGTGGGGCCGAAGCCTTGCACCCCCTCTGCACCCTTTCCTGCATCCACGCAGGCCAGGAGCTGCCCTGTCAGGCGGGACACAGGTCCCCAGAACCAGCAGTGTCTCCAGTTGGGGCAGTGGGACAGTCAGAGCAGTGGTTTGTCGGCATCAGACTCAGGGGCTCTATTTGCCCAGCTGCCTAAGCTCAGAAGGTGCTGAATGGAACCCCCACCCTGCACGGTCTGGAACCAAGTAACACCTCCTCAGGGGCCCGGTGAGGTAGCAGGCTCAGCCCCACACACAGCAGTGCAAGGGGGTAATGGGGACCCTGTATCAGCAATCATGTTTATGCAGAGGGAGCTCCCTGAGGGAAGAGAGAGCCAGTAGGGCTCGGCCCCTAGCCCCCAAGGCCTGAGGACAGCCACCCTCCAGAGGCGGAGCACAGAGGACAGCTGGCTCCAGCCTGAGCCACTGTCACGACAGAGGCAGGGCCTGCCGTCCTCCAAGCTCACCACACCTGGGGCTGCACTGAGCTGGCTCTGGCCCCTGCCCCAGGTGCCCCCATGCTCCACATGGAGCTCACCTCTCTTGGCTATCATCTGTGGGCAGCCCAAGTTCAGGTCAATGGCGTCACAGTAATCCTGAGCCAGGAGAGCCGCCTGAACAAACACCTCCGGGTCATTGGCACAGAACTGGAGAAGATGCAGGAGTCAGCCACGGGCCCAGCCAGGCCCTAGTCCCTTGCTGCCCAGCCCTACGAGAGGTCCAGTGTGACCCCATGAGGGTGTGGGCCCAGGTTCACTGCAGGAGGGTGCTCTGTCCTGCGGAGGCTTACAATATGACAAAGCCGGGAGGAGTCCCCAAGCCACCCGGATTTACAGATTTTCTTCTGAACTGTGGCAGAAGCCACAATCACTGACTTCTGAAGAGCAGAGCCATCTCCACTGGTTCTGAAGAGGGAGTGTGAGTGTGAGAGGCAGCAATCCAGAGGCCCCAGCAGGGCTGCAAACCTCACAGCACCCAGGCTGCCTGAGCCACTCCTAGAGAATGGGGTTGGATTCTGGCAGGTGCACCTGGCAGCCCTGGCTCCACCACAGGAATCACTGCTGTGGCTACGTGGACTCTACATGCCTGGTGCCACCTTCTCCCTCTCCTCCTGGAATTGAGCTGTCTCTGGAAAGGCTGAAAGTGATGTCCCGCCACAGAGAGAAGGGTTTTTCCCCAGGCATTCCAGGACCGGGAACCCAACCGCGGCCGCGGCCACAGCCCCTCCTGCGCACCTGCACGATGAGGGGCCGGTCCTCGGGGCACACCTCGCAGTACAGGTTCTCCTTCCGGTAGTTGGCGTCGCGGACAAAGACCTGGGCATGCAGCATGGGCGTGTAGCAGAGCTGTGCCCCGTGGCGCCGGCTCAGCAGCCTCCAGGCCAGCTCGCTCTGGTCCACCATGGGGGCCACGACGTGGCGGGCCCCTCGCAGGGTGCGGCTCCAGAACTCGAAGCCCTGCAGCTTTGGCATCGTCTCCAGGCTGGGGGAAAGGCGCAGACCCGGGGTTCAGCCAGGCCCAACGAGGGGCTTAAGACTCAACTCAGAGGCAGCGGTCACCCTTCTAAGGCCGCTCCAGTACCACCGTTGGGTCACACGCGGGGGCACTAAAGGCGGGGGTCGGTGCAGGCTGGAGAACGGCCACTCCAGTGCCGCCACCTCCTAGCGGACCTCGGGGGAGCCGCTGGACCCCTGGGACTTGACCCTCCCTGGGGAGCGGGACTCGATGTCGGCCTGGTAGGGGACTGGCGTGAAGGGGGAAGAAACCTTGACGCCAGCGTCCCCGCGGGCCTGGCCCTGAGCAGGCCGCCCGGCGGTGAAGTTAGGACCCCCGGCCCCTTCCCGGGAGAATCGGCTCCGCGCCGGGCCAGGGGAAGGGCAGAGCTTCCTTCTCCGCACCCGGCCAGGCGGCCCGGCTGGCCCGAAACGCCACAGGGGCGCCCCTCGCGAGACTCCTCCGGAGCCACGCGGCGGGCAGCGTTTGCTGTGTGAAGTGACAGGAGCCCACACGCCTCCGCGTCCTCACCGCGCGAGGGCCCCGCCGTGTCCGCCGCGCGCCTTTGGCTCCGAGGGCGCCGGGTGCCGGTGTCCCGGGCCCGCCCCTCTCCGGCCTCGCCGCCGCCCGGGGCCCCTGCAGCTCCCGGGGCGCCGCGAACGCCCGCACCGCGCCGGGGCCGCCGCCGGGCCGCAGCCGGGCCCAAGGCTCCGCGCCGCCACCGGAAGGTGCCCGGTCCTGCGCGGTCCGGGCGGCCCACGGTGCGGCGGGAAACGCGTTCCCCGGAAACCGCGCCCGGCTCCGAGGGGACCGGCGACGAGAGGTCGCGGCGCGGGGTCGGAGGTCAGAGGCTGAGGTCACCACCGTACCCGTCAGGCCGTGGCTAGAGAGGGGTCGGGGCTCGCCGGGACTCACCGACAGCTCGCTGGAAACGAGGCATGTGGAAATTGGGCCTCGCTGAGGCGCACATAAGGCCCGGGCCGCGGGTAGACCGTGGGCGCTGAGGCCCTGCGCTGCCCAGCCCCCAAGTTCGCATTGGGGGCTTCATCCCGTTATATCCTAAAGCGGCCCCAGAGCCCTGCCTCGAACCCACTCACCTGCCGCCTCTGAAAGCCACTCACTTTCCGCCGCTGCGTTGCGGAAAATCACCCTCCAGGGACCTTCCTTGCCCGCCCTGGGTTTCCGCAGCCGCCAGCCTTCGATCGACTTTCCTACCCGCCGTGGACCCTCCTTGGGTTATTTCGAGCTGTGGGGACCCACTGGGAACCCCAGAGTGGATGTGAAGGTTATTTTAAACTGAAGGCATTTGAGACCCAACAGATGTAAAAAGCAGCTTTGTCAGAGCTTTCCATATCTGAGAGCGAAGCCCGAAGTTGAACCAGGACATTCAGTACCTAAAACATGTGAAATCTCTTGGGCCCCCGGAATCACTAAGGAAAACTCAGGCTGGAAGCTGCTCAGGGCAAACCTGCCTCCCGCTCTATTCAGAGTCACCCTCTGCTCGCTGAGATAGATGGATATCTGACTGACTCCTTTGAAAAGGCTCATCAGAAGGCTGGGCGCGGTGGCGCACATTGAGACCAGGAGTTCGAGACCAGCCTGGCCAACACGGTGAAACCCTGTCTCTACTGAAAATACAAAATTAGCCAGGTGTGGTGGTGCGCCCCTGTAGTCCCAGCTACTCGGGAGGCTGAGGCAGGAGAATCGCTTGAACCTGGGAGGCGGAGGTTGCAGTGAGCCGAGATCAAGCCATTGTACTCCAGCCTGGCGACAGAGCAAGACTGATCAAAAAGGAAAAGAAAAAAAAAAAAGGCTAATCAGAAACTCAAAACAATGTAACCGTTTGTGTATCACCTATCTGTGACCAGGAAGCTCCCTCCCCGATGGCTTTTGCTTTAAATTGTCCCGCCTTTCCAGACTGAACCAATTTTTTTTTTTGAGACGGAGTCGCTTTCTGACCCAGGCTGGAGTGCGGTGGCGTGATCTCGGCTCACTGCAACCTCCATCTCCCAGGTTCAAGCGATTCTCCTCCCTCAGCTTCCCAAATAACTGGGATTACAGGCACCCACCAACACACCCAGCTAATTTTAGTATTTTTAGTAGAGATGGGGGTTTCACCATGTTGGCCAGGCTGGTCTCGAACTCCTGACATCAGGTGATCCGCTGGCCTCCCAAAGTGCTGGGATTACAGGCGTGAGCCACCGCAGCTAGCCGCTATGTTCATCTTACATATATTGATTGATGTCTCATGTCTCCCTAAAATGTATAAAACCAAGCTGTGCCCCAACCACCTCAGGCACATGTTGTCAGGACCTCCTGAGGCTGTGCCATGGGCATGTCCTCAACCTTGGCAAAATAAACCTTCTAAATTAACTGAGACCTGTCTCAGATTTTCTGCATTCACAGATAGAACAGCCTTGGTGGTCTTCAGAGGTGGCCAGATGTCCCTGGTGGACTGCAAGGTTGGGTGCACACTAAGGAAAGACAGGCGAGGGCCCCAGCTGTCCACCGCCCTGGCTGAACGTGAGGCTTTGTACAAGCAAAAAGTAAAAGCCAAGTCCAAATTGTAAAAACTACCTGAATTCCAAATGCAGCCACAACCCACACACAGCGCCATCAGCAGAGGCTGGAGGCCCTACTGGTTCAGAATATTTAAGCACAGTATCGAACCAGTAATTGTAAAAGGTAAAAGATTTTTTTTTTAAGACAGAGTCTCGCTCTGTCACCCAGGCTGGAGGGCGGTGGCACGATCTCTGCTCACTGCAAGCTCCACCTCCCAGGTTCAAGCGATTCTCCTGCCTCAGCCTCCCGAGTAGCTGGGACTACAGGTGCCCGCCACCACACCCGGCTAATTTTTTGTATTTTTAGTAGAGATGGGGTTTCACCATTAGCCAGGATGGTTTCGATCTCCTGACCTCATGATCTGCCCATCTCGACCTCCTAAAATGCTGGGATTACAGGCATGAGCCACCACGCCCAGCCCAGATCATATGAATCTTTTGCCTTTTAGCCGGGCGCGGCGGCTCATGCCTGTAATCTCAGCACTTTGGGAGGCCGAGACGGGCGGATCATGAGGTCAGGAGATCGGGACCATCCTGGCTAACATGGTGAAACCCCGTCTCCACTAAAAATACGAAAAAAATTAGCCGGGCATGGTGGCGGGCGCCTATAGTCCCAGCTACTCGGGAGGCTGAGGCAGGAGAATGGCATGAACCCAGGAGGCGGAGCTTGCAGTGAGCCGAGATGGCACCACTGCACTCCAGCCTGGGCGACAGAGCGAGACTCCGTCTCAACATAAATAAATAAATAATAAAAATATAACTTATGGTGTATAACTTGTAACTATAAAGAGGTTATAATATATAGAGACATATAATTATATGAAAAATGCAGCAAAAAGGAAGAGGGAAGGGAATTATATTGGAGCAAAGTTTCTGTGTTTTACTGGAATTAAGTATTAATCTGAAGAAGATTGTGATAAATTACGATGCTTGTTGAAATCCCCATAGTAATCATAAGAAAATAAATACATTATATAGGCCAGGCACGGTGGCTCACGCCTGTAATCCCAGCACTTTGGGAGGCCGAGACGGGCGGATCATGAGGTCAGGAGATCAAGACCATCTTGGCTAACATGATGAAACGCCGTCTCTACTAAAAATACAAAACAATTAGCCAGGCGTGGTGGCGGTCCCCTGTAGTCCCAGCTACTTGAGAGGCGGAGGCAGGAGAATGGCGGGAACCTGGGAGGCTGAGCTTGCAGTGAGCGGAGACTGCGCCACTGCACTCCAGCCTGGATGACAGAGCGAGACTCTGTCTCAAAAAAAAAAAAAAAAAAGAAAATACATTATATTATATATAAAAGAAATTAAAATGGTACAGTGGAAAATATCCATTTAACACAACAAAGGCAATAGCAGAACAGAGAAATAAAAAAATACATACGAAATACATAATTTTTGTAAAAATACAGAAATTAGCCAGGCATAGGGCTAATTTAGTAGAAACCCCATCTCTACTAAAAGTACAAAAATTAGCCGGATGTGGTGGCGTGAGCCTGTAACCCCAGCTACTGGGGAGGCTGAGGCAGGAGAATCGCTTGAACCCAGGAGGGGGAGGTTGCAGTGAGCTGAGATAGCACCACTACACTCCAGTCAGGGTGACAGAGCAAGACTCTGCCTCAAACAAAACAAAACAAAAACTAAACAAAGAAAAAAAACTAGTGGCATATGTAAATCTAACTGTATCAATAATACCATTAAACGGTAATGAACACTCCAAGTAAAAGGCCAAGATTTTCGGAGTGGGTTAAGAAATAAACAAGATCCAACTATATGCTCTTTACATTCAATATACCTTATTTTTTTATTTTATTTATCTTTTTGAGATGGAGTTTCCCTCTTGTTGCCCAGGCTGGAGTGCAATGGCGCAGTCTTGGCTCACTACAACCTCCAACTCCTGGGTTCAAGAGATCCTCCTGCCTCAGCCTCCCAAGTAGCTGGGATTACAGGCACCCACCACTATGTCTGGCTAATTTTTGTCTTTTTAGTAGAGATGGGGTTTCACCATGTTGGCCAGGCTGATGTCGAACTCCTGACCTCAGGTTTTCTGCCCGCCTTGGCCTCCCAAAGTGCTGGGATTACAGGTGTGAGCTACCTCACCTGGCCACAATCTACACACTTTAGACTCAAAGACACAAACCGGTTGAAAGTGAAAATACGAGAAAAGATATACCATATAAACGGCACCCAAAAGAGAACTGGAGGCTGGGCGCAGGGGCTCATGCCTGTAATCACAGCACTTTGGGAGGCTGAGGCTGGCGGATCATGAGGTCAGGAGATCGAGACCATCCTGGCTAACACGGTGAAACCCCGTCTCTACTAAAAATACAAAAAATTAGCTGGGCGTGGTGGTGGGCGCCTGTAGTCCCGGCTACTCGGGGAGGCTGAGGCAGGAGAATGGCGTGAACCCGGGAGGCGGAGCTTGTAGTGAAGTAAGCCAAGATCGTGCCACTGCACTCCAGCCTGGGCGACAGAGCGAGACTCCGTCTCAAAAAAAAAAGAGAACGGGAATGGTTATACTAATGTCAGACAAAATAGATATGAAGATAAAATATATCACTAGAGACACATACAGACTCTTTTTCTTTCTTTCTTTCTTTCTTTCTTTCTTTCTTTCTTTCTTTTTTTTTTTTTTGAGGCAGGGTCTCGCTCTGTCACCTAGGCTAGAGTGCAGTGATGTGAACATGGCTTCACTGTAGCATCAACTTCCTGCATTCAAGCAGTCCTCCTGCCTCAGCCTGTCAAGTAGCTGGGACCATAGATACACATCACCATGTCCAGCTAATTTTTTTGTTTTTTGTAGAAATGAGGGTCTCACTTTGTCACCCAGAGTGGTCTCAAACTCCTGGGCTCAAGCCATCCTCCTACCTTTACCTCCCAAAGTGCTGGGATTACAGGTGTAAGCCACTGCACCCAGCCCATACCGATATTTTATGATGATAAACATGTCCATTCATTAGTAAGATGTAACAATTAGAAACACATAAGCACCAAACAATAGAGCCCCCAAATTAATAATGAAAAGAGTGAAAAAAAAGAAGGGAGAAATAGACAATTTAACAATAATAGTTGAAGATTTCAGTACCTTACTCTCAATAATGAAATAGGACAACTAGACAAGAAACTGGCAAAGATGTAGGAGATTTGAGAAACACTATCAATCAATCTGACTTGACAGACATTTATGGAACACTTCACCCATGGCTACACCATATACTAGGCCATTAAAGAAGACACAATAAAACATTTTCCCTCCAGCCTGGGCAACAGAGTGAGACTTCATCTCAAAAAAAAATTAAAATTAAAATAATTGGAAAGCTATTCTCTAGCCACAGTGGAATTAAATTAGAAATCAGGCCACACACACTGGCTCATGCCTATAATCCCAGCAGTTTGGGAGACTGAGGTGGGAGGATTGCTTGAGTCCAGGAGTTTGAGATCAGCCTGGGCAATAGAGTGAGACCTCAGCTCTACAAAAAAAAAGTTAAAAATTAGTTGAGTGTGTTGGCATGTGCTTGAATCACAGCTACTTGGGAGGCTGAGATGGGAGGATGTTTTGAGCCCAGGAGGCAGGGGTTGCAGTGAGCTGAGATTGCACCACTGCACTCCAGCCTGGGCAACAGAATGAGACCATGTCTAAATAAATAAATAAGAAACAAACAAAAATAGAAATTTGAGGTATGCACAAATACTTGAAAATTAATAACACACTTCTGAGTAACCCATGGGTCAAAGAAGAAACCAAAAGGAAAATTTAAAAATATTTTGAAGTTAATGCAAATGAAAACACATTTCAAAATATGTGGGATGCAATAAAGCAGTTCCTAAAAGGAAAATTTTGGCTGGGTGCAGTGGCTCATGTCTGTAATCCCAGCACTTTGGGAGGCTGAGGCAGGTGAATCACCTGAGGTCAGGAATTTGAGACCAGCCTGGCCAACATGGTGAAACCCCGTCTCTACTAAAAATACAAAAATTAGCCGGGTGTGGTGGCGGGTGCCTGTAATCCCAGCTACTAGGGAGGCCGAGGCAGGAGAATCACTTGAACCCAGGAGATGGAGGCTGCAGTGAGCTGAGATCATGCCACTGCTTTCCAGACTGGGCGACAGAGCGAGACTCCATCTCGAAAAAACAAAGGAAAGTTTTAACTATCAACACCCATGTTAGAAAAGAAAAAAGATCTCAAATCAATAATTTATGCTTTTTTTTTTTTTTTTTTTTTCCTGAGATGGAGTTTTGCTCTTACGCTCTTACTGCCCAAGCTGGAGTGCAATGGCAGGAGGAGGAGGTTGCAGTGAGCCGACGTCGCACCACTGCACTCCAGCCTGGGCGACAGAGTGAGACTCTGTCTCAAAAAAAAAAAAAAAAAAAAAAAAAAGAAAGAAAGAAAGGGCAGAAATGTCCCTATTTGCACAAACTATGGATACATAAAAAAACATGGATGGTTCTCAAAGTTATGCTGAGTGAAACAGAAAGGCCAATCTCAAGAGGTATATATGATTCAATTTATATAATGCTCTCGGAATAATAGAATTACAAAGATGGGAAACGTCACCAGGCCCCTGGCTTGGGGTGCCTTCCTTCCCCATGATGGGACACCTGCCTTTGGATTTTGCCTTCTCACCCCTCCAGGCGATGGAGGTGATGGGCTGGGGGGCCACAGCCAGGCTGGGTTGACCCTCGGAACTGGCCAAGCTTCCAAGACCCTCTCTTTATCATGAAGTCTGCTTTTTCCATTAACAATATAATTACACCTGCTTTTTAATTCTTACTGTTTTCTTGGATTTTTTTTTTTTTGAGATGGAGTCTCACTCTGTCTCCCAGATTGGAGTGCAGTGGCGCGATCTCAGCTCACTGCAAGCTCCTCCTCCCAGGTTCACGCCATTCTCCTGCCTCAGCCTCCCGAGTAGCTGGGACTACAGGCGCCTGCCACCACGCCTGGCTAATTTTTTTTTTTTTTGTATTTTTAGTAGAGACAGGGTTTCACCGTGTTCTTTAGGATGGTCTCGATCTCCTGACTTCGTGATCCACCCGCCTCGGCCTCCCAAAGTGCTGGGATTACTGGCGTGAGCCACCACGCCCGGCCAAATAGTATTGTTTTAGTGTTCTATTTTATATCCTCTATTGGCTTCTTAGTGATTCTTCATTGTATTGCTTTGTAGTTGTTCTAGGGCTACTCAACATATATCCTAAGTTTTCCAAATGTCTTTAGAATTAATATCATACAATTCATACCGGACACTTCCCTCTTTCTATCATACTTCCAGCTGCAGAAATGTAATAAATGTATGAGTATAGTTTCCTTGAGCCCTCGGTGACATACATTTCCTTGTTCCTTGTTGACGTATATTTTACAGCTACAAGAGTTACAAAGGCCACCCTACAAAACTTTTTTTGTACAGTGGTGCAGTCATGGTTCACCGCAGCCTTGACCTCCCAGGCTCAAGCGATCCTCCCATCTCAGCCTCCCAGGTAGCTGAGACCACAGGCAAGCACCGCCATACCCAGCTAATTTAAATTTTTTTTTGTGGAGAAGGGATTTCATCATGTTGCCCAGGCTGGTCTGGAACTCCTGGGCTCAAGCAGTCCTCCTGCCTTGGCCTCCCAAAGTGTTGGGATTACAGGCGTGAGCCACCATGCCCAGCCGGATGTGATGTTTTGATTGTTTTTTTTTTTTGAGACAGGGTCTGGCTCTGTTGCCCAGGCTGGAGTGCAGTGGCATGATCTTAACTCACTGCAACGTCTACCTCCTGGACTGAAGCGATCCTCCCACCTCAGCATCCCAAGTAGCTGGGACTACGGGCACGCACCACCACACCTGGCTAATTTTTGTATTTTTTGTAGAGATGGGTTTCACCATGTTGCTCAGGCTTGTCTTGAACTCTTGAGCTCAAGTGATCCACCTGCCTCGACCTCCCAGGCGTGAGCCATTGCACCCAGCCAATTTGATGTATGTTTAACTCATTACTGCTATGATTCATTTTGACGCTCGAATCGTCCTAGATTTGGCCGGTGCAAGCCCCTGCATGCAGTCTGGCTCTTGTGTTCACATCACTGTTTTTGTTGTTTTTGTTTTCTGAGCGCTTCCTCGTTTTCTGTACTTTCCCTCCCCCAACCCTGGAATCAAGCATGTTTTGTAGGGAGCCCTGGTTTTGTCAGTGGTAGTGGTGTTTAGAGACCACGATTTTAGTAACAGGTGTCCTCATTACTTTGGGGCTATTGTTATTTTCAGGCTTTTTTAGCAGACCAAATTTAAAATGACGTTAATACAGATATGCACACATGTGCATGCGTATATCGTTTTAAAGGCATGCGTGTACTGATGACTGATGCCTTCAGTTACAGTCCATCACCTCCGCTATCTTCTCTTTCTCCCATTCTGTATTTCTCTTCTGTCCCATTTACAATACATCTTCTAAAAAAGATCAAGATTTGGCTGGGGGCGGTGGCTCATGCCTGTAATCCCAGCACTTTGGGAGGCCAAGGTGGGCAGATCACCTGAGGTCAGGAGTTCGAGACCAGCCTGACTAACATGGTGAAACCCCATCTCTACTAAAAATACAAAAATTAGCTGGGCATGGTGGCAGGCACCTGTAATCCCAGCTACTCAGGAGGCTGAGGCACAAGAATTGCTTGAACCCGGGAGTCAAGGTTTGCAGTGAGCCAAAATGGCACCAGTGCACTCCAGCCTAGGTGACAGCGAGACTCTGTCTCGAAAAAAAAAAACAACAAAAAAAAAACTAGATGTTTTTGGAATTCTTTCTATCTTTAGAACATGCCCACGGAAGGTGGTTCAGGTTTTCTCTTCCGTGTGGTTACCACATCAGTTTAATGTGCAGTTTGGTTCATTTGTTTCTGTTTATCCTCAACTTTAGTTTTGTCCCCGTTTGTAGATTTAATTTTTTTTCACATATATAAGCTGAGGGTTAGGGTTAGTTTTGACTTTCCAAAACATCAAAACTGTATTGAAAGGCATATCAGAGAAAGGTCCCTTTTACTACTATTTCTTCGACTCCTTTCCACTCACACTGGACTTATCCTTCCTGTGTTTCTTTCTGCAAAAATAAGGACACACACACATACATACTCTTATTTCTCCTTATCTTTTTTGTTTGTTTGTTTTCTTTTTGAGATGGAGTCTTGCTCTGTTGCCCAGGCTGGAGTGCAGTGGTGCAATCTCGGCTCACTGGAAGCTCCACCTCTTGGGTTCAAGTGATTCTCCTGCCTCAGCCTCCTGAGTGGCTGGGATTACAGGTGCCCGCCACCACGCCTGGCTAATTTTTGTATTTTTAATAGAGATGGGATTTCACCATGTTGGTCAGGCTGGTCTGGAACTCCTGACCTCATGATCCACCCACCTCAGCCTCCCAAAGTGCTGGGATAACAGGCGTGAGCCACCGTGCTGGCCTCTCCTTATTTTTTGTTTGTTATTTTTATATTTTATTTCTTAATTCTTTTTTTTTTTGAGATGGAGTCTCCCTTTGTCGCCCAGGCTGGAGTGCAATGGTGTGATCTCGGCTCACTGCAACCTTCGCCTTACAGGTTCAAGCAATTCTCCCACCTCAGCCTCTTGAGTAGCTGGGATTATAGGTACCCGCCACCATGCCCGACTAATTTTTGTATTTTGTAGAGACGGGGTTTCACCATGTTCGCCAGGCTGGTCTTGGACTCCTGACCTCAGGTGATCCACCCACCTCGGCCTCCCAAAGTGCTGGGATTACAGGCATGAACCACCACCCCCGGCCCATTACTTTTTGTAGAGATGAGGTCTTGCCGTTTTGCCCAGGCTGGTTTCAGACACCTGGTCTCTCTTTTTTTTTTTTTTTGAGACGGAGTCTCGCTCTGTCGCCCAGGCTGGAGTGCAGTGGTGCGATCTTGGCTCACTGCAAGCTCCACCTCCCGGGTTCACGCCATTCTCCTGCCTCAGCCTCCCGAGCAGCTGGGTCTACAGGCACCGGCCACCACGCCCGGCTAATTTTTTGTATTTTTAGTAGAGACCGGGTTTCACTGTGTTAGCCAGGATGGTCTCGATCTCCTGACCTCGTGATCCGCCCGCCTCGGCCTGCCGAAGTGCTGGCATTACAGGCGTGAGCCACCGCGCCCGGCCTATAATAAGTACTTTAATGTCTTTGGCTGCTGATTCCAACATCAGTGTCCGGCCAGGGTCGGTTTTGATTGATTTTCTCTCCCTGTGGGTCTTGTTTTCCTGCTTCTTTGGCTGCTAATTTTTCACTAGTTGCCCCAGGGATTGTGAATTTTACCTAAATATTTTTGGGCTTTGTTCTGGGATGGAGTAAGTTTACTTGGAAACAATTTGAGGCCAGGCACAGTGGCTCACACCTTTAATCCCAGCACTTTGGGAGACCAAGGTGGGCAGATCACCTGAGGTCAGGAGTTTGAGACCAGCCTGGCCAACATGGTGAAACCCCATCTCTACTAAAAATGCGAAAATTAGCCGGGCGTGGTGACGCGTGCCTATAATCGTAGCTACTCGGGAGGCTGAGGCAGGAGAATGGCTTGAACCTGGGAGGTGGAGGTTACAGTGAGCTGAGATTGCGCCACCGAACTCCAGCCTGGGAGACAGAGCAAGATTCCGTCTCAAAAGAAAAAAAAAATTTATGCTTTGGGGTCTTGTTTGTAAGATTTTTGTTTTGTTTTAGGTGTACCAGCGCTAACTAGTAACCAGCTAATAGATCTTGGGCCTTGAGACACACCCATCTGAGTATTCAATGTCTCACGAATTCTGAGGTTTTCTAGTCTGGTTGGTAGGAACAGGCACTGGTTTCCAGACCTGTGCAGTATCTGGCACTGTTCCGTCTAATCCTCCTGCTGGTTTCCTGCTCGCACGCATTGAAGGTGCTTGGCCTGGTGCTCACAGGAGAGCCCCCGTAGCCTCCTGCCTGGCGGTCCCGGGACAGCCCCTGCACCCCGCCACTGTCTGCCAGCTCCCCCCGGGTGCTCTGTCCTGCAATCCTCAGCCTCATTTTCCCCCCGGACTCTCAGCTCCACTTCCTCAACTCGGGGGGTCTGCTGGACTCCACCTCTCACTGTGCCCGGCCTGGAAGCTGCCAGGCAGAAGGCTGAGGTTACCCTAGGGCTCCTGGCACCTTGTTCCCACCCAGGGGTCACCGTCCTTCTTTGGCGGAGGCCTGGTATCCCCACAGCCAGCACCTCCTGTCCTTTGCCTGGATTTTCAGCTGTTTCCGGTGGGAGGGTGAATCCAGGCCTCGCTACTCTCTGGATCAGAACTCCAATTCGTTACATTAATTTTCATTTTAATTCGAAAGAAAAAATAACTGAAGTGAAGATAATTGTGTGACTTAAGGTAACTGTATCTTCATAACAAAGATACGTGGTTTCTCTTAGGTCTCCCTGAAGCTCATTTGCAACTTGGATGCACCTCAGGCCCATCAGAGCGCCTCCTCCCCTGGCAGCAGCTGAGCCAGGAACTTCAGAGACCCCTGGACACCACATTCCGGTACCGGAGAGCCGGGAGAAGCAGGAGGGGTGACAAGAGCCCATGTGCTGGGCACTACCCGCCTTGCCCTGCAGGGCCTGAGGCTGTGGAGCTAAAGCAGTTTAGTTCTGAGGCCACCCCCAGATAGGCCTGTGAGCCTCTGTCCTCCCTGGTGGCCCTGAGCCTGTGTGCACGGCTGGGGTGGGAGTGGCCGGAGGAGGGGTGGAGAGAGGCCAGAGGGGACCACGGCTGAAGGGAGCAGCTGCCTAGTGTTGGGGGACCGCAGGAGGGGTGTGGCTGAGCCTCGCTCCGATGCCCGCCTGCTGTCCACACTCACGCCTGGACACTGCCCACCTGCAGCCGCTGCACCAGGCCCACCCCCCCAGCAGGGCCCGTGGTGTTCACTGTAGTCCTGGCCCACTACCCTGCCCTGGGAGATGGCCCCTGCGCCCACCCCTCCCCTGCCTCTCCAGCAGGGGCTCTCCCAGCCCCCCACCCACCTCTGTGCCTTGGCACTCACACTGAAAGGGCCTCTTCTGTGGGCATGCTGTGCCTTCCGGAACCCCGGGCTGGCCTGCTTTGCCCATTCCCGAAATCCAATCCTGGCTCTCGCTCCTGCCCATGCCTCTACCCCAAGCTCATGTCCACCCAGCGGCCCCCCGCACAGCCACCCGTGGGGTGCTGCCCTTATGGGTCCTGGAGGCTGTGTCCACCCCACCCCTCGATGCCGGGGGTCCAGGTGCCCAGGGCTCCCTGTCCCTTGCTCCCTCCCAGCCTCCACTCCTTTGCCTAAACCCAAGTCTTCTGGGTCAACCTGGCCAGCCAGTGGCGCTATTGACACCGTCTTGGTGAGGCTGTGACGGCATCTTTGGCAGGGCGAATGCCTGCAATCCACTGACTTCAAGCAAATACTATTCTCCACGAGGGGCCTCTCCTCAGCTGAAGCCAACTTCCCAGTGTCTGTACCTCCTACACGTTTCTCACTGGTGGTGTTTCTTGGCCAGAGCCTCGGTACCCCCCCCCCCGCCAGTCCCAGCGCTTTCCCGGGAAGCCCGGGGCTGCCACGCGGGCTCCTTCCTCACTCCCCGGCCCAGCCCCGGCTCTGGGACATGGCCTAGGGGTGTGTGGGAACTGGGGACCAGAGGACAGAGGGCATCCCCTTCACGGCCCCGTGACTGGGTGGGGTGGAGCTGGAGAGCTTGCAGCTGCCAGGTCAGGGAGGAGGGAAGAAAGGACGGTGGTGGAGATCACATGCGGTTTAATTGTGGGAGGCTGAGAGCAGCATTTTTACCAAATTGGTGTAAAAATGAAACGGGGTCCAGACGTGTACACTGACAGTTACAGTAAATTTCAAAATCCAAGCAGCAATTTGAATCATTTCTTGAAAAACAAACACAGACAAACACCAAACATGGAGTTGGTGCCCGGCGCCGGGCATAAGGGCAGCACCCCACGGGTGGCTGTGCGGGGGGCCGCTGGGTGTGGCCGGGCCCTGTGTGCCTGTGCAGGGGCCCAGCTCCTCGGGGACTGGCCCACGACCCCCCACTCAGCGGGCTGAGCCAATGCCTGGCCGAGAGGGGGCCGCAGCCAGCAGGCTTGGGTGGCTGCCCGCGCCCGCAGGGGACATCGGGGAAATGGGGGCAGAGTGCGGGACCCACACGCTGCCTGAGGAGTCTTGGCAGGGTGGACAGGCCTGGGGGTCTCTACCAGCAATGCAATAAATATGCAAATCCAAGCACAGAAAGACCAAGCGCAGACCCCACGGGCGCACGAGGCCCAGCCCAGTTCCTGCGGGCACGGGCACCACCGGCTCTTCACAGACCAGGAGTCTCCAAGTCGGCAGCTCTGGTGTCCCCGAGGTGCCGTGGGAGGCGGCGGGTGGGTGGGACATGCCTAACACCTACATCTAGCAGCCTCGGGGGGCAGTGGCACTGGGCCGGACAGGGTCCCACCGGCAGGACCCTTCAATCCCGTTGCATGGCGGGGGTGGGGTGGGGTGGGGTGGGGATGGTGGAGTGACCTCCGGTGGCAGGCGGGGGCACGGGCCTAGCCCTCCCGCACGCTCACGCGTGGCTCAGCCAGGGAGCTGTGGATGATGC
Source organism: Homo sapiens (assembly GCF_000001405.40). Lineage (NCBI taxonomy): Eukaryota > Metazoa > Chordata > Mammalia > Primates > Hominidae > Homo > Homo sapiens. Next base: position 82,079,196 of record NC_000017.11, read on the forward strand.
TGATGATGGACTCCAGGCCGCTGCCCTCCAGCAGCGTGCGGTGGTCACCCTCGATGACGTGGACGGATACTTTCCCGTCGCATACCTGCAGGGGATGCGATCAGCTGCCGTCCCACCCCACTCCTGTCCCTGTCCCCGTTCCCGTCAGGCCCCTTGCGCACCTGGGAGAGGTTGTAGTCCGCGCCCAGGTCCTCGCCGTAGGCGCCACCCGTCTTGGCGCGCAGTAGCATCACGTTGCCATGGTACTTGGCCTTGGGTGTGTACTGCTCAGCGGCACGCAGCTTGTAGTAGAAGGACCGGGCCGCAAAGCTCAGCTCCTGGCGGTCCAGGCCCTGGTGGCTCTTGATGATCAGGTCCACGGCGGCTGCCACACGCTCCTCTAGGCCCTTCAGCGGCAGCAGCGCCTCCAGCACCTGTGGGGTCGGGCTCTGAGCAGGTGCTGGCAGCACCCACAGCACCGGCCTGCCCTGTGCTACACTGCGGGTGGGCTTTTTTTTTTTGAGACGAGTTTCATTTTTGTTACCCAGGCTAGATGGAGTGGGGCGATCTCAGCTCACCGCAACCTCCACCTACCCGGTTCAAGCGATTCTCCTCCCTCCGCAACCTCCACCTACCCGGTTCAAGCGATTCTCCTCCCGAGTAGGTGGGACTATAGGTGAGTGCCACCATGCCTGGCTAATTTTTGTATTTTTAGTAGAGAAGGGGTTTCTCCACGTTGGTCAGGCTGGTCTCGAACTCCCGACCTCAGGTAATCTGCCCGCCTTAGCCTCCCAAAGTGCCGGGATTACAGGCATGAGCAACCGCATCCGGCCGGGATCGGCTATTAAAGGGGTGAAGTTGGGGGGCCTTTAACGCTCTTCGCGTCCCATCCCATCCTTCCCTTCCCCCTTCCGTTCCTGCCCAGTACTCTGGGTCCTGCGGCCTCAGGGGTGTCCAGGACCCACCCTGTTGTGCTCCATGTCCGTGAACTGCTGCACGAAGAAGCATATGGCCTCCGTCTCAGCCTCAGCCTCACAGCCTGGGGTCAGCTTTGCCCGGTAGCTCTGAGAGGAAGGAGGGACTGCTGAGCAGATGGAAGGGGCGGGGCCTCCTAAGCGACGGTCCCCCAAAGCCAGGGCACAGGTGGGGAGCCCAGACGTTTGCCGTAGGCCTCTAGGACCAGCCTGGCTCTCACCTGGGTGTAGGCCAGTACGTAGGTGGGCGAGCCGTCGAACAGGAAGAGGCTGTTGTGGGTGGGGGCTGGGCTCTGCTGGGCCTGCAGCTGGGAGCACATTTCAAAGGCCACGCAGGCCCCGTAGGAGTAGCCGGCCACGCGGTAGGGGCCCTCGGGCTGCACCTGCCTGATGCAGTCGATGTAGTAGGCAGCCAGGCTGTGGATGCTGTCAAGGGGCGCAGCTGCAATGGCAGTGCCGGGCACTCAGCATGTGCAGGCGGCAGCCACGGGCCCCGTGATGGCCAGCACTGACCACCGCTTCCAGAGGAGGGCCCGGGAGTACCTCGGGTGCACTGCAGGCCATAGGTGGGGATGCTGAGCCGGGAGGCCAGGCTGTGGAACACGGTGGTGGAGCCCTCGATTGGGTGCACCAGGAACAGGGGCCGCTCCGAGCTCTGCACGGAGTTGAGCCGCATCAGGGTGGGGCCCTCCGGGTTCACCAGCAGGGAGCGCAGGTTCAGCTGAGTCTGCTGCTGGGCCAGACCATCCTCCTTGGGCGTGGGGCATGCCAGCTCTGTGAAGACAGGGGCAGATGCCAGGCTGGTCTGGGTGCAGAGCCCTGGCACCCACGCAAGGACACACAGACACGCACGCAGGTCCCCACGGTGCTACGTCAGGTGGGAGTCGGGGTGGGAACGCTCAGAATGGCACCCGTGACGAAGGGCGGTATGCCTGCCGGGACACGGTCCAGACAACAAGGAGGAAGGGCTGGGGAGGCCCGGGGACCCCACTCCCGCCTGGCCACCCACACGCACCGCTGGCCTCATCCGCCTTTGAGGACAGCTCCTGCAGTTTCCGGAGCGTGAGTTGCCGCACCTCGCGCACGGACAGCACCAGGTTGAGCTCACGCTCCAGCGTCTGGCGCACCTCCACGCTCATGAGCGAGTCCAGGCCCAGGTCCGCCAGTGAGCTGTCCAGGTTGACAGCAGCCAAGTCGCGGATGCCTGGAAGGGATGCGCCGGGTCGGCAACTCCAGAGGGGGCATGGGGACGGCCTGTATGCGGCAGGGCTGACACCCAGGGGTGCGTGGGCTGTGCATCTCCCAAAGCACCACCACCACAGTGACACCTGCGCCCGCACCCTGGCTCTGCAGATGGGGAAACTGAGGCGCACAGGGGCACGACTGCTATGTCCCAAGACCCTGATGCCAGCAGGGGAAACACCTGGCGCGGCTCCTACTGGGAGTGCTCACCCAGGATGTGTGCCACGGCCTCCACCAGGTCCCGCTGGCTGTCCCTGTCCCTATAGGCCGCAGCCTTCTCAGCCAGCACAAAGCTGCTCAGGACCATGTGGGGCTGGTTCAGGAAGAGGTCCAGCACCTCCAGGCAGGACGCCATGCGCTGGGGCAGCGTGCCACTGACGATCGTGTCGTTGGTGCTCATCGTCTCCACCAAAATGCCCACGTCGCCGATGGCGCCCCACTGCACGGCCAGGCCTGTGGGGGAGGGGGCAGGTGGGCAGAGCTGCGGGGAGGTCGGGGTGGGGAGTGGCCACTGGGAGAGGGTGGGGTGGGCAGGGCTGCGGGGAGAAGGTGGGGGTGGGGAGTGGCCACTGGGAGAGGGCAGGGTGGGCAGGGTCGAGGGGAGAGGGTGGGGCCCACCTGGGAGGCCTTCGTGCCGGCGTTTCTCACAGATACGCTCCATGGCGGAATTGGCAAAGCCGTAGTTGCTCTGTCCCGCATTGCCACGCCCGCAGCTCACAGAGGAGAAGACCACAAAGTAGTCCAGCTCAGGGCACGCCTCTCGGGTCACCCTGTGGGCACGCGTGTCACTCCCCATTGGCCAGCATCCCCAGGAGCCCCCAACGTCCCATCCCCAGGAAACGCCAGAGAGGGCTGTCAACAAACCACCTTGGCTCCCACGGCCCTGAGCCCAGAGCCCGGCAGAGGCGGGAGCAGGGCTGTGCGGTACCCACCTGTCCAGGTTCAGGGTGCCGCTGTACTTGGGCTTGCAGACGTCCTGGAAGAACTCTGGGGTCTGGTTCTCCAGCAAGCCATCTCTCAAGACCTGGGGGAGGCATCCTCAGCACTCCCTGCAGCTCCAGGGCCTCACCCGTCCACCCAGGGTCCCCCCCTTGGTCTTGGGGCTTTTGAGGGCCCCATTTGGGGCCTTCCCTCACCACGGCCAGGTTGAAGACGCCGCCCACGGGCCCAAGCTGCGCCGCCTCGGCAATGAGGCCCCGGGCCCCCTCCAGTGAGCTGATGTTGCTGGTGGACACCTGCACCTGTACGCCCTGGCGCCTCCACCGGCGGACCTGCTTGGCCTGGTAGCCTGCGGGACACAGGACTGTGGGCTGGACTGGGCCAGGGTACGGTCTCTTCCCTACACGCCGGGCTGGGGAAGTGGGGAGCAGCCGCAGAGCCCCATCCAGCAAGCCCCCCACAAGATGGAGGGGGACAGACCCCAGGCACCGTGACAGCCCACAATGGTGGGCTGCAGAGAAGGGCTCAGGGGCCCGGGGCTGTGCCTGGCCCAGGCTGGTCCACAAGCACCCCTGCCGACTCACCTGTCCGGATCCCGGAGCGAGAAGTCAACACGAGCTTCTGCACCCCACGCTGTATCAGCCACTGCGCCAACTCCAGGCCGAAGCCACCCAGACCACCAGCGATGATGTAGCTCTTGTGGGCCGGGCAGAAGGTCTTGGAGATGGCCGACATCAGCTTGGGTTTGGCCCCCTTCAGCACTGCCTCCGGCTCCTCCGCAAGCACCTGCGTCCAAGCAGCACCCACCGGCTCAGGCACTGCCTGGGGACCAGAGCCTGGGGTGCCCGAGGCGCCGGGACTCCTCCCCTCACCTGCACGACGACTTTGCCAATGTGCTTCCCTTGGGCCATGTAGCGGAAGGCGTCCTCCACCTGGGCCCCATGGAACACCGTGCACTTGAGGGGCCGTACCACCCCATCCCGGATGCCGGCCTGCACAAGCGCCCACACCTCCCGCCAGTCAGCACTGCTCTCGTTGAAGAACGCATCCAGTAGGACCCCGTGGAATGTCACGTTCTTCAGGAAGATAGCCATGCCTGCGGGCAGGGGCCGTGCTCACCCAGGGCCTTCCACAGGTCCACCCACACCCATCCATGCCCACCCCCGCCCAGGCGCTGCCGGCCTCACCGAGCGGGTGGTTCTGAGAAAGGTCGAATTTGCCAATTTCCAGGAAGCGACCGTGCGTAGCCAAGCACCTCACGCTGGCCTGCAGCTTCTCTTCCGCCAAGGAGTTCAAGACCAGGTCAACGCCTAGGGGGCCAGAGGGGCCAGACAATCACACCCACTGCAAGCCCAGCCACCACAGTCCAGAGGGCCAGACCCTGCTTCTCCCTGGGCCGGAGGCTAGGCAGGAGGCAGGTGGGGGCTGTGGGGGCCACTCACCCTTCCCGCCCGTGTGCCACAGCACATGCTGCTCGAAGGATGTGTCCCGGGAGTTGGCGAAGCTGGTGCTGTCGAGCTGGGGGAACCTGGCCTGGAGGTACGCCCGCTTCTCAGCCGACCCTGGTGAAGAGAGGAAGCGCGGCTGGTGAGCCAGGGCGGCGGGGCCAGGAGGGCAGCGGGAGGCACCGGGGGCGGGGCCTTACCCACGGTGGTGAAGACGCGGCAGCCCAGACTGAGGGCGATGGCGATGGCGGCCTGGCCCACGCCGCCCGAGCCCGAGTGGATGAGCAGCGTCTCCCCGGGGCGCACCCGCCCACGCACCACCAGCGCGTAGTAGGCCGTGCTGTAGACGACAGGCACCGAGGCCGCCTCCTCCAGCGTCCTGGGGATGCAGCAGGTGGGTCAGCACAGGCCTGGCCGCCATCCACGTGGGGCCCAGGCTCACACCCTCGACACACTCACCAGTTGGAAGGCACATCCCAGAGGAAGTCCGGTGACAGCAGGACAGAGGTGGCCAGGCCCTTGGCAGGCACCAGTCCCATCACACGCTTGCCGCTGGCGTCTCGGCCCGAGAACTCCATACCTAGCAGGCTGTCCTGGGAGGTCCACTTCCCTGGGGGAGACGGCACTGAGCCCCTCACCGCCTGCCCTTCCCTCCCGAGGGGCTCCCAGGCAGGTCCTAGCTGCTGGGGTCTCTGCTCCCCGGCCCAGTCCACTCCCACGGCCCCATGCCACCCATACCTGGGATGGCATCAGGGGACAGCTTGCCAGTGGCCAGCATGATGTCGCGGAAGTTGAGGGAGGCGTAGTAGACCGTGCAGAGCTGGGCGCCAGGGCAGGTGGGCTGGGCATGGCGCAGCGAGGAGCAGACCCAGCGGATGGAGGACAGGTCCCCCCGGGTGAGGGTGCTCACAAAGGCATGTGCCGTCGGCTCCTCAGGCTTGTCTAGGGAAACAGGGAGGTGGGGCTGCTGCGGGGCCTTCGGGTGCAGTCTCCCGGGAGGGGCAGGGCAGTGTCGGGGGCTCACCCTCCTCCAGCAGGAAGTGGCGGAAAGCCCCCCAGGCCCCGTCGCGGTAGACGTTCATCACCAGGTCTCCCTGCAACACCTTCTGCAGTTCTGCGGAGCCCGGGTCCACCTCCGGGACGTGGGAGGTGCTGCTGAGGTTGGAGAGCAGCACACACCTGGGGGCAGAGGCGGGGAGCTCAGGCTGGGGATGGGGAGGCTGGTGGGGAAGGGGAAGTGGTGAGGGGCCGTGCTCCTACCGGAGGCGGTTCCCGCCGGGCTCTCGGCGGAGACAGTTCACCAAGCCCACCACGCCCGAGGTGGCACAGTTGATGGCCTTCAGCCACACAGGCCGGGAAGAGTCTTCGTCAGCCAGGATGCCCTACAGCGGGTCGGGGAGGGTCAGGCCACACTCGGCAAGTTGGGAGGTGGGGTGGGGCCTGGAGGTGGGGCAGGGCCTGACCTTCAGAGACTCCACCCAGCGGAAGCTGGTATCGTCCACCGGCAGGAAGATGGGGCTGTCCTGCGGGGTGGGCCGGCGGCACAGGAAGAGCGTGGAGCCGTAGAAGGACTTCTTCAGGCCCACCAGGCGCAGCGACACCCTGGAGAAGAGGCTCTCCCACGCGTCCTGTGGGGGCGGTGGTCAGCACCCTGCCCGCCTGGCCCTCACCCGGCCCCCACCCTGTCCCCCTGCCCGGCGGCCGCACCTGGCTCAGGATGCCCTGGCCATACTGCGGCTCAGTGGAGGTGAGGAAGGCCACGATGTCCCCGAGGGGGTGCCCCCGGAGCAGTGTGTGCAGGAGCAGAAAGCCCCCTTCTCTCAGGGCAGCCACCATGTTGCTGAGAGCTGAGGCCGGGTCCCCGAGGGCAGCCACAGCACAGTTGCACACCAGGAGGTCGGCGCTGCCCAGGGCGCTGGGGGCAGGGTCTGCGGGATCCCACTGGCCCTGGGCAACGTCGTGCTGCTGCAGCTCGGCCTGGGCAGCCTCCAGGGCCTGGGGGTGGCGGTCGGTGGCCGTGTAGCTCAGCTGCAGCAGGGGATGGGGGCTGAGCAGGCCTGGGATGCGGGAATACAGGTGACCGTGGCCAGCCAGCACCTGTAGGGGGTGAATTCTGGAATCAGCCCCACACCAGGCAGGTGCCCCTGACCTGGGGCTGGGCAAAATGTCCATGAGGCCTCAGTCTGGCAGAAAGGCTTCCCCGTCAACCTGATGACGGTGCCAGCCATGGGCACGCATGGATGCCACTGGTCTTGTCCCTGGGGTCCTGCCTAGGCTGCACCTCTTGGAGCCCACGGGCGGACCCTCCACGGTGGCTGTGTGGACCGCACAGGACACGTGCACAGAACCACACAGGGAACTGGCCGGCCCCACCCACCGCCCAGGGCCCGCCCCGTGTCTGTGCTGTCTCCTGCAACTGATGTCAGGGTGGGTCCTACCATGTCCGGGGCAGAGGCCTGGCTGCCCAGGAGGCACCCACCTCCACCACCTTCATCTTCAGGCTGGGCATGTTCTCCACGGCAGTGTCCAGGCAGGCCTTGAGTGCCGGGGAGTCCAGGAGGCCGCTGAGCAGAGGGTCCTCTGGCAGCTTGGGCCTCTCCTGGGCCAGCACCTGCGCCAGCTCCAGCTGCAGGTTCCCGTTGAGCTGAAGCCTGCAGGCAGCCGACAACAGCCGGGGCAGTTCCTGCTGTGAGGGGTCCCGGGGGATCTGGGCCCCATCCAGTCCGGGCACCACCATCTTCAGCCCCTGCTGGGTCACCTTGGTCTGCAGTGCCTGCACCAGCCCTGGGGAGGGAGGGAGGCAGGCCTGGTGTTCCCAAAGCCCCAGGGCATCTGCCTGGCATGGGCTCTCAGACCCACTCTGTCCTTCTGGGGCCACCACCCCGCTCTGCCCACAGGATGAGAAATAGCTGAGGGTTGAGGAAGGGGCTGCCCACCACTGGGAGGCTGACTCCTGCCCACTGTGGACGCAGTGAGGGGCCGCATTCAGCTGCAGGGGCTACTCTGTGCCTAGCCAAGGTGTGACCTTAGGCTGAATCTGTCATCTTTGCCCCCAAGTACCCTTTCAAGACTGAGGAACAGTGACCAGGGACGAGGAAGGCTGGGGGCTGGGGGAGGGAGGGAGGCCGCCATCGTGAGCTCCGGCCGGAGGGTTGGGCTAGGGTTGCTGACCCCAAAGGGGGCCCCGTGGAGAAGCAAGTCTGGGGTCAACGTGAGGGGAGGCGATCGCTCCTCATCGCCAGAGGTGTCCGAAGCCAGCAGGGCTGGGACCTCACCCTTGCACAGTTGCAGCTCCTCCTGCAGGGCAGCGCGCTCAGACAGGCACCCCTCCTCCGTGTGGGGAGTGAAGCAAAACTTCTCCAGGATGGGCACCTGCTGCTCCTGCTGCCGCCGCGGGGCCGACTCAGTGTGGAGCCCGGAGATGTGGACGCCTCCGGCCACTGTGACCCTCAGCCACCTGCTCACCACCACGTCAGCCACTGTGGGGACAGGCTGGGTGAGTGCGGCATACTTGGGTGGGGGCACTGGGCTGGGGCTGGGGCGGGGCTACCTTGGGCCTTGTCCTGCAGTGTGTACAGCTTCTGCCTGTGGGTGGCAGGGTCGATGTGGATGGCGGTGACACGGGTGGGCAGGTACAGGCCGTGCTTGGCCGAGCCCAGGATGGACATCTGCAGCATGGTGTCCATGAAGCTCACCCAGTTATCCTTCCACAGCAGCCTCCCCGAGTCACCTGCACACAGGGCCTGGTTGGTGCTGTGGAACTCCCAGGTCCCTGGGGCCACCTCCCAGAGCCCACCGGGCCCCTCTGCTCCCTCCCAAGCTGCATGCCTAGCTGTGGGTGCCCTCTGTGGTCCCCACAATGACGACCGCCCTCCCCGGTGGCTTGGGCAGCAGTGTAGTCAGTACCCACCTTCCAGGCTGGCCTCCAGGATGCCCTGGAAATGAGGGCCGTAGTCGTAGCCACGCAGACGCAGCTCCTTGTAAACTTCAGCCTGGGCCAGGAAGAGGGGCTCCGTGGGGTTGGGGGTGGGGCTTTCCGGGTGGTCGAAGAGCCTGGGGTCAGGGTCATCCCACTGGTACACCTTCCCTGTGGAAAGGGAGGTGCGGAAGGGCCTGAGGACGGGCGGCATGGCCAGCGGGCACAGCCTCCGCAGCTCCCGTGCCACCGGCCCTGCTTACCACTCACTACCAGGTTGCCGTTCTCTGACACCTCGAAGGCACGGGAGGCCTCCAGGAGCCGTACCTCCAGGGACACTGTCCCTGCAGAGCGGGAGAGTTGGAGATCAGAGGGCAGCACCCGCCCCCCAGCTACCCCCGCCTTGGTCCTGGGGTACCCCTCACCAGTCTTGGGCAGGATGGTGGCCTGGTGCAGCACCACATCCTCAAACACCACAGGCAGCTGCTCGACGCCCAGGCCCAGGGCGCGGGCCAGCGTCTTCCACACTATGCTCAGGTAGCCAGTGGCGGGGAAGAGGACGCGACCGTCGAGGGTGTGGTCCACCAGGTAGTGGTCAGGAGACTCGGAGCTGGTGTCTGCGGGAGGGCACAGGCCTCAGCACAGAGCGGGCGTCTGTGGGGAGGGAAGAGTCTGCCCACCCGCCGGGCCCCTGCTCACCGATGTTGTAGATGGCGGCTGAGGGGGAACCTGAACCGTTGGGGAAGTCCTCGGCGGCCGGCACGTCCCAGGCCAGGCTGTGGTCCCACTTGATGAGTGGGGAGATGAGGGGAGTTCCTCGGGGAGCTGGGAACTCCACAGGTGGGAACAAGGCATTGGGGTTGGCGTCGATGCTACGGAGAAGGGAGGCATGGGTAGCACACCCGTCACCGGGGTCCAGGGGCTCTGGGTTCAGCCCACCCACTGCCTGCGGTGGACCATCCAGGGCTGCTGCCACCGGCCTGGGTCAGTGAGGGGCCCGCAGCCCCGCTCACCCACCCCACGCCGTCCCCGACTCCGGGAGACGAGACCCGGGCTGGGAAGGGACCCACCCTGAGAGGTGCAGCCTGCCGATGCCGGCCAGGAAGAACTCCAGGTTGTCCCTGTGATCCTTCTTCATCAGGGGGATGATGGTGCAGCTCGGCTTCAGGCCACGCTTCAGGACAGCCTGGGGGCGGCAGGGCAGGTGGGCTCTCTTGGTGCTCAGCTGAGGCGCCCATCCCAGGCTCCCGGCGCCTGCTGCCCCCAGGCTGGGCCTACCTGCAGCAGGGCGTGGGGCGCGATCTCCAGCACCACCGCGTGCTCAGGCACGTGCCACAGGGCCTCCTGGAACAGCACAGGGCTCACCAGGTTGTTGACATTGTACTCGGCGGAGGACGTGCGTGCCAGGCTGCTGTGCCACTGGGCCTCGGGGATAGAGGTGCTGAGCCAGCGGGCTGAACGTGGCTTCGGCTCCCGGATCACCTGCATGAGGGGCCAGGTCAGTGCTGGGTTGTGGGTCCCCTGGCCCGCCCCGCACCCCCCAGGCCGTATTAGTCCACCTTCTTGAGCTCCTGCAGCAGTGGGGGTGCGATGGCCTCCATGAAGTAGGAGTGGAAGGCCATACCGCCGGTCCGCACCTCCTTGGCAAACACACCCTCCTTCCTCAGCTGCTCCACGAACTCAAACACCGGGGCCTGGACATCGTGGGAGCCTGGATAAGCATCCTGGCTGGGCACCCACCTCAGGCTCGGAGAGGTAGGGCGCACCCACCTCACCCCAAGGGAACCGAGAGGGAATGGGCAAGGGACCTGAGGACAAACCTGCCCCATGCCCCAGGCCCGTCAGAGCTTGGTGGGGCGTAGACCGTGGCCGCGTGTCCCTGCCAGACTTGCAATGGCAGGCGCAGGGGACAGAGGAGCCCGCCCAGGCCGCAGCACCCACCTGAGGTCCCGAGATGGTGACTGTGTCCTTGGAGTTGTGGCAGGCGGGCACCACGCCCGGGGGGCAGCGCTGTTTACACTCCTCCCAGGACAAGCCTATGGCAGAGCCAGCCTCAGAGGCTTAGCGTGGACACCGAGCCGCTCCCAGCCACCCACCCACCCAGACACTGCCTGCAGCTGGGGGCAGTAATGACAAGTGTGGTAATGGCAGCCTTGGAGCCTTCATGAGAAAGGTTCGCCCCCTGCTGTGTTTGACCCGTGGGTGGAGGTGTCATTACAGAGCTGCCACTCCAGGGGCAGCTCCTGGGAGCCCAGTCCCCAGATGGTGGCCCCCTCAGTCCTCTGCAGCCAAGGTTCTTTCCAGGTCCTGCCCACATGTGGCCCATGGGGCTCAGAGATGGGTGCCAACAGAGGGCACCAGTCTGAGGGAACCCTGATGACCCGTGTGTTGGCTTCACCAGAGCCCCTGGGTTCTTGCTATGCTGCAGCTGTGTGCTCATCACACGGGGGCTCCACGCAGGCCTGATGCCCATGGACACGTGCCTAGGCCCAAGGCTGCCAGGTGTGGGGCCAGTGGGGCAGCTGCAGGGGACTCGCGCACGGCTGTGTCCGAGCTGGGTGTCCCCGGGCCAGCGGGGGCCACTCTATCCTACGGGGGCCAGGCCAGGGCTGCAGGTGAGGACCCCACAGCGAGAAGGCAGCCTCCTTTCTTGGAGGTGCTGGGGGCCCCTCCGGGAGACCTACCCACGGCTGCCATGGCGCCCGGCGGGAGATGGGCTTCTTTGATGCACTGTCCCCTCCAGTAGGCAGCGAGGACGGCCTCCTCCTGGGACAGGCAGCCGTCGGCGTAGCCACAGGCCACCTCCCCCAGGGAGTGGCCGACGATGCCATCTGGCCTCAGCCCCATGCAGCTCAGCAGGTCTATGAGGCCTATCTGGGGTGGGAACAGGACACTCAGGTTGCAACCTCCAGCAGGTGCAGCTGTTGGGGGCGGCCCCCGGCCCCACTAGGCCATCTCCACCCCCGCGCCCCATCGACCCTCCCAGGTCTCCTGATAGGAAAGAAGCCCCTATGGCCCCCACACAGCCCCACTGAGACCCCTCCTCCCCTCCCGTCCTGCCCCCAGCACAAGGCTCTGCCTAGCAAAGGGGCTGTCAGGGGCCCCGGACTCAACACTGCAGCTCCTGGGCTCCAGGGAAAGCCAGAGCCCTGGGGCTGGCGTTGCTCACACGCTGGCAGGCTGGGCCCTACCTGGATGGCAGTCAGGCTCACAAACGAATGGACGATGTCATCAAAGGTGCTCTCGTCTGTGCTCAGCAGCAGCTGTGACACCTTCAGGCCGAATGGCTTCACAGCCTCATCGGAGCGTAGGATGGAATCTCGGAAGCGGTCCAGGCGCATGAGGCTCAGCCCCATCCCGCGCCACTGTGTGCCCATCCCTGTCCCAGAGAGCACGTCACGAGGCTCAGCCCCATCCCGTGCCACTGTGTGCCCATCCCCGTCCCAGAGAGCACCTCAGGGGACCACCAGCTCCAGTTCGCCTGCCTTTCCCCAGGGAAGGGACCACCTTGGGGGCAGAGTGTGGGCTCACCAGAGCAGATGAACCAGAGCGGGCGCTCGCCAGCGGGCACCTGCTGCACCTCTGGGCCACCGCGCTCACCACCCAGCACAGCGTAGCCACGGAAGGGCATGGCGGTGGCGGGGACAGCCGCGATGTCGTTCAGCATGCTCAGGAAAGCCAGGTCCTGGCTGTGCCGGAGGCCCTGCTCCAGCAGCTTCTGCACGGCCTCAGGGGTGCGTCCGCTGGCCCGCAGCAGACGGGGCAGGGTGGCATGTGGGGCGGGTGCGGGGGGCGGCTGCGTGTTGGGCCTCAGGATGATGTGCACGTTGGAGCCCCCGAAGCCAAAGGAGTTGATGCCCACGTTGCCGCCACGGACGGGCAGGGGCTGGTCCACCACCTGCAGCCGCCCATCCAACAGCGCTGGGATCTCAGGGTTGGGGCTATGGAAGTGCAGGTTGGGGGCCCAGAGCCCGTGCTCCAGGGACAGCAGCACCTGCGGGGGTACGTGGTGGATGGGCAGCCGCCCCACTCCCTCTACCACTGCCTGAGCTGGGGGCAGGCACCTCCCCGAGACTCTCATGTGGGGCCAGGGTTCCAGGGCCCTCTCCGATGCACTTCCTGTCCCCAACCTAATTCTGCCATGGCACAGGGGTCCGAGGACTGAGCCGCCATGGCCCTGCCCTCAGCTTGGTCCAAGACCTCCCCTTCCGGCCTTGCTGCCTCCCAGCCTGATGTGGACCCACCAAAGCCTGGCTGTGGCCTGAACACTAAGGCCCCCTTGGCCCAGATGTTGCATCTCAGAGGCTGCAGAAGTTGGGGGGCAGAGGGCGTGAGTGATCATGGGTGTTGGGGCTCCTGTGCCTGGTCTCTCTAAAGGTCCCCAGGCCTCTGCTAGTGGGTCAGGAAGCTGTAGGGACGGGTGGGCGACACGGGAGACCCTGATGGTGCCGTGGACCCCCCCAGGCCTGCTCCTGCCTCGCTCTTCCCACCCAAGCGGCTCCTCCAGCTCGGCTCCGTGTCCGGCAGACGCTCTGCAGGGCATCAGGCCTCCAGGGAAGGCCCAGCGAGCCTGGCTACGAGCTCTCCCTGCTGTCAGCCTCAGTGCCTCTGCTCAGACCTGCAGCATAGCCCGGGGGACAGAGGCTCCTGGTGGGGAAGCCCCCGCCTCCACTTGGCAAAGAGAAAGCAGCAGTGCCCAGCCATGGCGCAACCCAGTCCCAGGGAGCAGGAGCCTGAGGGACCCCCAAGCCCAGCCCCACCTACCTTGGCCAGGGCTGCCAGCCCCGAGGCTGGCTCCGGGTGCCCCATGTTGGACTTGGTGGAGCCGATGAGCAGCGGCTCCTGGCGGGTGGCGCACAGGGCTCGGGTGATGCCATTCAGCTCCTGGGGGTCGCCCACCTGTGGGAAACATGGGGGGTGAGGGGCTCTGGCCAGGTCACCTCTCCAGGCATGGGCGTAGGTTAGGCTCATGGGGTGGTGAGTGGGGCGGGGGGGGGGGGCATCACCTTGGTGCCTGTGCCGTGGGCTTCGATGTATTCAAATGACTCAGGGGCCACTCCGGCCGACTGGTACAACGAGCGGATGAGCTGCTCCTGGATATCCCCTGAGGGGAAGGTCACGCCTGCGGAGGGCTCGGCTCAGTGCTGCAGCCCCAGCCCCGGCTCCCACCTGCCCCCCAGCACCCCGGAACCCCGGCAGAGCCCACCTTGCTCCTTGAAGCCATCTGTATTGGTGCCGGCGTTCAGGATGGTGGCGTACACCCGCCGGGCCAGGGACTTCTTGGTCAGCAGGACGGCCACCACACCCTCCGAGCGGCAGTACCCATTCCCTGGGTAGAGCAGCACCTCAGGCCCGGGGCTCAGCCCCACGCCGGCCCCCACCCCACCAGGAGGAGCTCTGGGGTGTGGGGTGGGTGCTTGGGTGGGGGATCCCCGGAGCTGGCAGGATCCTGCTCAGCGTGGGGACTGTGCGGGGGGCCGTCCTGTGCCACTGTCCCGCCTGCCCTGGCCGCGCAGCCGCACACTCACCCGCTGTGTCGAAGGCCTTGCAGGTGCCCTCGGGGCTGAGCATCCCCAGCCTCAAGAACTGCACGGAGGTGTTGGGCTTCAGCAGGACATTGATGCCCCCCACGATGGCGGCAGGGCACTGCCCGCTGTGGATGGCCTGGTAGGCGTTCTGCAGGGCCATCAGGCTGGAGGAGCAGGCTGTGTCCAGTGCGATGCTGGGCCCTGCAAGGAAGGGTGCTGCGGCTCAGGTGGGGCTGTGAGCACACGAGACCCCTGAGCACACCTCCTGCCACCAGGCTGGACACACACTGCACGGAGTGAGCCCACGCCACGTGGTTTCTGCTCAGCATGTGGGGACCTGAAGGCCACCCACCTCCGCAGGAGGCTGGGCAGGACCCACCTCTGAAGTCGAAGAAGAAGGAGAGCCGGTTGGCCATCATCGCTCGCTGGCAGCCCACCATGCTGTAGCCCACGAGTGTCTCGGGGTCTCGGCTCAGGGCCTCCGAGGTCTCAGAGCCGCTCACGCCCACCCAGACGCCAGTGTGTGTTCCTCGGAGTGAATCTGGGTTGATGCCTGCCACAAACAGTGGTCAAGGTGCCACGGCCGGGCCCCACAGCGCAGCCAGCCCACCCACCCACCCGGCTCTGGGGCGAAGGTCCCATCTTGGCCTCACTGGCTTGGGGTGAGGGGGGGTCCATCCCAGTGGGACCCTGGAAGGGGCCTAAGGAGGGTGAGGTGTCCTGCAGAGGGGCCAGAACAGAGCCTGTGGCCAGCAGCCAGCCCAGGTGAGGCCTGGAACAGGAACCAGGTCACAGAGGGAACGAGGCGGAGGGGGCAGGCGGGCCCAGGGGAGGGCACCAGGCACGGCCAGAGTGGCTCCAGGAAGGACAGAGGGCAGCATTGTCCCCAGGCGACGCCTTTGGCCCCTGGTGTCACCGGCAGCTCTGATGAGCCCGTCGGCCAGTGGCCTCTCCAGCGCCAAGGGCAGCCTGCACCAGAACAGGCCGTGATAAGGAACCGAGGAGACAAAGGCCAAGTGTCCAGGCTCGGGAAGGAGAGAGGGACACCGGTCACCCCCGGGGAGCATAACCTTAGTCTTGGGGTGGGGTCTGGCAGCAGGAAGGGCGCAGGAGAAGGGCTTCCACCTCTCGGCCAGCAGGGCCCCTCCTCGCCCCTGGTGGGCTGGCTCTGCCCTAGGGTGGGTGGGTGTGTGAACCGCTCACACCCAAGGGCAGCCCAGGGCTCAGCCTCCCCCTCAGGAGGTCCTTCTCCGCCCGGGGAGGGAGCACCTGGATCTTAAGAAATGGCATGGCTGGGCGTGGTGGCTCATGCCTGTAATCCCAGCACTTTGGGAAGCTGAGATGGATGGATCACGAGGTCAAGAGATCGAGACCATCCTGGCAAACATGGTGAAACCCCATCTCTACTAAAAATACAAAAATTAGCCGGGCGTGGTGGTGGGCGCCTGTAGTCCCGGCCACTCAGGAGACTGAGGCAGGAGAATGGTGTGAACCCAGGAGGCAGAGCTTGCAGTGAGCTGAGATCGCGCCACTGCACTCCAACCTGGTGACAGAGTGAGACTCCGTCTTAAAAATAAATAAATAAATAAAAATAAAAATAAAAAAACGGCGTGGCGCTTGTCCGAGGTCAAATGCCAGTCAGAGCGAGGGCCAGGCTGGCGGGAGAGGGTTGAAATGCCTGGGGTGGGGGGACGTGGGCAAGGGTAGTGGGGAGGGTGGGAGGGGAGAGACAGCAGGGCCGGTGCTGTCCGCTGCTTGGCTGGTGGGGGTGGGGGCCTGGAGGGCCCCTCAAGAACCTCCTGCTTTGCCTCTCGTCACTCCAGCCCCGGCCCCGGCCCCAGCACCAGCCAGACATCAGAAGCGAGGAGACTGGTACGCTCAGGTCAGGGCACACCCGCGACACCTCTGGGGTGCAGTTGGGAAACTGCGGCCTACCCCGTGGCCCACACCTCCCTGAGCCCGTTGGCCAGGCCAGGGGCACAGCCGGGGAGGGTAGGTGGTGCCAGCACCTGGTTCTACCAGAACCAAGAAGAGAAAACACTGCCTATTCCACGTGAGCAGCAGGAGCCCTCGGCGCAGCAGTCGCGAATGCCCGACCCACCTCCGTCCACGATGGCTTCATAGGTGACTTCCAGCAGCAGCCGCAGCTGAGGGTCCATCGTGTGTGCCTGCTTGGGGTGGACTCCGAAGAAGGAGGCATCAAACCTAGACAGGTCCTTCAGCTTGCCGGACCGCCGGGGCAGGCCGTAGAGCCCTGTGGGACAGGCGGGTGTTTAAATCTCTGACGGAAGCTGCCCAGAGGTGGGGGCCCTGTGGGGTGCTGCAGGCCCCTGGAGGGGCCATGGTGGAACTGAGGACTCTCTGCTATGCCTGGGAGGCCCAAACAATGGAGCAGGCTCCCCAGGAGGGGAAGACCATGGCCCCAAAGCGGGGACTGGTACGACCAGATCTGCTGCACAAGCCCCAAGCCCCAAGCCCCAATCCTGAGATGGGCCGCAGAGCAGAGAGCTCGGCGGGAGTGAGGCTGGGGGACCATCTGCCGGGCTGGTGCCTCGGCTCTACCATGCTGACTCACAGCTTGCCTGTCAGG
Organism: Homo sapiens; assembly: GCF_000001405.40. Taxonomy (NCBI): domain Eukaryota; kingdom Metazoa; phylum Chordata; class Mammalia; order Primates; family Hominidae; genus Homo; species Homo sapiens. Next base: position 82,095,809 of record NC_000017.11, read on the forward strand.
TAGAGCTGCTCTGTGGAAGAGCCTACTGGGTGTGGGGCAGTTGCTCCAGCCTCCCGGAGCACATCTGGTATGCAACCTCCCAGCTCAGGACAGACACAGGCAGGGGCAGCCTGGCCGGAAGGGCTCTGGCCCCCCGCACCCCCTGCATGGGTGAGAGACCCCAGCCCGTCACCCATCCTCTGAGCTTGGCTCCTCCGTAACAAGCAGATGGGCCCTGCCTGGGCCAGCCCTCGGCCTTGCAGCCATTGGGGGAGCCTCCTGTTGGCCTTGCAGCCGTTGAGGGAACCTCCTGGCAGGCTGGGCGCATTTTCTAGGCCACTCTGGTGCAATGTCCAGGAAGGAGGCTGCAGCTAGGCCTCGCCCATGGGTGACCAGTGGCTCTGCAGCTGGGACCGGCCTCAGGCCAGTGCCTGGGTGGTGAGGACACAGCACAGCAGGGAGGCTGCTGTGAGGACAAAGGTGGAGATGGAGCTTCACACCCCAGGCACGGGGAGCCCCGCAGCCACATACCCGCCTTCCAGCGACGGTCATCGTCCGTGACCATGTCCACACCGCCGATGAGGTTGTCCCAGAACTCCTGCAAGTTCTCCGACTCTGGCAGCTTCCCGGACATGCCGGCAATCACCACCTCCTCCATGGCTGCTCTGCAGGGCGGGCGGTGTGAGTGCCCCACACATCCCGGCCACGACACCCCCGTCAACAGCCTCGGCACCCAGAACAGGTGGACACCCATGGGGCCAAGCACCACCCTGAGGGTCCGTGCGGGCCCTGGCTCCTGCGGCTCCCTTCCTCATGTGGCCAGTTCCTGGGCCCTGACCCCGCTCTCGCTGGGAGGGGCTGCGTGCTCTGGGAACAGGCCCGCCTCTGGGCCCTGACCCATTCAGTTCAGGGTATTGGCTGGGGTACCCCACTGGAGCCCTGCAGCCCTGGCCTCCCCAGCAGTTACTGGTTTCTGCGCCTGTGTCGGCTTCCACTCGCCTGAGTCTCAGCCTTCCAAGGCTCCTGGAGCTTGTCCCAGGCCATCCCTAGGGCACCAGGGGGCTCACAGTGAGGAGCAGGCAGGGTCACCTGAGATGGGGACAAGGCCTCAGGTGGCCAGCCTGCTAAGGGCCATCAAAGAAATGGAGAGGCAGGGTCCCAAAGCCGGGGCATGGAGGTGGCTGGGAGCCCTAGAGGGGGGTACTCAGCACCCATGCTCACCCGTGTTGGGGTGGGGGCCCGCTGTCCAGGCCAGCCCAAGAGCCACCAGGGCTGGGGAGGGACGAAATGGGGATAGCCTATGCTCTGGGGGAAAGGTGGCCCCTGCCCCACTGTGGACCGACCCAGCCAGTCCAACCCCTCCAGCAGGGTCCAACCTGGAGAACCACTCCTGGCCAGGACACGCAGGTGTTGCCTGGCACCCTTCACCTGCGCGGGTGAACCCACAGACGCTTGCCTCCCCATACCAACCCACACACCACAGGAGGCCCTCCCTGGAGCCCAGGTCCCTAAGACCCGGAACGGGTGCCCAGGCCGCCGGCTCCTCCTCCAGCATGAGGGCTGGTGCGGCCCTGGGGGGAGGGGGCGGAGGCCAGCGCTGGTCTGGCCACTTGCACGAGGCCCCAGGGCCTGATACGCGCGCCGCCCCTCGGCAGTGCGGCCTCCCTTGGGCCGTCCCGGCAGGGAGGCGGCCGCCTTCCCACCCGCTGCGATTCACAGAGGCTTGGCTGCCCCGGGCCAGCTCCAGGCCCGCACGCTGGGTCCTCGCCGCTTGCTATTCACGCGGGGTCGACGGCCAGGCAGGGGGTGGGAACACCGCGGCGCGCCCGGCCTCCCTTCGCCCCGGGCGGGGGCTGCTCGGGACCCCTGCGCTTCGGCCGGGCTGCGCCACGTGATGGGGAGGCCGGTCCCGGCGCGGCCCCTGCGCCCCCCCGTTCCTCCCTCGCGGCGTCCCCTTCGGGCTGGGCCTCGGCTCCGGGGCGGCTCCGGGAGGAGGATGCGGCGGCGCCTTTGTGGGCGCGGGGAGGCCGAGCCGGGGGCTCCTCCAGGCCCTTCAGGGTCCGCGGCCTCCCCCACGGGAAGCGAAGGCGGCTGTTGGTGGCTTTCCCCGGCGTCCTTCCCCCGCCATCCGCCCACCTACTCCGCGGGGCCCCGGGCGCCTCCGAAGGGGCACGAACACCGAGACCCGGACAGGCCGCCCAGGCGACCCCTGGATACGGGGCCGGGCCACGCGCGCCCCGAGAGCGGAGGATGAGGAGCCGGGCCACCCCGGGAACCCCGGGCCCAGCCCCGACCACGACCCGCGCCCCGGCCCCAGCGCCGGCTGCTCGTACCTGGTGAGGGCGCGGGCGGCGGTGCGGGCGGCGGAGAGCGAGGCTGGAGCGCGGCGGAGCGGGAGGCTGAAGCGCGGCGGAGAGGGAGGCCGGGGCCGCTGCCGTCTCTCTGGCTCCCTCTAGGCCGGCGCCGACGCTATTTAAACCGCGGCCATCCCCGGGCGGCCACGCCACATGGGCTGACAGCTTGGCTGCGCCGCCCAGGCCAATGAGCGTCGGGGCTGCGCCCCGGGACCCGGCGCGCCGCCGCCGGTGGGGTGATGCTCGTGCGCGCCGCCGCCCGAGCCGGGACCCTGCGCGGGAACGCGCCTGGGGGGGTGGGGCTGGGACTGAGGAGCGCCGGGGGCGGGGCGGGCGGGAAACCACCGCCCCCCGACTTCCGCCTCCCGCCCCGCGGGCCCCGACGCGCACGCGGCTGCGACCGAGCCCGCGGCGCGCCTCCCGAGCCATCCCCGACCCCCGTGTCCGCCGGGGCCACGTGTGCGGGATGGGAATGCTTGGGCCACACTGGGGACTACCCCGTGGCCACACCGGGGGTCCAGCCGGCTGCGGCGGGGCGCTCGGACCCACAGGCGCGCGGAAGGACGGACGGACCCGCGTGCCCGCACTTCGGCCGCCGACTCCACGCCGCCGTCGCTGCCCGCGCGGAGCTGGCTGAGGGCGCGGCGTTGCGCGGCGCGGCGGCAGCAGCAACCAATCGGGCGCCAGGGGTGTTCGCACCGGCCCAATGGCGGCGCGCGGGTGGGCGTTGCTAGGCGATAGGGTGATGGGCGGGCGGCGGGGCGGTCCCGGATGCCTCGCGGGCCGCGGCGCAAGTGCGGGCGTTGACCCCGGCCGCGGGCGCCCCGGCCGGGGTTACTGCCGGTCATCGCAGCGCATCCCCGGTTTTCCTCGCGGGTGCGGCGGGGAACCCAGACCCGAGACGGACGTCCACCCACCCGACGGCCCCTCCTTAGCAGCTTCCCGGGGACCCGGACGAGGCGCAGGGCCGAACGGGCGAGCGCACTCCAGGCCGCTGGAGCTCGGCGGAGGGGAGGGGCGCGGCCACGTGGCGAGCGGAGTCGGCCGGGACACCCACCTGGTGTGGTGCGGACAAAGGGAGCCGCTGCCCCACTTCCCAGGGCGGAGGCTGCGAGTTTTCCAGGCGCGCACCCACGGGCGGGGGCTCAGCCCGGCCCTCGCGCGCTCCCTCCCTCCCGAGTGATTCCTCGAATCGTGGCCCCTTGGGCGGCCTGAGCCCTGAAGCGCGGCCTCCCTTTTCTGACCGCTTCGCGCTTGCGGGGCCAGGCACCCCATGGGGGGCAAGCGGGCCTTGTGAGGCCACAGGTGTCTCTGGCTGCGTGTCCTACTTTGAGGGCTCAGCAAGCCCGGGCCGCTGAAGGGGAACCGGAGACTGGGGCCCCCGGCCCCTCTGCAGGTGTCCCGCTTCCTTCCTCTCCTGAGAGCAGGCCTGAGGGTCAGGCGGCCACTCCGCGTCTTTTCCCTTCTGGGGCTGTGGTTGACGCACGGTGGGACCGAGGGTCAAGGAAGGACAAGGGAAGACAGGGCCGGGGCTGGCCCCGCACTGCTGTCCCCACTGCGGGGGTTCTTCTGATTCAGGGTGAGGCCCTGTGTCAGCCTCAGGCGTGCGGGCACGCAGCTCCGGCTCTCCATGCTCCAAACCTCCCAGGTGGCCCTGGCTGCCAGTGCTGGTGATCAGCGGCCAGCGGGGCCCTGCTCTCTGCAGCCTGTCGAGGGCTGGGCCAGCTACAGGGGAGCCCTGGCTGGCTCCCAAGGAGGTTGGAGACTCGTCCAGCACCCTGAGGGCTTCCACAGAAAGTGAGCGGCAGCGGCCGGGCTTGGTGGCTCACGCCTGTAATCCCAGCACTTTGGGAGGCCAAGGCGGGCAAATCACGAGGTCAAGAGTTGTAGACAAGCCTGGGAAACAGGGAAACTCCGTCTCTACTAAAAATACAAACATTAGCCGGGTGTGGTGGCGCGTGCCTCTAGTCCCAGCTACTCGGGAGGCTGAGGCTGGAGAATAGCTTGAACCCAGGAGGCAGAGGTTGCAGTGAGCCGAGATTGCACCACTGCATTCCAGCCTGGGCGACAGAGCAAGACTCTGTCTCAAAAAAAGAAACAAACAAAAAAACCTCACAGGGCCGTGACTCGATTCCAGGGGACATGTGTGGGAGACCACAGAGCACTGAGAGCCTCCAGCCCATCCCCAACTCCGTCTGGATTCCCATGGAGCAAGTGACGGAGGCTAACCTCAAACGCCCCTGCCCTGGGGCCACAGCCTTTGTCTGTGTGGTGTGGTCTCTGCTTGTCACGGTTATCCGGCCCGCACACCTGTGAGCTAGGCCAGCCGATGGCACTGTCTATATTTTACACTGGGGGTGCAAACCAAAGCTGCAAAGGTCCCACGATTTGCCAAGGTGGCACGGCAGGTTAGGGCTGGGAGCAGCGTTCTCCCATCGTGTTCCCAGAGAAGCTGTCTGCCCAGTTCAGAAAGGTGGCCCGAGGGTATATGGCAAGGCCCGTCAATTCACCCAGCTGGGTACCGGCTGCCTCCACCCCTGCACTCTGCTGTGGGCAGAGTGTGACCAGGCCTGGGGGGTGCGGGGGACAGAGACTGGGCTCCTGAGGAGTGGGGGTGGGATATGAACCCCCCCCAGTCACCATCCTGCCGGTCGCAGAGCACTGCGTCCGTGTGATGAACCCCCACCCCAGTCACCGTCCTGTCGGTTGCAGAGCACTGCGTCCGTGTGATGAACCACCCCCAGTCACCCTCCTGCCGGTCGCAGAGCATTGTGTTCGTGTGGAGGACACGCGAGGACTCTTGGAAGTGCTTTTTGGCGGGGTAGTGCAGTGTGTTCCGGGCGGACGGGCGTCAGTTTACGTGTGCGTTTCTCATCCTTGCAGGTACCTGGCCCCGGGCACTCAGGTGGCAGGGACATTTTGCTGTTATCCTTCGTGGGGGTGGACGTGGAAGGCCCAGCAGTGACCGCTGTCCCCGGTTGGCCCCCACCCTGCCAGCACCTGACATGCACACCCCAACCTGCATGAGGCCCAGGTGCCCACCTGGCTTCCAGGGGTCACCTTGGCCCGGTTCACTGGGATCCAAGGCTCTCACTCCTTCTGGGAGGGCCCCTCCCATGGTACTCTCAGGAGACGCCTGCTTTGTGGGTGGGCTTTCTGATCTGCCCCCTACCTGCTACCAGGCTCTGAGGAAGGCCACACTGTCCCCAACACCACTGGTGTGCAGATGGCTGTGGGTGGTGACACGGGCAGGCCAGGCTCTGGCACAGGCACTTGATACTGCATTTCCCAAGTAGGACAGATAAACAACGCTAAGGCCAAGCAGACGCCCCAGGGAGGAACCTGGTTTTAATGGGCCCTGTGCTCAGGGAGGCCTTCAGTCAGCAGGGTCGCCTCAGCAGCATTTGGGAGCCTGCCCTGCAGCTCCCTGCCTCCACCCTGCACGCTGTGCCCACACCCCCCCACAACACGTAGGTGAAAGCACAGGCACCATGCGGAGGCCCCGAGCACCCCTTAGTGGGGCGGGGTGGGGGGAGGAAGTCAGTCCATAATGTTGTAGTTACGGATCTTGGGGGGCCTCTGGCAGCCTTTAGCTTTTGCAGGATGAGACCGGGAGGCTCCTGTGGTCTTGGCCTTTGCCTGGGCTGCTGTCTTCATCCCTGGGGTGGCAATGCCTGCCTGCATCTTGACGGGCCTCCTGTCGGCTGCTGGAGGAGCTGGGAGCTCTGTCAGGTAAAGAGGAAAAAACAGCATGCATCAGGATGGCAGGGGGAGCAGGAGGCTGTGCTCACAGGCACTGCACAGGTGCAGCACTTCCGTGTTCCCGGCCAGCGGGGGCCCTGTGACCCTTGGCCTGGCTTTCCTCCAGGAGTCCGTGAAGGCCAAAGGATCCTGGAGTGACCAGAGAGCTGTGGCCTCGCCTTGCTCAGTGGGTCCTGCTTGGCAGGGACTGGGCCTGCCCCTCCACTGGGCACCTGGACATGTGGCTCTGAAAATGGTCCTGTTGTGACCATTTCGTAATGGGTCCCAGGAGGGGGCAGGGGTGCTGTGTGGTAATGGGTCCCAGGAGGGGGCAGGGGTGCTGGGGTAAATGGTTGACTCAAAGCTCCTCCCCCCAGGCTGCCCCGGGTGTCCCTACCATCTGAGACACATTGCCTGCCCCCGCCTCCCCGATGGGCCAGCAGTGCCAGGCTTTTGAGGCCAAAGGAAAGGCCGTGCTGGTGGGCACCACGTGGCCAGGCACAGGCCAAGGGCCCAGGAGTGCGCTACACACAGAGGCTGGGGCCTAAATGCCAGATAGCCCTTCCTAAACATCGGCTAAAACCATCTTCGCAGAGGGGTGTTGTAGGTGATCTTCTTTATCTGGCCAGTTTTTCTCTATTTTTCATTTTTTCAATTAAGAATGTGGGGGTTTTTTTTGGTAAAACAACAGCAAAATGTTACTAAAAATCCATGCAAGGGCTGGGCTTGGTGGCTCACGTCTGTAATCCCAGCACTTTGGGAGGCCGAGGTGGGTGGATCACCTCATGTCAGGAGTTCAAGACTAGCCTGGCCAACAATGGTGAAACGCCGTCTCTACTAAAAATACAAAAAATTAGCCGGGCACGGTGGCGGGCACCTGTAATCCCAGCTACTTAGGAGGCTGAGGCAGCGGAGTCGCTTGAACCCGGGAGGCAGAGGTTGCAGTGAGCCGAGATTGCGCCACTGCACTCCAGCCTGGGCGGACAAGGGCAAACTCTATCTCAAAAAAAAAAAAAACAAAAAAAACCCCACAGTAAGATGTGAGCTCAGCGTCCACTGCGTGGCCACACTGTGGCTGGGGTGAGGTCTAGAGGACTCCAGCACGTGGCTGAATGTGGCCCAGTGGGCAGTCTGGACAGGCTGACCCAGGCAGGTCAGCGGGCGGCCAACGCCTCCTGCTGGAGCCCAGCCTGTGTGGTCTGCGTGCAGCCTGGGTGACTGGGAAGCGTCTGTGCTTTGGGGACACCGGCAATGACGCACTCTCAGCTGGGCTGCGCAGTGCCCATGGGGGCAGCCACACACTCCCAGCCCTGGCCCTGGGCCCCTCTTCCCATCTCAGCTTCTTCCACTCCGATCCACTCTTGGGGTCTCAAGACACCCGGAACCAGTCTTCCTTTTCCTGCAGCCCCGTTGGGGTCACACAGTCCCTGGCCCCCTGCTGGGGTCCTGGGGGGCCCTGGACGCTGCCTGCTCCCTTTGTTTCCAACCCCCAGAGGAATTCCTCCTCTTCACACAAAGGCTACCACCCTTTATCTCTCAACAATAAGCCTGCCTGACCTCCTGGTCCCGGCCAACGCCCCCATCCCCACTCCCTCCCCCCACCCCCCACACTGGCTGGCAGAGGGTGGGGTATCCCGTGGAAAGGGCTTCCTGCGGGGAAGCTGGTCCTCTGACCAGGCCCTAGTGCTCCACTGTGACCCTGAGGCATCTCCTCAAACCCAGAGGCCTTGGTTGTCCCTCTGTAATGCTCAGGGATTCTGGGGGCTTTGCCCGGCTTGATCCTCCTCAGACAAAGCCTGTGGGGATTTTCAGAAAAAGTGAGCTGAGGGAGGGGGGTGAAGGGCCTGCCCCTTTGCCTGGGAGGCCTGAGCTGGCCCTGCTGGGAGGACCCTGGCTGTATCCCGGGGCGAAGCAGGGAGGTGTGAGTGGGTCACAGTCCCCGGGGCAGGGAGGGGCAGGGAGGGGCAGGGAGGGTGAGCTGGCCCCCTCCCCAGGGCAGGCCGGCCCCTAGCTCAGAATATCCACTTTACAGGCTCTGGTTTCTTCACTGGTCCTTTTCCTGCGGAGCCCTCCTCAGTGATGGTGGCAGGGAACTGGCCATGAGCCCAGGACCCCAGGGCAGCGGACAGCCCCAGCCCAGCCAGTCCTAGGTCAGAGGCACGGAGCTGGATGTGTCAAGGCGGCTGCCCCAGGCGTGACTCCCTGTGACCCCGGATTCTTCTACCTGATGCTAATCTGAGGTCAACCCAGTAACTGGTGTGTAAAAACGCTCTTGGCCTCCACCACTCTCTGCCCCGCCTTCTCGCCTGACCTGTTTTGCCGAGCCTGGCCGGGATTTCTCTTTCTGCGTTGGGCTGACTGGGCCGCAGGGAAACCATGTGGACACACAGTTTGCCGGGCACAGCGTGAGGAACGCGCCTCTTGGGTCCTGCACCCCTCCCCCACGGGCTGCTTGTGCTCTGGCCCCGAACTGAGCTTCTGGAAAGTTCCTGAAACATCCAAGGCCTTGCAGTGATTAACCAGGGGAGGGGGACTGGGGCCTGCTTGCCCCTCCCAGGCTTAACCCCTCCCAGGTCCTGGTGTGTGCTGAGGCAGGGCCACCCAGGCTGGGCTCCGTCCCCTCAGGCGGCTGCACCATACTTGGAGGGTTTTTTAAATTTTTATTTTTATTTTTGAGACGGAGTCTCACTCTGTCGCCCAGGCTGGAGTGCAGTGGCGTGATCTCAGCTCACTGCAAGCTCCGCCTCCCGGGTTCACGCCATTCTCCTGCCTCAGCCTCCCGAGTAGATGGGACTACAGGCGCCCGCCACCACGCCCCGCTAAGTTTTTTGTATTTTTAATAGAGACGGGGTTTCACCATGTTAACCAGGATGGTCTCGATCTCCTGACCTCGTGATCCACCCACCTCGGCCTCCCAAAGTGCTGGGATTACAGGTGTGGGCCACCAAGCCCGGCTTGGAGGTTTGAAGCTGGTGGAATCTCAGGGAGGACATAGCCTGTCCTATTGCAGGGAAGGTGCGGCCCTCACTCCCGTCTCAGCCTGGGGGCATGAGAACTCTGAGCACAAAGAGGACGGAGCTGGTCCCCAGCTTTCTGGCCACCCTGTGAGTTTCTTCTCCTGCACCTGAGCCTCAGCTCAGCTCTTGACCAAGTTGGCCTCTGGTGGCTCATTCTCCAGGCTGCTCCGGGCTCTCTGGGTGCCCCTGGGCACACCTACGTGGCTTCCTAGGGCTTTGGGAAGGGCCAGACGGTGAGCCCACGCCTTCCCTGGTTCTCCAGAGCCTGCCTTGGGGCTGGGGAGGGCCTGGCCCTGATGGCAGCTCAGGCCTCAAGTCCATTCTGTGGCACAGAGGCCCTTCCGTCTCCCTGTGGCCTCCGCTGCTCTGTGTGGTTCACCCCTGCTGTGTCAAGGGCCCTTGTTCTGCTGAACCCCCTCTGGCTGCCACAGGGGTCCTCACGCACCCAAGATCAACCCTTCTCAAATGCATCTAGTTATTTCCAAGTCTCTTGGGAACAAGGCTTTTCCCACCACTGTCAGCACGGCACCCAGGCCTTTAGTGCAGACGGTGACAGTGAATGTGACTTGACTCCCCCCACCCCGAATCTCCAGAAGCTGCGTGCACCTTTCCAGGGTCCCCACGCCTGGGAGGCTCACAGGCCACGCCCACCCGTGTCTCCCCAGCCTGCGTCAACCCTCACCTGCTAAAGTCTCCTAATGGACACCCCCACCCCTGAGCTCCTGGAGCTCAGCCCTGGGGGGTCACCGTGGCCCCGGGGCTGCCTTTGTGGGACTGAGTGTGACAACAGGAGAGCAATGGGGTACAGGGGGAGGGAGGCCCACGTGATCTGGTTCCCACGGTCCCTCCACAGGGGGACACTCCGGGCCTGCTATGTCCAGCTGCCTTCCCCACCTCACTGGCACATGGAGCCTGGAGCCCCCACTGGGCAGATGCACAAGAGGGGAGGGTACTGGACATTGCATGCTCCAGGGCTCTGGGCAGTCCTGCCACCCATCACTCAGCCTGGTGAGGCAGGGCCAGCAGGAAACCCCAGATCCTTCAGGCCCCGCCTGCTGGCCTTTGGAGCAGAGGAGAGGTGGGCCCTCGGGGGCCTGGGCGCCGACCACAGGCTGACCCCTTGTTTCATGCCAGCACCTCCTCTGGGCGCCTGTGGCTACTCCCCCAACGGCACTGGCAGGTCCCCTGCTGCTGCTGAGCCTGCCCAGGCCTGTCTGCTACAGCCTGTCAGTGTTGCCCAATGTGGGCCCCATCCCAGCCCTTGAGAGGAGTCACCTAGTAGTGGGGTGCAAGCTGGAGCCCCAAGGAAGGGAATTCAAGGGAAACACATCGTGGGCATAAGGCTTTGAGAGACGTGGGTCTGTCCCTACCGGAGGCTGCATCACGGAAGGCGGGCACACAGGCCTCACTTGGGCGAGAAGAGACCCAGAGACGCATGGCCTTCCTCCTGGGCCGGCTCCCGACCAGAGCCCATCTGAGCTCAGCCCACAGGAAGGGGAGGTGCCAAGAACCCCAAGCACAGGTGGCTGCAGGCTGGTGGGTGCCGAGGAGGCCACTAGGAGGCTGAGACGGTGAGAGCCAGGGCCAGGCAGTGGCCTGAGAGCTGGACAGCCTCTGGGTATCTCCACACCCCACCCTTCTCCTGCCTTTCAGAAGAGTAAACGCAGGAGAACGCCCTGAGGCCCCGGAAGGAAAGTGACAGGCAGCGGCTGAGCTGGGGCGACAGGAAGTGGCAGCTGTCTCCGCTGTTTCGGAGGCATGGGAACTGTTTCCTGGTCCTAAAGTGAGGAATGCTGGCCTCATGCCCCTTGGGCCAGGACTCTGCACTGAGTGCTGAGTGCCTGGGCTGGTGTTTAGACGACTCGTGGTCTCTGTTGGCACTGTCTGGGGACAGCAAAAAGCAGCAGGGGCCAGTGTGCAGGGGAGATTCTGGGTAAAATTCATGAAAAGGGAACTTTCAAAAGGGGCCCATGGGGCCTTCCCAGGTCTGCCAGGCCAGCTTACAGCTCCAGGTGGGCACCCTAGCATCTCAGGGCCATAGACCAGCAGGTCACCGCCATGTCCCCGGGGAACAGCACTGCCTGCCACTCACTTTGCCTGAGACCCGTGTCTCAGGGCTGCTCCCTGCATGTCTTGGCAGGAGGGCGGACAGCTGGGAAGGAGGCCACACGCTCCTCCAGGGAGCCTGGCTCTGCAGGAGCTACGCCAGCCACACACTTATCAGCTGCCCGACCTGCTCAGGACACTGAGGGCCACATGCCTGGCCAAAGGCCTCTCCCCACTCCCTCTTCTCCCCTGGAGACCAGGCCCCTGGAGTTGCTCTCCAGAGATCTGGGCAATGACCCTCTGGATCCCAGGGTTTTTGGTTCCCCTGGGAAAAGAGGCAAAGGCCCACACACCTGCAGCAGGTTGGGGGTGGGGGGATGCATGGCACAGTGGCTTGGCACCCGGGTGGGGCACAGATGCCGCGGGAGTGGGGAGTGGGGAGTGGCTGCCTCGAACCCTGCTGTGTGGCTTGTCACCCTCCATGGCGTCTCTGCGCCTCCGTTTGACTCCAGCTGCACGGCACACGGGGCGAGGTTAGCATCAGGGGCCAAAGCGGACCCCCGCCAGAAAGGAGGAAGAGGCCCCCAGGTAGGTGCGTGCTTCTGGACCTGGCGCTCGGCACACTGTGAGGATGGGCGGATGGAGTTGGTCTGCAGGTTCCAGAATGAATGGGGCCCTGTTGTGACAGGAGAAGGAGGGCAGCCTGGGTTGAAGAAACACCCCCTGCTGTCCAACAGCTGCACTGCCCGCTCCCCTGGCAACACCTGCCACGTGGACTGGAGAAGACACATTAGCCCTTGGGCTGGAAGTCGTGGACCGGCGTCCACCTGAGATGGGACTCTGGGAGGGAACAGCCGCCGGCCCTCCTGCCTCAGCTGCTCTCAGCATCCTACAGTGCCATCGGGTGCTCTCAGGACAGATGCCTACAGAACAGGCTTTTCTAAAGAAAGGGGGTGGGCTCCAGGGCCCAGAGTCACGGCACGGACGAGGGGGCTTTGGATCACTCTGCACACACCTCAGGATGGAAGTCCTGGTCAGCAAATGCATGAGCATTTCTGGTGGACCCACCTGCTCCTGGGGCAGGCTGGTCTCTATCCCCATTCCCAATCCCACGTGCCTCCTTGCCTCTGTCCACGTGATGTTGGAGCAGCAAGCCTTCTCCAAGCTCAGAGTCAGAGGCCACAGGCCACTGTCCCCTTGGCCAGGCCGCAGTCCTTGACTCTGGAGCACTCGGAGAGCAAGTGGCAGAGACGAGTGACCTGCGGCCGCTCTGGCGCTCTGCCTCCTAGTGAGATGAGTGTCATGGCTTGCCCGGGTCCTGGAGTTGTGCTGAGAGAGCACCTGACCTGTGATCCCACCCCTGAAAACGGGCTCCTCTGTGGACAGCCGGGCTGTTCTTGCTCCTCGAAGGAGTCCCCCAGCCCCTCAGGAAAGAGGTTCGGCCCTGGTCACAGACTGGGCATAAAATCTGCATATTTATAGCAGGGTCCGCCGAAAGCCTAAAACAACAGTGAGTTTCAGGGCAGGATCTCTCTTGCTTGTGTTGCATTGGTGTCATGTTATCGCTGGCTCTGAGTTTTAAAGGGAAATACACAGGGTAGTGCATGTGACGGTGTCCAAGACGCACAGCAGATTTTCATTCACAAAAAAATCTGACCACAAGAGCTAAACGGAAATACCTTCCGCTGTCCTTCCCAAGTCACAGAGCAAACACCTCAGTTCCCAGGGGTCCGCATCAGTTCTGGTGGAGGCGGTGACTGTGAGCGTGACCAGCTGGGCTAATTCGTCCTGACATTTAGTTGGGACAGCTATAGTTTCCTACCTCTATGACCAGAGAGTGAAGCGTTTCACTGAAGAACTGTGGCCGGCGTCTCCAGGAAAGGAAGGAGCCTCGCTTTCTCCAGGGCAGGGGCAGCGTGGGGCGGGGCAGGCCGGGTGTGTCTGTGGGGAGTGGGCGCGTGCTCACACTCTTTAAGCTGCGACTGCTTCCTTTAGGACAGAATGAAGTTCTTCGAGGAGGCCGATGAAGACAGAATATGGATAAGGCCAAACCTACACAAAATCCTTCTACATCTTCATATCAAAACATGTTAAACATAAACCTCCAAATACCTACAGGGATACAAGCACAGGGCTTCCTAAACAGGCGGGATATGCAGCCTCGTTCTATCCCAGGCCCACACAGAAAGTGTTGGGGGAGTCACTGAAGGAAGGAGGAGAAAGAGCTCAGAAGAAGCCATAAGAGAGCAAGACATGGACAGGAAACCAAGTGGCCCCAGCGCCCCGCAGGAGAGCTCAGACTCCAGGGCTGGGGTGGCGCAGAGCGGGGCGTGTGGAGCGCATGCCTGCGAGGGGCCTACGAGGCGGCTGCGAGGCATAAGGTTCTGTGAGCCCGGTGTGAGCTGGCAGATGTTACCACAGGACAAAATTAGAATGTGTAACTTGTAAAACAGCAGAGAAAAACTTGATTTCTCCCATGTAAAACAAGAATGTAGGAAAATGAAACAAATGGAAAATAAATAATATGGAGATTAAGTTCCAGTAGACAATAGTTCAATGGATATTTATAGATGAGTAAACTGACTAATGAAAAAGAATTCTTAGATTGAACTTTTTAAAAATAAAGATCCGGCCAGGCGCGGTGGCTCACACCTGTGATCCCAGCACTTTGGGAGGCTGAGGCAGGTGGATCACGAGGTCAGGAGATAGAGACCATCCTGGCTAACAAGGTGAAACTCCGTCTCTACTAAAAATACAAAAAATTAGCCGGGCGTGGTGGCGGGCACCTGTAGTCCCACTTACTCGGGAGGCTGAGGCAGGAGAATGGTGTGAACCTGGGAGGCGGAGCTTGCAGTGAGCTGAGATCGCGCCACCGCACTCCAGCCTGGGCGACAGAGTGAGACTCTGTCTCAAAAAAATAAAAAATGAAAAAAACAAAAGATCCAACAATAAAAGATCCAGTTAAAAAGACAGAAAAAGTAAAAATTAAAAAATAAAATAGAATTAGGCAGAAAACGTCATAAGAGGCAAAGAAGTCTGTTTTTTTTTTTTTTGAGACAGAGTCTCACTCTGTCACCCAGGCTGGAGTGCAATGGTGTGATCTCAGCTCACTGCAATGTCCACCTCCCGGGTTCAAGCAATTCTACTGCCTCAGCCTCCCGAGTAGCAGGGATTACAGGTGCCTGCCACCACGGCCAGATAATTTTTGTATTTTTTGTAGAGATGGGATTTCACCATGTTGGCCAGGCTGGTCTTGAACTCCTGACCTCAAGTGATCCACCCTCCTCGGCCTCCAAAATGCTGAGATTACAGGCGTGAGCTGCCATACCTGGCCAGAACTCTGTATTTTAAAAGGTAAGACTTCAGATGCAGAAAAAAGAAAAAAATAAATAAAAAGGTACAACTTCAAAACATGTCAAGTACTGACGGACAGAGCTGCAGGAAAGAGGTAACTGAGAGTAGATGAAGCTGTTAACTCACCCATGTTCCTCAAAAACAAACAAACCCATGTCCTCCTGGCAAAAACTCATTCATCAACGGGGACTGGTTGGCTTGAGTCATGAGGCACAGGAGGTCTAACCTTACAGGTAGATGATTCACTTTCTCTTTCGGCAAACAGACCATGCCTAGAATCTCATCATACCAGGCCACAGAGCAAGTCTCAATTCATTTCAAATGTAACACAATAAAATTTGAAACCAACATCAAAACCTCTCATCCTGCTTCTGCTTCAAAATTGTAAAACCTACTACTGAATAATTTTTGGTTATAGAGAAAATCATAAAATGAATTATTTATGCCGGGCACGGTGGCTCGCGCCTGTAATCCCAGTACTTTGGGAGGCCGAGGCGGGCGGATCACCTGAGGTCAGGAGTTGGAGACCAGCCTGACCAACATGGAGAAACCCTGTTTCTATTAATAATACAAACATTATCTGGGCATGGTGGCACATGCCTGTAATCCCAGCTACTCGGGAGGCTGAGGCAGGAGAATCGCTTGAACCCTGGAGGTGGAGGTTGCGGTGAGCCAAAGAAAAAAAAAAAGAAAAGAAAAAAGAGCATATGTGCAGGAGTAGAAATAGACAGAAGACAGCCTCATCATCTCCTCAGCACAAAAACAGAATCAAAGACAGACTTTGTTTGTTTGTTTTTTGTTTTTGTTTTGTTTTGGGACGGAGTCTTGCTCTGTTGCCCAGGCTGGAGTGCAGTGGCGCGATCTCGGCTCACTGCAAGCTCTGCCTCCTGGGTTCACGCCATTCTCCTGCCTCAGCCTCCCGAGTAGCTGGGACTACAGGTGCCCGCCACCATGCCCAAGCTAATTTTTTTTGTATTTTTTTTAGTAGAGACGGGGTTTCACTGTGTTAGCCAGGATGGTCTCGATCTCCTGACCCTCGTGATCCACCCACCTTGGCCTCTCAAAGTGCCTAGGGCCCTTTTTTTTTTTTTTTTTTTGAGAGGCTGTCTTGCTCTGTCGCTCAGGTTGGAGCGCAGTGGCGTGATCGTGGCTCACTGCAGCTTCAACCTCCCGGGCTCAAACGATACTCCTGCCCCAGCCTCCCAAGCAGCTGGGACCACAGACATGTGCCACCACATCCAGTCTTCTTATCTTTTAAAGCATGTTGGGCCTTGTTTTGAAATAAAGTTAGGTTATATGTTTTCTTGTTTTTTGTTTTTGTTTTTTGAGACAGAGTCTGCTCTTTCACCCAGGCTGGAGTGCAGTGGTGCGATCTCGGCTCACTGCAACCTCTAGCTCCAAGGTTCAAGTGATTCTCGTGCCTCAGCCTCCCAAGTAGTTGAAATTACAGGCACCTGCCACCATGCCCAGCTAATTTTTGTATTTTCAGTAGAGACGGGGTTTTACCAAGTTGGCCAGGCTGGTTGTGAACTCCTGACCTCAAGTGATCCATCTACCTTGGCCTGCCAAAGTGCTGGGATTACAGGCGTGAGCCATGGTGCTCGCCTTCTTGTCTTTTAAAGAGTGTTGGGCCTTGTTTTGGGTGAAAGTTGGGTTATGTGGTGTTTTTTCTTTTGTTTTGTTTTGTTTTTTGAGACAGGAGTCTGCTCTGTCACTCAGGCTAGAGTGCAGTGGCGCGATCTCGGCTCACTGCAACCTCTGCTTCCCAGGTTCAAGTGATTCTCATGCCTCAGCCTCCTGAGTAGTTGGGATTACAGGCATGCACCACCACACCTGACTAATTTTTGTATTTTTAGTAGAGACGGGGTTTTACCAAGTTGACCAGGCTGGTTGTGAACTCCTGGCCTCAGGTGATCTGCCCACCTCGGCTTCCCAAAGTTCTGGGATTACAGGCGTGAGCCGCCATGCCAGGCCTTGGATTTCTGTAGCTGCAGTTTCTCAGGCAGGTTCTAGACGAGCCTTCACTGCAGACAGCATCAGCCCTGTTCCCACGGTGTGGCTCCTCCTGAGTCTCCACTGAATGTCCACAGTGATCACTGGGGACCCATCCCCCTGGCTGGAGCTTCAGTATGTCATGACCGTGTGCGAGGTCTGGAAGTTGTTCACCTTACATGCTCCTTTCTCCTCTTTGCCTGGCTTTGTGGAGTTTTCTTCTATACATGTACAGGCTGGTCCTCAGTACAGACTCAAGAGAACCCTGTGCAGATTTCTGGAGCTCTTTTCTGCAGTTTCCTCCTTGCGGGATTCTGCCCTGAAATGCCGGCTCCTTCTGTGTCCCCAGACCCTAGTGCAGTCTCAGCTCCGTAAGGGTGCTCAGCTTTGCTCAGGCCCTGCTTCCCTCCCTGTGCCGGCAGCCCAGAAACGGCCTTCAGGCAGAAGGCCAGGGCCCCAGGGTTCACCTTGCCTGTCTCCCTTCCAACAAGGGTGGCGGTCTTGTCCGGGATCTCGGACTCGTCCAGGGTCTCGGTCTTGTTGGGGATCTCGGTCTTGTTTGACCAGTTGTCCAATGTCTGCAAACAGTTGTTTCATATACTTTGTCCAGTTTTCTAGTTGTTCATGGAGGAACATTAAAGTCTGGTCCTTGTAACTACGGCCTGGCCAGAAGCAGAAGTGAGTGCCAGCCGTTGTGTGGGCATAGAATAAATATTATCAGAAAGTAAGCCGATTTGGTTATTTCTTAATGTATTTACTTTGTTCTAAAAGTTATTTCAACACAAGTTACTTTCCTAAGTGGCAGTCATGGTTTCGTCACTACAATTTCAAGAAAAGAGCTAACAGACATCTACTTGACCATCTGTTTCTCAGAAAGTTCCAAGACTGCCCTGTCCTTTCAGAAGCCACAGGTCATGATAATCAGTGAAGGCGGGGGGCTGGGGTTGTCCGTGCCATTCAGGGCACCCCAGTGCTCCCTTCTTGGCCAGAGCACTGGTTCTTGGATTCCTGTAGCTTCAGTGACAAGGTGCTGTGGGGCTGTGCATCCAGCCTCATAAAATGTCACCAGCGTGACCTGCTCTCTCAGTCACAGCTTGTCCTGAGAGCAGCAATGGGACTAGAACGACAGGAGCAGGTAGTGAGAAACAAGAGAGCAGGGTCCTCTCCTTCCTGGACAGCAGGACTGTCCTGATCCCACTGCAAGGCTGCTGTGATGGTGACCAGTGAGGCCCGCGCTGCATGTTTTTGCACACTGAGGAGCTGCCTCCATTCATTCCCCCTCGCATTCCTGGAGCCCACGTGCTCCTTACCAAGCTCGCCTCCTGGTTCATGTTTGGGTGAAGGGCTCCACTCCACGCCAGGCTGGGCGTGGGGCCCACACCTGTCATCTCAGCACTTTGGGAGGCCAAGGCGGCAGGACTGCTTGAGCCCAGGAGTTCGAGACCAGCCTGGGTGACATAGTGAGACCCCATTTCTACAAAAAAATAAAATAACATGTAAAAAGATTAGCCAGCTATGGTGATGTGCACCTGTAGTCTCAGCTACTCAGGAGACAAAGGCAGGAGGATCACTTGAGCCTGGAAAGTTGAGGCCACAGTGAACCAAGATTGTGCCACTGCACTCTGGCCTGGGCAACAGAGCGAGAATAAAGTAAATAAATAAGAGCCCCAAGGCCCCCTTGCCTGCCCTGCAGCTTGGTCTTGCAGCTATGTTGGGCTGTCCATCTCACCTTGGCCATCAGGAGCCTGACGTGCACCTTCTAGTGCAGGTTACCTGGGCCCTGAGGGGGTTCCCTCGTCAGTACACAGAGTGACGCCACAGATGGAAGAGTGGACTGTAACGTTCCCTGCGCGTTTACAGAGGAGGTACAGACTGTTCTTCACTGTCCCCGTTTCTTAACATGTCACAGCCGGCTCCTCACCCATCCATGGCGGGGCCATCCCGACCTGCTCTCCTGAACGAAATGAACGAAAGCCCTGGGTGTCATAAGAAGCACAAAAGTGCCTGCGGAGGTGGGGGCCAGAGGCAGCATGGGGACTTCTGGCTGGGTGAGGGGGGAGGGACGGGGGCGTGAGGATGAGCTGGTGCTGAGGCCAAATGCTCAGGGCATGTTTTTATGTCTTGGGAGCCCAGCTGGTCCTGCAGAGGCCAATCACACTGAAATGCCACTCTGGCGTTCTACCATCCTTTCAGGAAAGGCCCAGAACAGTCTCAGCTCAAAAGCACAGGACCCCAGGCAGGGGAGGGAGGGAGTGTGTCCTCGGCGCCCACTGGCTCCTGAATGCAGAGGCTGGCAGCCCCTGCAGGGCCACAGTGACTAGGTGGAGGGCGGCTGGAGCTCGGCTGTCACGATCCCGTGCTCTGTCTTCTCAGTGGCGAGGTGTGGGAGTGGAGACACGCTCACCCACAGCCACTCCACCCCCAGGCGTGGTCCCACTGGAGCCCACCAAACCTCTAAAATTGTAAACATGACTCTTAGCTGGAGGGCCACCTGTGGGGCAGGAGTGTGCCATGATTTGGCCCATACTTTGTTTGGATTTACTTAGTTGCCAATATTTTGAAAAGGAAACACTTTATATATAAAAAGAACAGGATTTCCAGCCTCTCTCAGAAAAATGGGAAGACAGGCTTGTTGGCCCCACACTGCCATGGAGGGCGGCCCTGGGGTGGCACTGACATGGCCTCAGAAGACCAAGCCCGCCCGCAGGGACACCACTGCCCCCACTCCACGAGGCTGGCAGTCACCCTGTGCATGGGCACCTAGTACCTTCTCTGCAGAGGAGGCTCTGGCCTGGACTGGATCCAGGGCTTGGATTCAGATCCTGATTCCACCAGCTGGGGCTGTGTGACTTTGGACTTGGCCTTCATCTGAGCAAAGAGCCCCAGCCTGCGGCAACCACTGGGGCCGAGCAGGGCAGTCACTGGAGCCCTGTGTGATCTCCAGCGGAGGCTCCACCAGCATTCGGGCTGTCCGGGAAGAGGGGGCAAGAGGGGGCAAGAGGGGGCAAGAGGGGGCAAGAGGGGGCGGCTTTTGTCCTTCTTTCCCTTTGGATCTTTAGATGAGAAAAGCCTGGCTACAAGGTGTCTTCAACACACAAAACTGCCCAGAAATGCTCTAATTCTACAAACAGTTTAAAAAAATTAACCGAGTTAGCAGCCAGTTAACAGAATTATGCGACCTTAGGATACATTTTATGGGCCAGGCATGGTGGCTTACGCCTGTAATCCCAGCGCTTAGGGAGGCTGACATGGGAGCATTGCTTGAACCCAGGAGTTCAAGACCATATTGGGCAACATAGTAAGACCCTGTCTGTACAAAAAAAGTTTTTAAAAATTAGCTGGGCATGGTGGCTTACATCTCTGGTCCCAGCTACTCAGGAGGATGAGGCAGGAGAATCACTTGAACCTGGGAGGTGGAGTGAGCTGAGATCGCACCACTGCACTCCAGCCGGGGCGACAGAGGGAGACTCTGTCTCAAAAATACAAAAAATTTATGCAACCTTTTTTTTTTTTTTTTTTTTTTTGAGATGGAGTCTCACTCTGTCGCCCAGGCTGGAGTGCAGTGGTAAGATCTTGACTCACTGTAACCTCCACCCTCCGAGTTCAAGCGATTCTCCTGCCTCAGCCTCTGGAGTAGCTGGGTTTACAGGTGCCTGCAACCGTGCCAGGCTAATTTTTCTTATTTTTAGTAGAGATGGGGTTTCACCATCTTGGCCAGGCTGGTCTTGAACTCCTGACCTCATGATCCACCCGCCTCAGCCTCCCAAAGTGCTGGGATTACAGGCGTGAGCCACCGCGCCCGGCCACAACCTTTTTTTTTTTTTTTTTTTAAAGTAAACATCTCAAAATCTGTGGAGAAACAAATATAAATTTCAAAAGAACAAATTTTTTAAAGAAAAAAAAAGCCAGCATTAACATGGGACACCCTTTAAAGTTGTGACCATTTTTGCTCCTAAACCATCCTCTGCAGCTGGAGAGTGGGGTGGGGAGTGAGGGTGGGAGGCAGGGGGGCCTCCACCTAGAAGAAAACAAAATCACTCACCTCCGACCCACCCACAGGGTGCATGGCAGGGACCGCCTCCAAATCCCACCCCCAGGGAGCGGCCCAGGGGCGGCCCACTGAGCCCTGGCCCCAATCTTGATGAGGCTCTACATGGCGGCCCTACCCACTTCTCCTATGCAGTCTTCCCCACCCCCACAGCACAGCCGAATTCCTCAGAAGCTCTGGCCAAGCATCTCCTCTGACCCCAGGACATGCTTGGCCCTCCCCCTGCTCTAATCAGACAAGTCCCTTCCAGAACTCCAGGGTGCAGAACAAGGGCTGGGCCTTGGGACCCTCAGCTATGGGATCTGTGGCCATGTAGCGTTGGGCCTCATTTCTGCATTTGACAATGGGATGGTAGTAGCTGTACAGCCTTAGCCTAAAGACCTGAGCACAGGTGAGACACCAGGTATGGTGTCTGGCACTTAGTAGGCACTCAACAAATACTCGAGGAAAACACACAGAACCATTCCCATTATGTGTATCTGTAAACCAGGCTTGCAGCCCTCCCTCTGGTCTCCAGTCTAGGTCCCCCCACAGCAGGGCCCTCTCCGGAAAGCTCCTGTCTCCCTTCGAGTCCCTGACTTTCAGAAGTCACAACAAACGCCCATTTTTCTGTTGCTAGCTTTCCTAGTCCCCTTTGAAAAGGACAAAAATGTCGACAACACATAAACCACATATAAGATGGCCAATTGATAGGAAAAATGACCAACCTCATCATTTAAAAATGGCGAATTGGGCCAGGTGCGATGGCTCACGCCTGTAATCCCAGGACTTTGGGAGGCCGAGGTAGATCACTTGAGCCCAGGAGTTCGAGACCAGCCTGGGCTAACATGGGGAAAACCCATCTCTACAAAAAAAATAAAAAAATTAGCGAGGCATGGTGGCGCACGCCATAACCCCAACTACTCCAGGGGCTGAGGTGGGAGGATCACTTGAGCCCAGGAGGTGGAGTTTGCAGTGAGCTGAGATTGCACCACTGTACTGGGCGACAGAGGGAGATCCTGACTCAAACAACAACCAGGCAAATTAGGCCAGGTGCTCATGCCTGTAATCCAGCACTTTGGGAGGCCAAGGTGGGAGGACTGTTTGAGCCCAGGAGTTCGAGACCAGCCTGGGCAACATGGCAAGATCCTGTCTACAAAATGTAAAAAATTAGCCAGGTGTGGTGGTACGTGCCTGTGGTCCCAGCTACTTGGAATGCTGAGGAAGGAGGAATGCTTGAGCCCGGGAGGTTGAGAAGCCTGGGAGGTTGAGGCTTTAGTGAGCCATGGCTGCGGCACTACACTCCAGCCTGGGCGACGGAGTGAGACTCCATCTCAAAATACATACATAAAATAAAATGGACTAGAAAAAAAAGGCAAATTAAAACCAATAATGAAGTATCAGTTTTGACTTATCAGATTGGCCAACAAACAAACAAACAAACAAACCATTTGCTAAATCCACCAATACTGAGTGAGGAAAGGTGCCTCACGCCTGCAACCAGGAGCAGGGGGCCAACGTCCTGGGGGCAATTGGGTAACAGCGCTCAGAACTCAAACTGACCCTACCTTTGACCAGCTATTTCCCTTCTGATCTAACAGCAGCCTCTGTGAGCACGCAGGGCACACGCACAGGAGGTTCACTCTCTTAAGAGCTAAAAACGACAGGCCGTCCAAGTGTCCACAAACATCAGACACCAAAACAAAGGGAGGTGAGCCGATGCGGCGGCTCACAAAACTACCAGAAAGATCTGTCGGCTCTGTGTGTACTGACATAAAAAATACTGCAGACATAAATAAAAAAGCAAGCTGCCCCCACGATATGCAATTGACAAGAAAAGAGGATATACACATATATTTAAAAAACCACTTCTGTTCTGAGGGTGGCTGGGGAGTCTGGAGGGGTGCAGGGGGACTGGGCAGTTGTGGCCTGGTGGGTAGGGACTGGGAGGGAGTAAGAGAAGAGGGAGAAGGAACACAGTCCACTGAAACCCAGTGTGGTGTTATCCATTAGCGCAGGACTGAAACCCGATGTGGGTGTTATCCATTAGCGCAGGACTGAAACCTGATGTGTTATTCATTAGCGCAGGATGCCCCACGCATCCGGAGATGGGGTTTGGAACATCCTTTGCCCCAGCGAGGTGCGAGGTGCTCCGGAACTTGCGGGGCTTAGCTGCCCACACACGTGGGACAGACTGTTGGGTGGCTGGTCCCTGTACCGGCTCCTGAAAGGACATTTGGGCACTTGATACACACCCATAAGGTGCACTCTAGGGAGGTGGAGGCAGGCCTGCTGCAGGGGGTCGGCTTCAGAAGCAGGTATTTCTTTGGGGTGAGGTCAGACATCTGCCTGGGTGCTTCTCTGGAACTGCCTTAGGGAGAGCTTCCGTCCGCACTGGGTGCCACTCAGTCTGCCGCGCTTTTTATGTACGCTGACTTTTGTTGTGCTGCTGAAGAATATCTTTCCAGTTTGATGATTTTTCAGGTAAAAACACTACCTTAGAAATCTGTGAT
Source organism: Homo sapiens (assembly GCF_000001405.40). NCBI lineage: Eukaryota > Metazoa > Chordata > Mammalia > Primates > Hominidae > Homo > Homo sapiens. The sequence continues at coordinate 82,118,832 of NC_000017.11, forward strand.
TTCTTCACCCGTATCTAAGGTTAACCCTCTTCCGGCCATTTGTAAATACTCCATTCTACTTCTGCGTATTTTCGTGGTTTGCCTTGGAGTCCCTCCCTCGCCCTGGAATGCCTGGTAGTGTGTGGTCCCCGTGAGAGGAAGCGGAGATCAGAGTAAGCTGTGTTCCCACCCTGCCAATTGCTGAATGGTTCTTTCTTTCCTTGGCTCCTGGAGAACAACTACATTCTTATCTACCAGGCTCCACTGAGCGGGCGGGAGGTGGGGGCGGGGGTGGGGGTGGGAGTGGGGGCAGGGGTGGGGGTGGGGGTGGTGAGAAATTAGTCGTATTTTGATTAGAATGACACTACAGATTACTTTACTTTGGAGAAAACTGCTGCCTTTGTATATTTAATGCTTCCATCCAGGAAGTGTCATTTTTTTAAGCCTCAAACATTTTTTTGGATAATGCTTGGTAGTTTCTCTAGCATTATCTGAGACTAACATCTTCTGAGACTCCTGGGTTTTGTAGACTCGGGGCCTCCCATGCTCCCATCCCTCACAGTTATCTCCCTGTACGTGGAGCAGACAGGAATCAAGGATCATGCCCCTGCACCTGTGGGTGCCCCCCCACCCCTGTGCACCTACGGGTACCCCACCTGCAGACCATGCCCCTGCCCTCCGAGACATTCTGAAGCAGACCGATAGAATCAAGTTTAGGAAGAAAAATGGCATGGCCTGGGGCTGGTGCAGGAAGGAAGGAAGCTGGATGGGGGACAGGTCTCTTGGGCAGCCTTTGGAGGAGGCAGGTGCTGGGCAAACAAGGAGGGTGCCTGCAGGTGCTGCAAGGTCTGCAGGTGGGGTACCCACAGGTGCACAGGGGTTGGGGGGCACCCACAGGTGCAGACAGGCTGGAGCTGGAGTGCAGGTAGCTGGGGGAAGAAGGGAGGGAGATGAGGCTGGACGTGCTGGGCCCCAGCAGTCTGTGTGGGAGACCTATCTATCTGAGGCTGTCATAAAAACGCAGGTGAGAGAGGAGGCTAGGCTTGGAGGTGGGTCCTCCAAAGAGCCGCATCCAGGGTGTATGGGGGAGCCCCGACTCCAGCCAGCTGTTCCAGCCTCAGAGGTTGGCCGTGCCCTGGGACGGGGTGACTGCTGGGTCTGGATAGGTTGGCAAAGCAGGGCTGAGGACATGAGCAGGAGGGTGGTTCGGGGCCTATCCCAGGTCCAAGAGGAGTATGGCTGTTCAACACAGCTGTGTGACGTCGTGACTAAACACCATATCCTACAATAGTCGTTCATGTCATTAATTTAGATGCCACTAAATTGTTAACTATTTCAGTATCATTTCATTATTATTATTATTATTTTTTTTTTGCAGAGATGTTGCCCAGGCTGGTCTTGAACTCCTGGGCTCAAGTGATCCGCCCACCTCAGCCTCCCAAAGTGCTGGGTTTACAGGCTGAGTCACTGTGCCTGGCAACATTATTACTTTAAACTCCAATCATGACTGTGTAGTGTGCATACTCTGTTACCCACAATGCATGGAACACGTTTAAAAAAGAGGAGGAAACTTCCTCTCCGTTTCTAGAATGGAGCTTTCAGACTGCTTGTCTGGCGAGCGACTGCCGAGCTGCGCTCTGTCCTAGTGTCGGTGCACTGGAGGGCGCAGTGTCGCATCTTAACCAGAAACCCGGTGCCCTTAAGTGGCACCCCTTACTTCACCAACGCAGTTTCCAAGGTTTTAAGGAAAGTATTCTTACATGAAGTAAAAATATCACACAGATAATTCAGTTAAGCATGCTCAAATATTCAAAACACAAGGAAAGCATCAAGATACTTCGCAGATCATTAAACAACTCAACTGCATGAACCACTTTAGTCTTTTCCTAAATCCTTCACAGGGTGAATCAAAAGCCCCATGGACTTATGCTGAAACGTATCTTTCTTGCTTGCTTTTTTTTTTGAGATGGAGTCTCACTCTGTCGCCCAGGCTGGAGTGCAGTGGTGCAACCTCGGCTCACTGCAAGCTCCGCCTCTCGGGTTCACAGCACTCTCCTGCCTCAGCCTCCCAAGTAGCTAGGACTACAGGCGTCCGCCACCACGCCCGGCTAATTTTTTGTATTTTTAGTAGAGACAGGGTTTCACCGTGTTAGCCAGGATGGTCTCGATCTCCTGACCTAGTGATCCACCCACCTCGGCCTCCCAAAGTGCTGGGATTACAGGGGTGAGCTACCGCGCCCGGCCTCTTGCTTGCTTTTTAATTGCAACACCGATGCTAAGAAATACCAGCCGTTGCCAGGCATGGTGGCTCCCGCCTGTAATCCCAGCTACTCAGGAGGCTGGGACAGGAGGATTGCTTGAGGCCAGGAGTTCTAGCCCAGTCTGTGCAACACAGTGAGACCGTGTTTCTAAAATAAATAATAAAGAAAAAATAAATACCAGCCACCCTGTCTCAGCCTAGGGAGGCAGGGACATGGCAGGGCCTGCATCTGGCCACCTCCTCCACCTGCTGAGGCCCCCAGTGCTTCCCCAGCTTTCCTGCCAAGAGGCCCCAGTGCTACTGAGCTGCAGGCAGCAGGCTCTCGAGGACATGACCTCACTCACAGGGCTCAGGGTCTAAGACTCTGTTAAGACAGGCGCCTGGAGCCGGGTCATAGGGAGGCAACATGACCCCCACAGCCAGGAGATGGACAGCAGGTCTGCTGAGGGCTCTGGGCAGCTTCTCCCTCCCTGATTAAAAGAAAAAGATTCAGGAGAGAGAGGCCCTTCACCTTTTGGCCTTCTCAGGGGATGGTGGGAGTGTCTGCAGCCATTGCGGAGCCATTAGGAGAAAAGAGAATCCCAGAGGGGCCACCTGAGGCCCGTTGACCTGGGACTGAGGGCTCCGATGAGCTCCTGGGCCTCAGTCAGCGCGTCCTGCCATGGGGCCGTGCATGCCGCCTGCTGAGACCATTTTGGGCACTCAGGATATGGACCCCTCAGTTCTCTCCTTATTTTAGTGAGGCGTGTCATTTTCCACAGTTACCACGAGGAGATAAAGGCCGGGAAGCTCTGGTTCACGTCACTTTCATATCCTGTCCTGTGACTTGTAGCTAAAAGCATCTTAACTGATCCACACCAGCCCGCCTTCCCTCCCAGGCCACCCACACTCTCAGCCTCGGTGGACGTGTGCTGCTGTGTCAGGAACGCTCCTTCCTGCAGCACGGCCTCGGCCCCAGGTGACTCCTGTGGTCACCAGCTCCCTGGTCTCACAGAGAGCTTGGTGGCCCTCTTCACTCTCTCCCGGATCTGCTTCCTGAGGCGCCAACCCACCATTTTACAACCCACTTTCTCAAGCCTCCTACACCGCTCCTTCCTCCTTCAGAGCCTGTGGCCGGCCTCGGGCTCTCAGCCTGGATGCTGAGCATGTAAGAGGAAATGAAAGGAATCTGCCAGAACCGTTTCCCACCACCAGGCCAGCTGCTGGGACCAGGGACAGCCTCCCTGGGGCCTGTGCACTCCCGCACGGTGGAGGCTGCCCTGGCCACTGCTGCAGACCCTTTGCAAGGGCGTCTGTCCAGCAAGCAGCTCAGAAGTCGGAGCAAGCATCTCCCTCAGGCCCAGGGCAGGTGCTTGTGGCGCTCTAGGACTCGGAGGGCAGGTGCTCGTGGTTGCTCTAGGACTCGGAGGGCAGGTGCTTGTGGTCGCTCTAGGACTCGGTCCCCAGGCCTGGGTTCCTCAGCTGAGATGCATACCCACTGCACCTGCAGCCACTGCCTGCCCAGCTGCCTGCTATGTGGACAGAGCCCTTGGTCTCTGACCCAGGAGCCTCCTGTCTCCCGCCAGGCTTGCTTGTCAGCTTGCAGGCTGGGCAAGTGCACAGCACTGGCTGCAATCAACCTTCTGGCTTCGGTGCCCACCTCTGCCTCTGTCCTATTAAAGGCCAGCCCTGCACACGGGCACCGAGCCCCTTCCCCTGCCTCCTCCAGGACTTCTCTCCTGAGTCATCCCATTTCCCACTGCCTACCGGCAGGCTTTACATGACAGCTTGTGAGCCTCCCCTCTTGACTCCACATCTTCATAAATACGGCCTCTTTTCACTGCTGATTTTCAGAGCAAAGTTTCTTGGATATGTTGTCCATCCCATCTCCCATCCTCTCCCCAAGCCGGGAAGGATTGAATGAAAATTCTACTACCCCCCTGAGACCACACTTAAGACCACCAGTGACCTTCACCTTGCAAAAAAGCAGGGGCTGCTTCTCTGTCCTGACCTAACTGGACCTACCTGTAGCGTTCCACTGCACAGTTTAACCACTCCTTCCCTCCTAATAACTTTTTTTTTTTTTTTTTTTTTGTAGAGACAGGGTCTTGCTCTCTCACCCAGGCTGGAGTGCAGTGTGTAATCACAGCTCACTGCGGCCTAGAACTCCTGGGCTCAAGTGATCCTCCTGCCTCTGTCTCCCAAAGTGCTGGGATTACAGGCATGAACCAGTGTGCCCGGCCCTTTTTTTTTTTTTTTTTTTGAGATGATGTCTCACTACATTGTCCAGGCTGGTGTGGAACCTCTGAGTTCAAGCGATCCTCCCACTTTAGCCTCCCCAAATGCTGCAATTACAGGAGTGAGCCACCGCCCGGCCTATAGCAATTTTCATGTCAGACAAAATAGGTTTTTTGGTGAAATACAACATGAGGGGTTATGAGGGATGTTACATACTGGTAAAGGGAGGAAAAGATCAAGAAGGCAAAAAACCTAAACATGTATGCACCTAACAGCGAACCTCAAAACACATAAAGCAACAATTGACAAAAACAGATAGATTGATAATTGTAGTTTAAGAACTAATATTTCCCTCTCAGAAGAGTTAACATCATAGTAATTTAATTCTCTGACCAGAATGTAAAAATATTAGAAATCAGTAACAGACAAAAAAATAAAATTCCACAAATCTAGAAACTTAAGGAAAAATTCCATTTAAGTTAAAGCAAAATGAGTTGAGTTATAAGTCCTACAAGGGAAAGACAAGGGAAACATGAGGATGTTGAGATTTATGAGACATGGTTAAAGCAAAGCAACGCTTGGAGGAATATGCATTTCTTTGGCTGCATTGGTCAGAAAACAAGACAGATTTCAGACTTGAAGAAGGCATCATGAAGCTAGCACTCCTCCACTATCCTTGTAAATCATCCAAAAGCAAAAAAAAAAAAAAAAAAAAAAAGATAATGAAAAGCAAAAATGCAAACTTCATTTTCATTAAAACTAAGAGCTAGAATTGGTGGTGGTGGCGGGGGCTACCAAAGGCTGCAGGAACTCGGCAAGGGCTGTGTCAAAGACATACAGATGCCTCGTTACAGACCCCAGAAAGAGCAGAGGGCATTTCTCTAAGGCAAGGGTACACCCTGAGGGTAGGACCTAATTCCTTGTTTCAGGAGTAGGAACATGGGCTGGCAGCAAGTGCTTCCCTGACCTTGTTCCGTTCCTGGAAGAGAGGAGGGAGAGTGAACCAGGAACAGAACAGGCCCTATCTGCAAAGTGCAGTATCTGTGGGGAAAGGGAAGAGAGAAGCTGTATCAGCTGTTAAAAGCCTGATAGGTGGAGACTTGTATTTAAAGCTAAAATCAACGACACGACTCTGCTGGGCTGGAAGATGGTTCTGGCTTCATTTTCCATACAAACTTTTTCAAATAGCTAGTCAAGTAAAAATTTACCTGTTCTAAAGATGAGGCCAGGCACGGTGGCTCATGCCCGTAATCCCAGCACTTTGAGAGCGTAAGGTGGGAGGATCACTTGAGCCCAGGAGTTCGAGACCAGCCTGGGCAACAGAGCGACACCTTGTACCTACAAAAAACTAAAACAATCTTAGCTGAGCGTGGTGGCGTGTCCCTGTGGTCCCAGCTACTTGGGAGGCTGAGGTGGGAGAATCACTTGAGCCCAAGAGGTCAAGGCTGCAGTGAGCTGAGATTGCCGCACTGCACTCCAGCCTCGGTGACAGAATGGGACACTGTCTCTAAAAAGAGAAAAAGAAAAAAAAAATGAGGGGGGAGCCAAGAAACGAAAGTGCTCCAAGAGAAAAGGAGAAAGGAAACAAGCAAACGAATGAACACGAACGTCTCCAGAAGAACTTTCCATTGAGTTGATGAAAATTTGGACAAAATGTTTTGTGGTGAATTAAAAATGCAAGGAGGCGGTGCCCCTAAGAATCCTGAGCACAGAGGAGAGCCATGGAGTGCAGGTGGGAGGGTCAGGAAGACGGAGTGGGACGCGGCTGCGTGGAAGACAGAGAGAAACGCGCCACATTCGTGATGCCAGCACTGGAGCACACGGGGAACGGAAGCCACACAACCCCATTCCTTCCTAAGGCAGAAGGGAAGCTGCGTCAATCCTAAGAACACTTACAATAGTGTTTGTGGGGAGGGGCTGGGGGAACCAGACTCAGACAAGCCAAGTCTAAAAATTATATACAAAAAAGGCCGGGCATGGTGACTCACGCCTGCAGTCTCAGCACTTTGGGAGGCTGAAGCGGGAGGATCGCTTGAGCCCAGGAATTTGAGATCAGCCTGGGCAACATAGGGAGACACCATCTCTACTAAATTTTTTTTTTTTTTTGAGGCAGAGTCTCATTCCGTCACCCAGACTGGAGTGCAGTGGTACAATCTCAGCTCCCTACAACCTCCACCTCCCAGGTTCAAGTGATTCTCATGCCTCAGCCTCCCAAGTAGCTGGGATTACAGGCATGCGCCACCAGGCCCAGTGAATTTTTGTATTTTTAGTAGAGACGGGGTTTCACCATGTTGGCCAGGCTGGTCTTGAACTCCTGACCTCAACTGATCCACCTGCCTTAGCCTCCCAAAGTGCTGAGATTATAGGCACGAGCCACTGCCTCCAGTCCTCTCTCTACTAAATTTAAAAAGAAAGAAAAAAGAAAAAACAAATACATGCAAATAACCAAGAAAACCCTGAGAGAGAAGGATAAAGAGGAGATCCTACATCAGCCAGACATGTAAAAGGACCAGGAAGTGACACTGATTCTGACCCAATGGAACTGCCTGTGAACAGACTGAGAGTGGCCGAACGAACCGTCCGGATATAGCTCCAAAAGCACATGGAACATTTAGCACCATGACAAAGGTGGGAGTCCGAATATGCGGGAAGTGTGAGCGATGGAAAACTGGGAGCCGTTGCCACTTTGGGGGTTAATAAGAAGTGGTTCTGGCCAGGCACGGTGGCTCACCCCTGTAATCCCAGCACTCTGGGAGGCCGAGGTGGGCGGATCAACTGAGGTCAGGAGTTCGAGACGAGCCAGCCCAGCATTGTGAAACCCCGTCTCTACTAAAAATACAAAATTAGCCTGGAGTGGTGGCGGGTGCCTGTAGCTCCAGCTACTGGGGAGGCTGAGGCAGGAGAATCATTTGAACCCGGGAGGAGGAGCTTGCAGTGAGCTGAGATTGCGCCATTGCACTCCAGCCCGAGCAACAAGAGCAAAACTCCATCTCAAAGGAAAAAAAAAAAAAACAGACAAGATAAAAAACAAGGACATTAAATTACATAAAAATAAAAAATATGAACATAAAAAAACACCATAATAAACATTTAAAAACATGAAGAACTGGGAGAAAACATTTAAATTGTTGTCACCGAAAAGGCCTAATTTCTATCACATATAATGAGCTGCTACAAATCAATAAGAAAGACCACAATCTAATACACAAATGGGCAGGTAACTGAAGAACAGGGAAAGGAAGTGGCTCCTAAACACACACGAAGATGCACGACCTCCCAGCAGAGGCGCTGATGCCAATCCTGCTGCCACCGGCAAAAGTTCCGTGTGGCTACAGGACTCTCAGACACTGCTGCTGGGAGCAGCCTCTGGGTGGGTGGCGGAGGCTGAGGCGATGCTGTCCACCACACGTGGCACGCGGGCAGCCTTGACTACGCAAGCCCCTGGGGCACGTACACGTGTGTTTTCACACACACTGCAGCCTGTAAGGTTACTATTCTAACAGTATCTGTGACGGTAAAGGACTGGAAATAGCCTAAAATGCGCATGAAGGAGAGAATGATTAAATGAATGAGGCACACCCTCATGACGGAAGACAGAAGCTGTAAGGTAAGAAGGGGACGCCCTCCATGCAGGCACACAGGAAGGACGCACGCTCCCGCCCCAACCACATCACACGTCCCGCAACTCCAGCTGCCTCGAAGCAGCATCTGTTTCCCTCCCCCCTTCTCGCTACATCACAGACCCATGCAGTCCTCACAAGGTGCACCCTTCAAACAGACTTTTCTGAAAACTTCCTGAGACCAGTAGCAGGAGCTGGCACTGTGACCTGCTGAGTTTACCAGGCCTATGACTTAGGTGCAGAGAAGAGTCTCAGGGCGGCAACGTCCGCGCAGCAAAGCAGGACGAGGATGAGGATGCGGCTGACACTTGTCTGGCCCGTGAGGCTGAGCATCACTGGGGTCGGCCTGGCTCTTCCCCGGGAGCATCGCTGGGGTCGACCTGGCTCTTCCCCAGGAGCAGGGCCGTCTAAAGTGCACCAATGCCCACGCGTCTCACCTGGGCTCCATTCTAAGTCAGCCTGCGCCCGGGTGTACAGTGCTCCATTCTAAGTCAGCCTGCGCCCGGGTGTACGGTGCTGCATTCTAAGTCAGTGTGCGCCCGGGTGTACGGTGCTGCACTAGGAAATGGCATGGTTTCTGCCCTTCAGGGCTTTGCACCATAACCCGGGAAACACTCAGGTGCCAAATGAGAGGTAAAGAGACTCCATGCATTACTCAACCAAAGTGCAGGGATTTCAGGGTGCAGGAGGCACGCAGGGTGCTGACTCTCCACATGCCCCTCGGAGAGGGTGGCCCTCGCCAGCTGCCAGCTGTGGGCAGCTCCTGGGGAGGGCAGTCTCCTACCTGGAGTTGAGTCACCCTGGGAGGTGACACCAGAAGGGCTGGATCCCAGGTCTAGCAACCTCCACATGTCCTGGAGGGTGCCACTGGCAAAGGAGGAGGAGCTGTGGGATTGGCGACCATGCTCCTCAGGGTGCTGGGGAGCCTGGGGTGGCTTTGGGGACCTGTCTTCTTTCTGCCGAGGTGATTTACAGGTCACCGTGTGGATGCTGTGTTGTGTCTAGAAAAGACATCATCGTCTTGAAAGCCACCCTCTCCAACCCAGAGGAAGCCACAGGACTCCCCCCAACCACTCCCCTCGGAGCAGTAAGGCGACAGTGGGCCTGGCTTAAAGGCCCAGGCAGATGCTCCCAGGATCACCCAGGAGAGGCAGCTGCAGACAGGGATGCATCCGGGGAGCGAGTCTCAGCGCTGGGAACGCTGAGTGTGGGCAGGGCCTGAATCTCAGTGCTCGTCTCAACACTTAAATGACAAAACATGTCTAGGGCAGAGGCTGTTTCGTTTCGATGGGGAATGAGCTGAAATGCAGGGCAGATACCCTGAGGGGCACAGAAAGGAAAGGCCAGCGTGGGCCCCATGTGCTTTAGGGGTCCCGGGGCCCTCCTAACACTCTTACCACCCTTGTGGGACCACCCGGCAAACGCTCTGCAGCTCACCCTGCCATTGTGAGCAGTCCCTGATGACGGCACAAAGGCAGGCATGCAGAGCGAAGGCCCCTCCGAGAGGCCCAGAGCACCCAGGCCCCGGCTTCCCTGCTGGCCACACCCCACACAGCTGCACTTGCTCGGGCGCCGCCACTCTCACCTTCGGGCCTTGCAGGGCGTCAAGTCTGCTGCCCACCTGTGCTGAGCGGGGCTGGTGCTTTCCCAAGTGTCTGGAAGGAGCCTCATCCTCGGCACTCTTGGCGTCCTGCCGTGGGGATTTAAATGAGAGGACTCTGGTATTCACATGTACTGATGGTGCATGTCAGTGAGTTTTCCCACAAGATTGGGAAGAAATGCCTTCCCACATTTCTGGTATTAAAGACTCACACCATTTGGTGACAGCCCGGACTGAAGGGACCTGTTTCCCAGACAGGAGGAATGGAGCAGGCTTCCCCAGTCATTCATTCCCAGGAGCCTTCTCTGCAAGGCCAGGGCAGCCTATGCATGGCCTGCCTGGGGTGAGAGCCCCCCGGCCCAAGATGGACACGAGTGGCCCCCAGTGACACCACCTGGCCGATCCTGCTTTTTTGTTTTTTTTTTTTTTGAGACGGAGTCTTGCTCTGTCTCCCAGGCTGGAGTACAGTGGCGTGATCTCGGCTCACTGCAACCTCCGCCTCCTGGGTTCAAGTGATTCTCCTGTCTCAGCCTCCCAAGTAGCTGGGATGACAGGCACCCACCACCATGCCCGGCTAGTTTTTATATTTTTAGTAGAGACAGGGTTTCACCATATTAGCCAGGCTGGTCTTGAACACCTGACCTCAGGTGATCCGCCTGCCTTGGCCTCCCAAAGTGCTGGGATCACAGGTGTGAGCCACCACGCCTGACCTGATCCTGCTTCTTGAACCCATCACTGGTGCCTCTGCCCGCCCCATGCCTGATGTCTCCCCCCTTCTGGAGGGAAGACTGTGGAAAGGAAGCCAAAAGGGGGCACTAGGGAGCAAACCCTAAGAACATGGAAAGGAAACATGGAGGAAAACAGAAAGGGAAATTCAAAGCAGTGGGACCTGTACAGAGCCATGGACAATAGATGGCCTGCAAGGAGGCTGTGGAACGAGCCCAGCCCTGCCCCTTCCCAGGCACACCATGAGTGTGCCCACAACAGTGGATGCAGAGTGTACTTGGCCCATGTTTACCAACGTTTGCCTGTTCACCCGAGGAATGCACATGCATGAGGTCTGATGTAAGGTCCCTGATGCCAGTGATCACGGGCACAGCCTGATGCTCACTGCCCCCCGGGCTTCGTCCCCAGTACCTTCTGATCAGACCCTTTGCCTGTTTGTCACAGGGTGATTTGTCTTTTTCTTATTGATCTGTAGGAGTTCTTTTCTGTATTTGTATCTTATTTCTTCTCATATGGCACCATTTACTATTAAAAATACAGAGGAACCCCTTGGGAGGCTGAGGCAGGAGGATCACTGGAGCCCAGAGTTCTAGGTTCCAGTGAGCCTGGATCACACCACTGTACTCCAGCCTGGGCAACAGAGCGAAACTCTGTCTCAAAAAATAAATAAATAAAAAATTAGGCTGGGCGCGGTAGCTCACACCTGTAACCCTAGCACTTTGGGAGGCCGAGGTGGAAGAATCCCTTGACTCCAGGAGTTTAAGATCAGCCTGGGTAACATATTGAGACCCCCTATCTGTACAAAAAAAAATTAAAAATTAGACAGGTGTGATGGCACACACCTGTGGTCTCAGCTACTACGGAGGCTGAGGTGGGAAGATAATGTGAGCCTGGGAGGACCAGGCTGCAGTGAGCTGTGATGTCATCATGGCACTCCAGCCTGGGGAGCAGAGACCCTGTCTCAAAACATTTTTTTTTGAGACACAGTCTTGCTCTGTTGCCCAGGCTGGAGTGCAGTGGCGTGATCTCAGCTCACTGCAACCTCCGCCTCCTGGGTTCAAGTGATTCTCCTGCCTCAGCCTTCCGAGTAGCTGGGATTACAGATGCCCACCCCCATGCCCGACTAAGTTTTGTATTTTTCAGTAGAGATGGAGTTTTGCCAAATTGGCCAGGCTGGTCTCGAACTCCTGACCTCAAGTAATCTGCTCGCCTTGGCCCCAAAAAGTGCTGGGATTACAGGCGTGAGCCACCACACCCAGACAAAACTTTTTTTTTTTTTTTTTTTTTGAGATGGAGTCTTGCTTTATCACCTAGGCTGGAGTGCAGTGGTACAATCTTGGCTCACTGCAACCTCCACCTCCTGGGTTCAAGCGATTCTCCTGCCTCAGCCTCCCGAGTAGCTGGGATTATAGGTGCCTGCCACCACAACTGGCTAATTTTTGTATTTTTAGTAGAGATGGGGTTTCATCATGTTGGCCAGGCTGGTCTCGAACTCCTGACCTCAGATGATCTGCCCGCCTCAGCCTCCCAAAGTGGCTGGGATCACTGGTGTGAGCCACCACGCCCAGCTCCTTTTTTTTGGGGGGGTGGGGGTGGGGGACGGAGTCTCACTCTGTCACCCAGGCTGGAGCACAATGGCACTATCTCAGCTCACTGCAACCTCTGCCTCCTAGGTTCAAGTGATTCTCCTGGCTCAGCCTCCCGAGTAGCTGGGATTACAGGTGCCTGCCACCATGCCTGGCTAATTTTTTATATTTTTGGTAGAGACGAGGTTTTGCCATGTTGCCCAGGCTGGTCTTGAACTCCTGACCTCAGGTGATCCACCCGTCTCGGCCTCCCAAAGTGCTGGGATTACAGGCATGAGCCACTGGGCCCAAATACTGGCCACATTTTTTTTAAAAGAAAAATAAATGTAGGCCAGGTGTGTTAGCTCACACCTGTAATCCCAGCACTTTGGGAGGCTGAGACAGGTGGATTACTTGAGGTCAGGAGTTCGAGACCAGCCTGGGCAACATGGCAAAACCTCGTCTCTATCAAAAATACAAAAATTAACTGTGTCTGGTGGTGTGTGCCTGTAATCCCAGCTGCTCAGAAGGCTGAGGCAGGAGAATCGCTTGAACCTGGGAGGCAGAGGTTGCAGTGAGTCAAGACCACACCACTGCAGTCTAGCCTGGGCGACAAAGTGAGACTCCATCTCATAATGAATAAATAAATAAAATAAATACATGCCGGGCCTGGTGGCTCACGCCTGTAATCCCAGCATTTGGGAGGCAGAGGTGGGCAAATTGCTTCAGTCCAGGAGTTTGAGACCAGCCTGAGTGACACGGTGAAACCCTGTCTCTATTAAAAAACAAACAAACAAACAAAAATTAGCCAGGCGTGGTGGTGCATGCCTGTAGTCCCAGCTACTTGGGAGGCTGAGGTGGAAAGATCACTTGAGCCTGGGAGACAGACGTTGCAATAAGCCGAGACTGTGCCACTGCACTCCAGCCTGGGCGACAGAGCAAGACCCTGTCTCAAATATAAATAAATACATTTTAAAAAGAAATAAAAAAGGAAACACAAAGCAGTCTTGGCTCCATAGAGTTTTCTTTTCTCAGTTTTAAGAGTTATTTCTTATGCCTGTAATCCCAGCACTTTGGGAGGCTGAGGCAGGAGGATCACTTGAGTTCAGGAATCCAAGGCCAGCCTGGGCAACATGGCGAAACCCTATCTCTACAAAAAATACAAAAAATAAGGCCAGGCATGCTGGCGGGCGCCTGTAATCCTAGCTACTTGGGAGGCTGAGGCAGGAGAATGGCGTGAACTCGGGAGGCGGAGGTTGCAGTGAGCCCAAATTACGCCACTGCACTCCAGCCTTGGGTGACAGAGCGAGACTCTGTCTCAAAAAAAAAAAAAAAAAAAAGAATAAATAAGAAAGGATAGCCAAGAAAATTTTGTAAAGGAACAGAAATAAGGTCAAGCTTGCTCTAACAGATATTAAAATAGGTCACAAAGCCACAGTATTTAAAGCGGTATAGTACCATTTCAGGAACAGACAACTCATTGGAACTGTGTAGAAAACCCCAAAATCAATGCAGAAGCTGAACTTCTCAAGGCTGCAACATGAGACAGATCCACAGTCTACAAAACACTGCCTGACTTTTCAAAAAGACACGGAAAGGCGGAGGGAGTGTTCTGGGTTAAAGGATGAAAACACAAGAGCCAGATGCAGTGGGAATTCGGGACTGGCTCTGAGGTTACGGAAAATTAGCAAGGAACACACATAAATCACCCACAGAAGAAGAACTATAAATGGCCAATAAATAGATTAAAGCATTTAATGCCACTAAGGATATAAGAAATTTCCTTCCTTCTTTGTTTTTTGGTAGAGACGGGGTCTCGCTGTGTTGCTCTGGCGGGTCTTGAACTCCTGGGCTCAAGCAGTCCTCTCACCTCAACCTCCTGAGTCTGGGATTACAAGGTGTGGACTACCACAAATGGGTAATTTATTTTTATTTTTATCTTTCTGTAGAGACAACCTTGCTTTTTTTTTTTTTTTTTTGAGACGGAGTCTTGCTCTGTCGCCCAGGCTGGAGTGTAGTGGTGCCATCTCGGCTCACTGCAGCCTCTGCCTCCTGGGTTCAAGCAATTCTCCTGCCTCAGCCTCCCCAGCAGCTGGGATTACAGGCGAGTGCCACCATGCCCGGCTAATTTTTGTATTTTTAGTAGAGACGGGGTTTCACCATGTTGGTCAGGCTGGTCTCAAACTTTTGACCTCATGATCCACCCGCCTCGGCCTCCCAAAGTGCTGGGATTATAGGCGTGAGCCACCGCACCTGGCCATCTTGCTATCTTTTTAAAGATACAAGTTGTGGCTGGGTGCACTGACTCATGCCCATAATCCCAGTACTTTGAGAGGCCATGGTGGGCAGATCGCTTGAGCCCAGGAGTTCAAGACCAGCCTGGGCAACATGGCAAAACTCCATTTAAACAAAAAATATAAAAATTAGCCATTAGGCATGGTGGTACACACCTGTGGTCCCAGCTACTTGGAAGGCTGAGGTGGGAGGATCACTTGAGCCTAGGAAGCCGAGGCTGCAGTGAGCTGTGATTGCACCACTGCACTCCAGCCTGGGTGACAGAGCCAGGCCCTGTCTCAAAGGACAAAAAAAAAAGAAGTTTTTGGGTTCTGGGTGACAGAGCCAGGCCCTGTCTCAAAAAAAAAAAAAAAAAAAAAAAATAGAAGTTTTTGGTTTTTTTTTCACTTATCATACCAGATTAAAAAAATAGTACCCAGATATGTAAAGCTATAGTAAAACATATACATGATACAATTTGTAATGAAAAAATAAAAAAAAATGGGGGCTGGGCGCGGTGGTTCATGCCTGTAATCCCAGCACTTTGGGAGGCAGAGGCGGGTGGATCACCTGAGGTCAGGAGTTTGAAACCAGCCTGGCCAATATGGTAAAACCCCATCTCTACTAAAAATACAAAAATTAGTCAGGCGTGTTGGTGCATGCCTGTAATCCCAGCAACTCGGAAGGCTGACTCAGGAGAATTGCTTGAACCGGGAGGGGGAGGTTGTAGTGAGCCGAGATTGCACCACTGCACTCAAGCCTGGGCAACAGAGCAAGACTGTCTCAAAAAACAAACAAACAAATGAGAACCAAAACCAAACCAAAACAAAACAAAAACCCAGCAGAAAACACATTGAAATGTTACTAATAACTATATCTGGATCCTGAAAATTGGAGGCTTTTTATATTGTGTTTATTGTAATCTGAAGTTTCTGTAATGAAAACGACACAATTAGGGAAATATTTTTAAAAATGCATGTCTTAGATGAAGGGGTGTTACCTGAGATGTAAAATGGGGCTGCACCTGTCCCAAAGGTGGGCTGCGATCCAAAGGCCTCCTGGGCTCCTCGCCTGGCTTCCGGGCCTCAGGGGCAGGAGGGAGGGCGTGGTGCAACAGCCACCCTGGGAATGGGATGGGGACAGAGTTTGTTCTCTGTGCATCACTTCTGGATTCCTCTTGTGTTGAATGCAAACACTCAGAAAGAACAGCATGTTCCTTTTCAAAACCAAAGTAACTTCCATTACATCGAGAACTTGGGGAGGGCCGGACAACAGTGAACTGTGACACACAGCATTTCGGTAGAGCTCTTGCACACACAATGCCACGCCCCTGCCACACACAGCCCTTGCTGTCCTCACAGCGGGGGCAGCAAGCACATTCGCTAACAGAAGCACCCAGACGCCCTTTCTGTGGCAGGCACAAAGAAGAAGCAAAAACTTGCCAGGTGCGGAGGCTCACGTCTGTAATCCCAGCACTTTGGGAGGCTGAGGCAGGTTGCTCACTTGAGGCCAGGAGTTCGAGATCAGCCTGGCCAACATGGTGAAACTCCGTCTCTACTAAAAATACAAAAATTAGCTGGGCGTGGTGGTGGGCACCTGTAATCCCAGCTACTCGGGAGGCTGAGGCAGAAGAATTGCTTGAACCCGGGAGGCAGAGGTTGCAGCGAGCCGAGATCATGCCACTGCACTCCATCCTGGGTAACTCCATCTCAAAAAGCAAGCAAACAAACAAACAAAAGAAGCAAAAGCTTAAGTATAACAACTTAAAAATGATGGTTCTACTCAAAGCTTCGGCATGCTAGCTTACTTAGAAATGACCCCACATCAAACGAGATCCTTTCATCAATTCCATTCATGTTATGTTATGTAAAGATCTGCTCCTTCTCTAAGCAGACACATCAGAAGACATAATTACTGAAATAACATTTCCCAGGATTACAAATCAGTTTCGTTAAACTCACTGAGGATTCCAACAAGGTTTTTGGAGGGTGTTTATAACTGTTGACATTTCACATATTGGAAATTGAAACAGACATTTTTTTTTTTGAGATGGAGTTTCGCTCTTGTCCCCCAGGCTGGAGTGCAGTGGCGCGATCTCGACACCCCCAGAACATCCACCTCCTGGGTTCAAGCAATTCTCCTGCCTCAGCCTCCCAAGTAGCTGGGATTACAGGCATGCGCCACCACGCCCGGCTAATTTTGTATTTTTAGTAGAGACGGGGTTTCTCCATGTTGGTCAGGCTGGTCTCGAATTCCCGACCTCAGGTGATCTGCCCGCCTTGGCCTCCCAAAGTGCTGGGAATACAGGTGTGAGCCATGTGCCTGGTCAAAACAGAAAAATTTTAAAGCTTTTTTATCAATTAACTTGAAGTTAGCCATGATGAACATATTGCTTATGATCAACATCTGAGGAGCATCGCAGGATTAGCTCTGCCCTGTGGACATCCCGAGATGGGCCCTCAAGTAAAGCATCAGTTTCTTCTACGCAATAAAAGAACCCAAAGATGACACTTGGAAATGAACGTGTTTCCCTTGGTTTATAAACACCTGAATTTAAAAGCCATGAAGTCAGAAGATGCACGTGTGGGCAAAAACCTCCTGAAGACACTCAACACCATTGGTCACCAGGAGAATGTAAAATCAAGCCCACTATGGGATCCCGCCTCACACCCACTAGGTTGGCTGGGATCAACAGGATAGAAAACAGCTGGGTGCGGTGGCTCACACCTGTAACCCCAGCACACTGGGAGGCCGGGTGGGGGGGATCCTTGATGTCAGGTGTTGGATACTGGCGTGGGCAACACAGTGAGATCCCACCTCTATTTTTAAAAGAAATTTTTTTAAATATAAAAAAAATAAAGTTTTTAAAGATATGCAATAAAAGTATTCTTAATTAAAAAAAACCCCGACAGAAAATAGCAAGTGCTGGTGCAGATGTGGAGAAATCAGAACCTTCGTGCGCAGCTGGTGGGCATGGGAGGCGGTTTGGTGGCTCCTTACCAGGTTAGACACAGAATTCCCACATGACCCAGCAAGGCCACTTCTAGGGAGGCATCCAAGAGAACTGAATGTTCACAGCAATATTATTCACAATAGCCCAAAGGCGGAAACCATCCAAATGTCCATCAAACTGATGGACAAATGCCTACAGTGGCCTGTCCCCCAGCAAAGAGCTCTTCCCATGGAAAGGAATTAAGTGCAGACGCCCCAGCACGAGGGACCCTCAAACAGGACACAGAGGGAAAGAAGCCAGGCACAAAGGGACACATCCTGTGGGATCCTGCTGAAGTGAAACGTCCAGAACAGGCAAAGGCATGGAGGCAGAATGTGGGTGCTGGGCGGGGGACAGGAAGCAACTGCGAATGAGTGTGGGGTTTCCTCTGAAGTGAAAGGAATTCTGGAACAAATGATGATGCTCGCACAACATTCTTGACGTGCTTAATGCACTGAACTGTATACTTTGTATACTTCATGAGCTTTCAACAGTACATTTTATATGTATAGTACCAAAAAAAAAAAAAAAAAAAGAAAACTAGTTTTTTTGAGACAGAGTCTTGCTCTGTCACCCAGGCTGGAGTGCAGTGGTGCAATCGCGGCTCACTGCAGCCTCCACCTCCTGGGCTCAAGCGATCCTCCCACCTCAGCCTCCCAAGTAGCTGGGACCACACCCAGCCAAGTTTTTTGTTTTTTAGTAGAGACAGGGTGTCACTATTCTGCCCAGGTTAGTCTCAAACTCCTAGCCTCAAGTGATCCTCCTCCCTTGGCCTCCCAAAGGGCTGGGATTAGAGGCATGAGCCACTGCACCCAGCTGAAAGCTAGGTCTTGTTTTCTCAATCCTTACTTGGTTGAAAGAAAGCTAGTTTTTTAAAAAGCCATGAAATGTGTTAAAATCTTAGCAAAGTTAGCCCAATTTTGATGGGTTTGTTTCCTTGGTGTACTACTTTTTTTTTTTTTTTTTTGAGACAGAGTCTTGCTCTGTCATCCAGGCTGGATGGAGTGCAGTGGTGTGATGTTGGCTCACTGCAACCTCCACTTCCCAGGTTCAAGCAATTCTCCCGCCTCAGCCTCTTCAGTAGCTTGGATTACAGGCACCTGCCACCATGCCCGGCTAATTTTTGTATTTTTAGTAGACAAGGGGTTTCACCGTGTTGGCCAGGCTGGTCTTGAACTCCTGCAAGCATCCTATGATCCGCCCACCTCGGCCTCCCGAAGTGCTGGGATTACCGGCGTGAGCCACTGCACCCAGCCTTCCTTCGTTTACTATTTATTGACTTCCCCTAAACTATGAAGGGTTATTCTTTACTTTCTATGTAATCTGTTCAGACAGCAAAGGTGCTGTCTTACCAGGGTAATTTTCCGTGCTTTTGTTGACTTATTATGTCTTGATGGTTTCAGAAAACAAAGCTTCCCATGCTTATGAAAGAGCTAAGTTTCTCTATAACTGTTCTCTCCTATGTTTAAGCTTTTTGTCACTTTCACGTGGGTAGCTAAATATTATTTCTCAGGTACCCATGAGTCTTAATGTTCAAATCTCCTGACATTTTTTTTTCCTTCTCAAAATTGAATTCTAAATGTCAAATAAAATAAAGCTTTCAGGAGACTTTTCTTTTTTTTTTTTTTGAGATGGAGTCTCGCTGTGTCGCCAGGCTGGAGTGCAGTGGCGCAATCTCGGCTCACTGCAACCTCTGACTTCTTGGTTCAAGCGGTTCTCCTTCCTCAGCCTCCCGGGTAGCTGGGATTACAGGCACCCGCCACCATGCCTGGCTAATTTTTGTATTTTTAGTAGACGCGGGGTTTCACCTTGTTGGCCAGGATGGTCTTGATCTCTTGACCTCGTGATCCACCTGCCTCGGCCTCCCAAAGTGCTGGGATTACAGGTGTGAGCCACTGTGCCCAGCCCCAGGAGACCTTTTATATTTAAAATGATCTATGAGATGTCCTAGAAGTTCCCTGGAAAATCACAAAATTTTTTTCTTATAAAAAGAGAGGTATTTGAAATAATTAGGTACAAGGTGGGGTGTGGTGGCATGCGCTTGTGGTCCCAGCTACTTGGGAGGCTGAGGCAGGAGGATCTCTTTTTTTTTTTTTTTTTTTGAGACGGAGTCTCGCTCTGTTGCCCAGGCTAGAGTGCAGTGGTACAATCTCGGCTCACTGCAAGCTCCGCCTCCCGGGTTCACGCCACTCTCCTGCCTCAGCCTCCCGAGTAGCTGGGACTACAGGTGCCCACCACCACGCCTGGCTAATTTTTTGTATTTTTAGTAGAGACAGGGTTTCACCCTGTTAGCCAGGATGGTCTCGATCTCCTGACCTCGTGATCTACCTGCCTCAGCCTCCCAAAGTGCTGGGATTACAGGCATGAGCCACCGCACCTGGCTGAGACGGGAGGATCTCTTGAGCCAAGGAGGTCAAGGCTGCAGTGAGCTGTGATCACACCACTGCCCTCCAGCCTGCATGACAGAGGTCTCTATCGAAAAAAAAAAGTAAAAAGAAAAAAGATGTTAAGGAAATGATTAGGTTTCTTTGATGTGTTAGGATTGATGAGTGCCACGGGAAGACTGCCGAGTCGGAAGAGACGCATGGCCTGCCCCGGGTCGGAAGAGACGCGTGGCCTGCCCCGGGTCGGAAGAGACGCGTGGCCTGCCCCGGGCTGTGTGTGTCAGGTAACTTGTTCGTCTGAGGCACTGAGGAACTGTGTGCTGTGCTGCACGGAGACGTCCCGGGTGCCCACGGCGCTTCTCTTCATTAGAGTCCCGAAGCCATTTGCCAGATGCTGTCAGCCGGCAGCAGTCCAGAGCTAGCAGGCATAAACCCCGTCACTGCCGTTACGTTAACTTAGGTGTCACCTTACTTTAACGTGAGCTGTGCATCTCTGATGCCCAGAGTTTGTAGCAGGGCGACCGTCACTCACTCTGGGGCTGTGTTACTAGGCAGACGGCCACCGCCTGCCCCACACTTTTTGCCTCTCCACTGGATATTCTTGGTATAGTCATGGAATAGTCAGCTTCACACTTATCTGTAAATAATTTCCTCTGTAAAAATCATGCTCATCCAGTTTTAGAAATCAGATATTCTGTTTCTGGCATCTTTGAAAACAGCGTCAACGTCTTGGATTAACTTTGTCTAGAACTCTTTTTTGGACTCTGTTTCCAGATGTCTACAGGACAAGCAAATGTTCCTTCTCAGTTGCATTATTCTTGCTATGAACAGACCTTTCACTTTGAAAAGTGGCAGTGGTAAATTCACCATGGCCATGTGCAGTCTTTTGTCATCCACAGTTTTTTTATTTTTATTTTTTGAGACGAAGTCTCAAAGAAGACTCCTGACCCAGGCTGGAGTGCAGTGGTGGGATCTCGGCTCACTGCAACCTCCGCCTCCTGGGTTCAAGCAATTCTCGTGCCTCAGCCTTTCGAGTAGCTGGGATTACAGGTGCCCACCACCACACCCAGCTAATTTTTGTGTTTTTAGTAGAGATGGTGCTTTGCCATGTTGACCAGGCTGATCTGGAATTCCTGACCTCAGGTGATCCACCTCCCTCATTCTCCCAAAGTGCTGGGATTACAGGCGTAAGCCACCACGCCCAGCCCCATCCACGATTTTTGTGTTACTCTGATGCTCCCCAGAAAGCTCAGAGTGCTTCTTCATCTTGAACAGGGACTGTCTCAGAGCCTGGGAAAAGGACTGGGCAGGCACCATGGGCACAGGCTTCTGATGGCGGCATTTAGATGACACTGAGCCCATCCCAGGACTCAGTCTCTAGTCGAGAAGCAGATGGATTGTTGAGACCAAGAACCAAGATGGAGTGGAACAAGAACGGACCTCACAGGAGGGGATGAACCGATGGTGGAGGATGACAGCTTTTGTTAAGAATACGGCTGATGTTTTTTTAATGTTCTACTTTCTGGATATATAGAGAACTCTTCCTCTTTCCTCTGAAGCTATGTACAGTCCACACAAATTTTGTAGTCTCTGCTTTTGTGAATCAAAACAGAACATTTGTAAGTGATACCTTGTTTTTTTTGTTTGTTTTTTTTGAGACAGAGTCACGCTCTGTTGTCCAGGCTGGAGTGCAGCAGCGCAATCTCGGCTCACTGCAAGCTCCGCCTCCCCAGTTCACGCCATTCTCCTCCATCAGCCTCCCGAGTAGCTGGGACTACAGATGCCCGCCACCACGCCCAGCTAATTTTTTTGTATTCTTAGTAGAGACGGGGTTTCACCATGTTAGCCATGGTGGTCTCAATGTCCTGACCTCATGATCTGCCTGCCTCGGCCTCCCAAAGTGCTGGGATTACAGGCGTGAGCCACCACGCCTGACCAATTTTTGTATTTTTAGTAGAGATGGAGTTTCACCATGCTGGTCAGGCTGGTCTCAAACTCCTGACCTCAGCTGATCCATCGGCCTCAGCCTCCCAAAGTGCCGGGATTACAGGTGTGAGCCACCGTGCCCGGCCAGGGATATCTTACTCTCCCGGCCTGAGTCCTCCAGAATTCAGAAACTTGTTGAGTACTCTTACTTTCAAAGTAATATAGTTATTTGCATAGTTTCAATGAGAATCTTTGTTTTTTACCAGGACTGGAATTGGAAATACTTCTTGTGTAACCAAGGCCCTGCATGGAAGGCCAAATCTGAGAAGACGCCCATTTAGTCAGTCACCAGCAGCCACTTGTAAGGAACCACAGCGATGTTACAGAGCCCACATCCACGAAGCCCTCCAAGGAGAACCCGGCACAGCGCCTGGCTTGTAGGATGGCAGGTGCATCTGGAGGGCATTGCCTGGCAGGCCCAGGAACCTGGGCTAGTTTGGAAACCTTAAGAAAGGAATTTGCTCAAATTTATAGGGCAGGTGAAATCTGGCGGGTTCTTGGCTTGGTTTTCTAGCCTCAGGACAGCAAGCAAGAGGCTTTTATTTATTTTATTTTAAATTATTTATTATTATTTATTTATTTATTCTTTTTTTTGAGATGGAGTCTCGATCTGTCACCCAGGCTGGAGTGCAGTGGTGTGATCTCCACTCACTGCAACCTCCGCCTCCCAGGTTCAAGCTATTCTCCTGCCTCAGCCTCTTGAGTAGCTGGGATGACAGGCACGTGCCACCACGCCCGGCTAATTTTTTTTTTTTTTTTTTTTTTGTGAGACAGAGTCTTGCTCTTGTTGCCAGGCTGGAGTGCAATGGCATGATCTCGGCTCACTGCAACCTCTGCCACCCTGGTTCAAGCGATTCTTCTGCCTCAGCCTCCTGAGTAGCTGGGACTACAGGCACCTGCCACCATGGCTGGCTAATTTTTGTATTTTTAGTAGAGACAGGGTTTTGCCATGTTGGCAAGGCTGGTCTTGATCTCCTGATGGACCTCGTGGTCCACCTGCCTAGGCCTCCCAAAGTGTTGGGATTACAGGCGTGAGCCACCGCGACTGCCCTAAAATTATTTTTTAAAGAGGCTTTTAAAAGTCAATCTGAAATTCTTTACGGAAACTTCTAAGAAAGCAAACTTAAGAATGCAGAGATGGTGAATTAGCACTCTCGCTGCACCTATGGAAATAACCAAGCCATCTACAAACCAGCTCCATTTTGTGAGATCAGGAACAACCTTTCTGATCCTTTTGTGGTTCATCCGCCTGATGATTGGGTTTTCATGCAGACGTGTGAGCTGTGCCTCCCTCAAGCCTTGTTACAACATCCGACATCCGCACATTACCTGTCTGATGCCCGGGGAAAAAACACCTTTCTTTGAGATTACTTTCCATCAAAAGCAGAGAAACTGTAGGGAAAAAAAATGAGCTTCCGTAGAAACTGCTTTGTCTACTGCACTTCCACTGGGTTATCTGCGTCCAGCCCCTCATTGTCTTTGCGATTTGAGCTGCTTTGCGATTTTACCACTGATAGGCATGCGGATTCTGCCCTGCCTGCCTCTCCCCTCTACCAGAACCAGTTCTGCCTCCATCTGAAACTCGATTCTTTTACTCCATGTAGATTTGTGCTTTTTTGACCTTTCCTTGGAACTGGTTACAGCATCTGTCCAGTTTCCTCATTGTTTAATGAACAGAATACAATCCTAAACAAATGCTCATTTTTCATATTTGGGAGCCACATTTTACTTCTTTCTGAAAATTATCTTTTAACGCATAGTTAAATAAGTATTGCTGGACACAGTTAAACCTCAGTAAGGACACTGTATTATGAACCAGGATGAGCCATAGCTGTCCTGAACATTTCTGCTCTAAGTAACACAGCACTGAAGTTGTGTTTGTTTTTTTTTTTTCTTGAGACGGAGTCTTGCTTTGTCGCCCAGGCTGGAGTGCAGTGGCGTGATCTCAGCTCACTGCAACCTCTGCCTCCCAGGATCAAGCGATTCTTCTGCCTCAGCCTCCCGAGTAGCTGGGACTATAGGCGCGCAACACCAAGCCCGGCTAATTTTTATATTTTTAGTAGAGATGGGGATTTCACTGTGTTGGCCAGGTTGGTCTTGAACTCCTGACCTCGTGATCTGCCTGCCTCAGCCTCCCAAAGTGCTGGGATTATAGGCGTGAGCCGCTATGCCCGGCCTAGCACTGAAATTTATAAAACATGATGGTGAGAAGGAGAAATGGACAAAATCACAGGAGCAATGGAGGATTTTAACACTTTGTGGCTTTTGGCAGTTCAAATTGAGGAGCATAAATAAATTTATAAAGAATATCAATACGTATATTTAATATGGTTGTTAAATAGAATAAAATAAAAAGTAGTATTCCGCACATTTGGTTTAATAAATAACCAAAGGAATTCTGAAATTCCCCCTAACAAGTAGCTCGTGAAATAGAAAAACAGCCCACACTGGCCGGGTACGTGGCTCACGCCTGTAATCCCAGCACTTTGGGAGGCCGAGGTGGGTGGATCACCTGAGGTCAGGAGTTCGAGATCAACCTGACCAACATGGAGAAACCCCGTCTCTACTAAAAATACAAAACTAGCCGGGCGTGGTGGCACATGCCTGTAGTCTCAGCTACTCAAGGCCGAGGCAGGAGAATTGCTTGATCCCATGAGGCGGAGGTTGTAGATCGCGCCATTGCACTCTACAATGGCAACAAGAGTGAAACTCCGTCAAAAAAAAAAAAGCCCACAATGGCAGGCTATAGAGACAATGATTACACTGACAGTACTATCCCTCAAAACCTCTGGGGCTTGGCCAAAGTGATACTCATGAAAACTCTCACCTTAAGAAATGCAATTACTAAGCAAGAAAGAATAAAAATAAATGTGAAACATTCAATCTAAGAAATCAGGAGAAGAACAATAAAATAAACACAAGAACAAAAAGAGAAAAGATGGAATGGGAATTACTTCTGGTCAAGATACTGAAACCATCCAGTGGTTCCAGACAGCGACCTTTGAGGAAACCCCTGGAAAGGGGGAGGGGTGCTCTTACACACACACAGGCACACACACACACCCCACACGTGCACACACCCCACACGCGCACACACCCCACACGCACACACACGTGTCAGGGAGCACGTCTGACATGCCCCGTAAGATCTCCAGAAGAGATTAGACAGAAATGGAAGAAAGCAGTGTTTGAAAAACAATGACTGAGAATTTTAAAGAATAGAAAAACAACCAGCCAACCAACCTAAAATTTGGTCCTAAAATTTAAAAAACATACAGATTCCTGAGCAGGATTCAGGGAAACAAATCCACACTTAGACACAACAATGGTAAAACAGGAGCACCTAACAGATTGGGAGAAAAGTCTAAAAACAGCTTCCCCAGGCCGGGCGCAGTGGCTCACACCTGTAATCCCAGAACTTCAGGAGGCCAAGGCGGGTGGATTGCTTGAGCTCAGGAGTTCGAGACCAGCCTGGCCAACATGGTGAAACCTGTCTCTACTAAAAATACAAAAAAAAAAAAAAAAAATTAGCTAGGCTGAACCCGGGAGGTGGAGTTTGCACTGGGCCATGATCATGTCACTGCACTCCAGCCTGGGCAACAGACAGCAAGATTCCATCTCAAAAACAAAACAAAACAAAACAAAAAACAGCTTCCCCAAAGGCACTGAGATCAGACTGATGGCTGACCTCTCTGAAGACATAAGAATATTATCTTGAAAAGAAGTTGAGCCGGGCATGATGGCATGCATCTGTAGTCCCAGCTACTTGGGAGGCTAAGGCAGGAAGATTGCTTTAGCCCAAGAAATAGAGACTATAGTGAGCTACGATGGCACCACCATGCCAGCCTGGGTGTCAGAGCGAGACCCCATCTCTTTTAAAAAAAAAAGTAGTAGAAAAATGTCAACATACAGAAAATTCTATTTCCAGCTAAACCATCATTCTAGAAAGTCATCTACAGATACATAGCATGTACTCCCCACAGACTCTTGCTGAAGGAACTGACAAAGCAAAGGGCAGAGATCCCTGAATAAAAGTCCATTTCCCTTTTCTCTTTCCTAGAAAAGATGGGGCTGCCTTGTACCTGAGTCTGAGTATAAAGCCTTGTGTCCGATCAACTGCTCTCCAGGCTCCTGGAAGACCCCACTGTGGTAAACAGGGAACCGAGGTCAAGGAGCAGGCCTGGGAAGAGCTTCAATCAACTGTTTCATAAAATGTGAGCAAAAGTTATTACTTCCAACTCAATATATTGTTATAAGATTTTAAATACGTACGTGTCATTTAACTAATAAATTAAATGTAAATAGATACTTTACTATTTATGCACATATGCCTAATAAAGAGTATTGAGTCAGCTGCCAACTATTGGGAAACAACAAAGCGAGATCCCTAATTTGTTCTTTTTCACTAGATCATTTCCCGATGCATTAAAGACTCAGCAGGAAAATGACATGACGATAAAATACAAGTGGCCCCACAGTAAGCCCCCTACATACACACAAAATTAAAGAAGCACAAATTTAAAACAGGAAATCCTTTTACCTATTTAGATTGGCCCTCCAAATCAATTTTATTTCTTTTCTTTTTTTTTTTCTTTTTTTTTTTTTTGAGACAGAGTCTCGCTCTGTCACCCAGGCTGGAGTGCAGTGGCTTGATCTTGGCTCACAGCAAACTCCACCTCTCGGGTTCGAGATTCTCCTGCCTCAGCCGCCCGAGTAGCTGGGATTACAGGCACGTGCCCCAACACTTGGCTAATTTTTTTTTTTTTGTATTTTTAGTAGAGACGGGGTTTCATCATGTTGGCCAGGCTGGTCTCAAACTCTTGACCTCAGGTGATCAGGCGGTGGCTCACACCTGTAATCCCAGCACTTTGGGAGGCTGAGGTGGGCAGATCACTTGAGGTCATGAGTATGAGACCAGCCTGGCCAACATGGTGAAACCCCGTTTCTACTAAAAATACAAAAATTAGCTGGGCATGGTGGCGGGCGCCTGTAATACCAGCTACTTGGGAGGCTGAGGCAATAGAATCGCTGGAACCCGGGAGGCGGAGGCTGCAGTGAGCCGAGATCGCACCACTGCACTCCAGCCTTGGCAACAGAGATTCTGTCTCAAAAAAAAAAAGTTAGCTATCATAAAGAAGTTTACTAGAAACAACATTTTAAGGAATCCCAGCTTTCTACAGGATCAAGGAAATGCCATGTGCAGCTGATTTCTGGAAGGCGCAGAGGGAGGGTGAGCTCCAGGCACTGCCCACTCTGTGGGCAGAGGGGCCTGCAGGCAGGGTCCCACAGCACCTGCCTCCTGCTTCCCCCTGCAGGCCCCTGAGTGGGGCTGTTCTCACTCCCCGCCCTGGTCTCGGCCGGAACCCTGTAGCAGGCAGGTGAAGCTCCTTATCTCAGAGGGGGCCCACCATGTCACCTGCTGGAGTTGGCTCCACAGTCTGAATGGGGTGTTGGCAGGAACCAGTGTCACCAGAGCACAGGGGACGCCCCGGCACCTCCCCCCACAGCCATCTATATGGGCACCGGCAGCATGAGACAGGCTCTATGCCTGAAAGCAGCCGAGAGCCAGTGAAGTGGCGGTCAGCTTGCTCCCTGCGGGATGCGGCCCCTTCCCAGAGGCGGACAGGTGAGGACATGCACTGAGGCAGCTGCAGGTGACCCCTGGGCCACCGGTGCTGGGGCAGAGTAGCTGTTGTGAAGTGGACTAGAGAAGCATCTAGAAACAGCCACAGGCAGAGCAGGTCCTGCTCAGCCCCCTGGCTGGACGGCTGTCCCACGTTGAATAATGATGATATGTTTGTCACAGCTGGCCATTCTGTACTACTTAATGATTGCAGCCACATCATTTATGAACCGGATAAGTGATCTTAGGAAAAAAATGCAGATAGACCAGTCAGTCTTGCCTAAACCTTTGCAATCAGGACTCATCTTTTTTATTTTTTTAAATGTTTTTAGAGACTGGATCTCCTGTGCTGCCCAGGCTGGAGTGCAGTGATTATTCACAGGCAGGATCATACCCACTGCAGCCCCGACCTCCTGCGCTCAAGCAATCCTCCCACCTCAGTCTCCCAAGTAGCTGGAACTTCAGACACACAACACCATGCCCAGCTAAGAACTCAATGTTTAGGTGGGGAGGACGGCCTTCCCAAAAAGAAACAAATGGGGTATGTTTGGTATAATCAAAGCCAAACCAAAAGTCCCCATTCTTCTCTTCTCACTCTACTTTCTTCTCTAAATTGCCAATAAATCGACAAACTTCCATTGAGTCCTCCCTATGGATGTGTGCATGCATGCACACACACGGTCTAACATACAAATGCATGTGTGCACACAGTCTCACATACAAATGTATGTGCACAGTCTCACACACAAACGTGTGTGCACACAGTCTCACATACAAACGCACATGCACAGTCTTGCACACAAACGCTTGTGCAGTCTCGCAAACAAACGTGTGTGCACACACACAGTCTCACATACAAATGCACGTGCACACACACAGTCTCGTCTCGGGAAGTGCTAGGATTACAGGCGTGAGCCACCACACACAGCCGAGGAAACATCTCTTTAGCCAGATTTGGGCCTGGCGACATAGGAACTGAAGAAGGCAGAAAGTATCTGGCACTCAGCAGGGGCTCCTCTACTGGATGGGTGGATGGATATATGGATGGTAGGTGGATGAGTGACTGGATGATTGGATGGATGGGTGGATGGGTGAGTGAAAGGATGGATAGGTGGGTGGGATAAGTGGTTGGATAAATGGATGGATAGGTGGGTGCATGGGTAGGTGGATGGATGGATGGATGAATGGATAGATGGATGAATGGATGGGTGGATGCAAAGATAGATGAATGGATGGATGAATGGGTGGGTGGGTGGGTGGATGGATGGGCGGATGGATAGATGGATGGGTGGGTTGGTGGATGAGTGAGAGTGGCTAATTGGATACATGGGTGGATAGATGAACAGATGGATGGGTGGGTGAATGGATGGATAGATAAGTGGGATAAGTGGTTGGATGGATAGATGGATAGGTGTATGGACGGATGGACAGGTGAGTGTGTGGGTAGGTGGATGGATAGATGGGTGGGTGGACGGATGGATGGATACATTAATAGATGGATGGGTGGGTGGGTGTACGAATGGATGGATGGATGGGTGGGTGGATGGATAGATGGATGGATGATTGGGCGGGTGGGTGGATGGATGGGTGGATGGATACATGGAAGGGTGGGTGGGTGAATGGATGAATGGGTGGGTGGATGGATGGATGGATAGATAGGTGGGTGGATGGATGGGTGGGTGGATGGTAGATGGATGGATGGATGGGTTGGTGCGTAGATGGATAGATGGATGGGTGGGTGGGTGGGTGAATAGATGAATGGGTGGGTGGATGGGTAGATGGATGGATGGTTGGATGGGTGGGTGAATGGATGAATGGGTGGGTGGATGGATGGATGGATAGATAGGTGGGTGGATGGATGGTAGATGGATGGGTGGGTGGGTGGATGGGTAGATGGATGGATGGTTGGATGGGTGGGTGAATGGATGAATGGGTGGGTGGATGGATGGATGGATAGATAGGTGGGTGGATGGATGGTAGATGGATGGGTGGGTGGGTGGATGGATGGATGGGTGGGTAGATGGGTGGATGGATGGATGGGTGGGTGGGATAAGTGGTTGGATGGTTAGATGGATGGATGGATGGATGGATGGATGGATGGATGGATGGATGAATAGATAGGTGGGTGGATAGATGGGTGCGTGGATGGTAGATGGATGGATGGATGGGTGGGTGGGTAGATGGGTAGATGGATGGATGGATGGATGGTAGATGGATGGATGGGTGGATGGATACATGGATGGGTGGGTGAATGGATAAATGGGTGGGTGGATGGATGGATGGATGGATAGGTGGGTGGATGGATGGGTGGATGGGTGGGTGGGTGAATGGATGAATGGGTGGGTGGATGGATGGATGGATAGGTGGGTGGATGGATGGGTGAGTGGATGGGTAGATGGATGGATGGTTGGGTGGGTGGGTGGGTGGATGGATGGGTGGGTGGATACATGGATGGGTGGGTGGGTGAATGGATGAATGGGTGGGTGGATGGATGGATGGATAGATAGGTGGGTGGATGGATGGGTGGGTGGATGGTAGATGGATAGATGGATGGGTGGGTGAGTAGATGGATAGATGGATGGGTGGGTGGGTGAATAGATGAATGAGTGGGTGGATGGGTAGATGGATGGATGGTTGGGTGGGTGGGCAGACGGATGGGTGGATGGATACATGGATGGGTGGGTGGGTGAATGGGTGGGTGGATGGATGGATGGAAAGATAGGTGGGTGGATAGATGGTAGATGGATGGATGGGTGGGTGGGTGGATGGATGGGTGGGTGGGTAGATGGGTGGATGGACAGATGGATGGGTGGGTGGGATAAGTGGTTGGATGGTTGGATGGATGGATGGATGAACAGATAGGTGGGTGGATGGATGGGTGGGTGGGTGGATGGTAGATGGATGGATGTATGGGTGGGTGGGTAGATGGGTAGATGGATGAATGGATGGGTGGTGGATGGATGGTAGATGGATGGATGGGTGGGTGGACGGATGGTTGGGTGGGTGGATGGATGGATGGGTGGGTGGGTAGATGGATGGATGGGTAGATGGGATAAGTGGTTGCATGGATGGATGGATGGATGGATGGGTGGATGAATAAATAGGTGGGTGGATGGATGGGTGGGTGGATGGCGGATGGATGAGTGGGTGGATGAATGGATGGGTGGGTGGGTAGATGGGTAGATGGATGGATGGATGGATGGGGGGGGTGGGTGAATGGATGGATAGATGGATGGGTGGTTGGATAGATGGATGGATAGGTAGGTGGGTGGATGCATGGAGGAACAGATGGATGACTCACTGAAACACTCAGTCATAAAGCCAGTGCCCCTTGCCTTTCTTAGGAAGTCAGCTCCGGTGTCTGTGTCCAAGATGCCCAGCCTCCACCTCAGTCAGGAGACACTGCTGCCTTTACCTGGAGAAGTCTGCGGCCATCTTCGCTGCTCACCACAGAGCCGCACAGAAATGCCGGCTGCTTTGCTAACCTGCGGTGTTGTTCTCACAAATGCTGCCAGCGAAGTGGGTCCCCAGAGCGCCCGCAGCTAAGATGAGGTCCTGCTCTGTGCAGTGGCCTCCGACCAGGCCCCGCTCACAAGAGGGGCTTCTGTGCTCCTTCGGGCCTTCCTGAGAAGGCTGCGTCCAGAGCCCTCCCACTGACCCCAGGCGCACACCCAGAACCTGACCCGCACCCAGAACCAGGCGCACACCCAGAACCTGGCCCGCACCCAGAACCAGGCGCACACCCGGAACCTGACCCACACCCAGAACCAGGCGCACACCCAGAACCTGGCGCACACCCGGAACCAGGAGCACACCCAGAACCTGGCGCACACCCAGAACCAGGCACACACCCAGAACAAGGCCCACACCCAGAACCTGGCGCACATCCAGAACCAGGTGCACACTCAGAACCTGACCCGCACCCAGAACCAGGCGCACACCCAGAACCAGGCGCACACCCAGAACCTGGCACACACCCAGAATGTGACCCCCACCCAGAACCAGGCACACACTCAGAACCTGGTGCACACCCAGAACCTGACCCACACCCAGAACCAGGCGCACACCCAGAACCAGGCGCACACCCAGAACCTGACCCACACCCAGAACCAGGTGCACACCCAGAACCTGACCCGCACCTAGAACCAGGCGCACACCCAGAACCAGGCGCACACCCAGAACCAGGCGCACACTCAGAACCTGACCCGCACCCAGAACCAGGCGCACACCCAGAACCTGGTGCACACCCAGAACCAGGTGCACACTCAGAACCTGACCCGCACCCAGAACCAGGCGCACACCCAGAACCTGGTGCACACCCAGAACCAGGCGCACACCCAGAACCAGGCGCACACCCAGAACCTGACCCGCACCTAGAACCAGGCACACACCCAGAACCAGGCGCACACCCAGAACCTGGCACACACCCAGAACCTGACCCGCACCCAGAACCAGGCGCACACTCAGAACCTGGTGCACATCCAGAACCTGACCCACACCCAGAACCAGGCGCACACTCAGAACCTGACCCGCACCCAGAACCAAGCGCACACCCAGAACCTGGTGCACACCCAGAACCAGGAGCACACCCAGAACCAGGCGCACACCCAGAACCTGACCCGCACCTAGAACCAGGCACACACTCAGAACCAGGCGCACACCTAGAACCTGGCACACACCCAGAACCTGACCCGCACCCAGAACCAGGCGCACACTCAGAACCTGGTGCACACCCAGAACCTGACCCACACCCAGAACCAGGCGCACACTCAGAACCTGACCCGCACCCAGAACCAGGCGCACACCCAGAACCTGGTGCACACCCAGAACCTGACCCACACCCAGAACCTGACCCGCACCCAGAACCAGGCGCACACCCAGAACCAGGCGCACACCCAGAACCTGACCTGCACCTAGAACCAGGCACACACCCAGAACCAGGCACACACCCAGAACCTGGCACACACCCAGAACCTGGCGCACACCCAGAACCTGACCCGCACCCAGAACCAGGCGCACACTCAGAACCTGGTGCACACCCAGAACCTGACCCACACCCAGAACCAGGCGCACACCCAGAACCTGACCCGCACCTAGAACCAGGCGCACACCCAGAACCAGGCGCACACCCAGAACCAGGCGCACATCCAGAACCTGACCCACACCCAGAACCTGGCACACACCCAGAACCTGGCACACACCCAGAACCTGACCCGCACCCAGAACCAGGCGCATACCCAGAACCTGACCCGCACCCAGAACCAGATGCACACCCAGAACCAGGTGCACACCCAGAACCTGGCACACACCCAGAACCTGGCACACACCCAGAACCTGACCCACACCCAGAACCTGGCGCACCCCCAGAATCTGACCCACATCCAGAACCTGGTGCACCCCCAGAATCTGACCCACATCCAGAACCTGGCGCACACCCAGAACCAGGTGCACACCCAGAACCTGACCCACACTCAGGCCATGGCCTCCACTTCCCGGACTCACTTTCGGGTCGGCCCAGCTCTGCACGGAGCCTGTTCCCCATCTCGATGAGCTGCTCTTTCTCCAGGCGGAGGCTGATGATTTTTCTGGCTGCCTCCTTCAGCTTTCTCTGGAGTCGGTGCATAGATAAGGTCTGGGGGGCACGTGCCACTGACCGGAGGTGCAGGAAAAGCTCCCCCTGGTCCTCGGCCTCCATAGGCCCTCTCTTGGTGAGGCCCTGTAACAAAACTCACAGGCAGACACCCCTGTGAGGCTGCCCTCATGGGAGGACGCCAGGGGTGCCCACCCAAGGAGCCTCTTCACCTGCTCTTCCAGGGTGGGCACTGCTGGCTGTCACTGGGTGACATCCTTCCAAAAGAAAGACAAAAAGAGTCGCTGCTCCCAGTGCTTCAGTGGGTTCCTTCTCTTCCACAAATAGAATAAAGGCCCACAGATCTCCCAGGCCAGGGTGGCCCCCAGATCTCCCAGGCCCTCACAGCCCTCCGCCTCCTCCCCGCCATCCCTGCCTTCTGGTCATCTATGCCTTTGTGTCTTTCAAGTGAACACAAGGAGAATCTGAGGACACCCAACCAGCACAGCAGCTCCCCAGGGAGAGCAGAGAGAAGGCTGTGGCCTCCAGCAGTGCCCAGGACCCAGGAAGGCGGCCCAGGGAGAGCAGAGAGAAGGCTGTGGCCTCTAGCAGTGCCCAGGACCCAGGAGGACAGCTCCCGCCAGCGTGGCTTGGCCCTCCTCCACTCCTTGGGGTCCCTCCTTTCTCTACCTGCCAGCTGGACACCCCACAACCACCCTGCAGGCCGGCTGTGGCTTCCCTCCTGAAGCAGGTGCAGGGGGAGCACAAAGGCAGTGGAGAGGGAGGAGGCCGACACAGGGGCAGGAGCTGGCTGGGCTCCCCCTTAGCACCCCAAGCCTGGGTCAACCCTAGATCTGAGCCCCTGGGAAGCACTGTGTTGTCCTCACTCAGCCCAACCTGGACTTGCAGCCCACATCATTCCAGTGCTACAGAGTGCAATCCCAACACAAAGGGATGCCTGGACCAAAAATGGGGGCACAGGAAAAAGCAGTAGTGTCCAGGCCCTGGCAAGACGGGAGCCGACGACCTACTTCTCCCGTGCCACTCCTGGCCCCTGTAAGGAGCCAGGCTGCACCTGGCCCTGGCCACATGAGCTCCGAGTTC
The DNA here is from genome assembly GCF_000001405.40 of Homo sapiens. Classification (NCBI taxonomy): domain Eukaryota; kingdom Metazoa; phylum Chordata; class Mammalia; order Primates; family Hominidae; genus Homo; species Homo sapiens. The sequence continues at coordinate 82,152,731 of NC_000017.11, forward strand.
CTGGAACAGGCCAGCACACCCTGTCCCCGCCAGCTTCCTGGTGTGCCTTTCCAGGGCTGGCAGGTGCTGCTGCCTTCCAGGTGCTGCTGTTCTTTGGATGGCCTGGGGTGCAGCCACTGTATGCAGTGCCTCCGGGCATGTGCCGCAGGTTCATGTGGGACGCTCGGGGGCCGCGGGGGATGACACATCGAAGGGGAGAGATGTCTGCTTTCCTCTTGGACAGAGAAAGTTCTATGGTGCCGCAGGCCCCAGCTGAGGACGGGTGCAGGGCAGCCCCCATGAAGGCTCGCCACAGGCCTGAGCCCGAGTCCAGACTCGCTTCCTCCAGTAAGCGGGCCTCATGCCTGCTCCGTGAGCACCCTTGGCAAGTGTGGTGCAGAGGCTCACTCACCACCCTGGGAGAATAGACAGGAATGGGCTCTTGGGTGTGGGAGAGGCCAAGGCAGAGGGAGAGGAAGGGAGGCCTGTGCTGGTAAAACAGATTGCAGATGGCCTGGGGCTGGGGGAGAGGGGCCAGGCAGGTGAGACTCGCAAGTCCGGTTCTAAAACCCTGGATCCTCTACAGGAACACACTGGGTTATTTTGTTATTTTAACTGAAGAAAGAACAATCCCGAAAACAGATTTTGCAAACCTCAAAACACTTAGAGATTTAAGAGAAAATTCCGTCTTCAAAAGCAGTCCCCTCTCCCTGCAAAGTTACACCAGGCCCTGCGGCTGGTGCCAGGCTTGAGGGGCACTGAGGGGCCTTCTTGCTGTTGACCCCACAGGCAAAGGAAGGAGGGCATGGATCACAGGGCCCATGTCCTAGTCACGTGATTCTGCACACAGTGACCTGGGGGGCAGGGAGTGAACGATTCTACTTCTCTCGGATTCAGTTTCTGGTAAAATGTTATTTGGTAAAAGTTTATTTTGATGATTCTCTAAAATCTTTCCACAAAATAAGATTTCTACAGCCTGAGACATATTCAGGAATGTCTTCACCACTGTGTGCTCCAAGGGCTGCCCACCCCCAGCAGGGCAGCAGCAGCTGTCCACCCATCTGCCCCCACGCCTAGGACTGCCCCAGCACCCCACAGGTGAGGAGGAGATGTCTCCAAGTATCTGGACGATTCGAAGAAAATTCGAAGGAAACTTTGGTCTGCTGAAATGTCTTCACGTCCTGAGGACATGTATGAGTGAGTGACACAGGGAAGTCCTTCTCAGAGGCTGAGGCCTGGGCCTGGTACAGTGGGTTCCATCAGGCTGGGCCGGCGCTCACCGCCCCACACAGCCACTCCAACGCCTCTCGGCAGAGCCAGCACCAACACCATGGCCAACACTGCCCCCCAGTGGACCCAGGGATGTAACACATCCCCCAACTCAGCCCTGGCGGCCAGTGACTGGGGGAAGTTTTGTATTTTAAGGGCTAGAGGCAGCTGATGTGGGTGGTGCAGTCAGGGAAGCCCAAAGCCAGGCTGTGCGGCTCAGCCCAGTGGGACCTGCCTGGGAGCAGAGTGCCCCACTGTTGTCCACAGGCTCTCCCTCTGCCATGGGAGAAGTGGGAACACGTGCCTCCGCACACACCTGGTCCCAGCTTTGCAGACCTGGCTCCTTGGCTAGGGCCGTGGAAGGGGACCAGCTTTCGTCAGGAGTGCTGTGGGACAGTCCCTGGACCCCTGTGCACTTCCTCACCCACCCTGCACTGGCTTCCTGCACTACAGGAGGTAGGCTGGAGACGCAGTGCCGCGTCACACCTCAGTACTTGGGTGGGTGTACACAATACGTGACCTGGTCCGTGGCCCGTGTGCAAATGTCACCAACCGTCCAGATAACGCCCTGACGCCATCTCTCCTGTGCAGGGTCCAGGGTCCCACGTGGCATTTCTACACTGTCTCTCCTGTGCAGGGTCCATGGTCCCACATGGTGTTTCTACAGATGATGCCCTGACACCGTCTCTCCTGTGCAGGGTCCAGGGTCCCACGTGGTGTTTCTACGGATGATGCCCTGACGCCGTCTCTCCTGTGCAGGGTCCAGGGTCCCACGTGGCGTTTCTACGGATGATGACTTGATGCCCGTCTCTCCTGTACAGAGCCCAGGGTCCCACGTGGCGTTTCTACAGATGATGCCCTGACGCTGTCTCTCCTGTGCAGGGTCCAGGGTCCCACCTGGCATTTCTACATGGGGTCTCCCAGGTCTCCTAACTGGAGTGGCTCCCCAGCTTCCATGTTTGGGCACTCGCCAAGCATCTAGACCCGCTCATCTGCAGATGTCCCTCTGTTTGGGCTTGCCTGAGGTCTCCTCATGCATAAGCTCAGGTTCTGCATTTTTGGCAGGGACCCCGAGCGCGAGTCTGTGCCGTCTCAGTGCGACCCGCCCAGAGGCGCGTGACACGGGCGCATCCCAGCACTGGCGATGGGAGCTCTGATCACTCGGGTCAGCTGGGGTCAAACAGGCTGCTCCACTGGAAAGCCAGCATTTCCCTTGGAAATAAGAAGTCACGTGTGGGGAGATGCTGCTTCGCATCCGTCTGATGGGAATCCCTCTGGTTCAGCACCCATCCGTGGTCGCCCGGCGCGCCGTTCCTGTCGCGTTCCTTGGCTGGCACTCTCGCGTGGAAGAGTGCCCCGTTCCCCTGACCGATCTGTCCATTGCTATCAGCCTGGACCCATGATTTCCTGGTTGAGTCAGTGGATTGTGGTCTTCAACGTCACTGCCTATTGGCCTAGTTCTGGTCCTTGGGGACCCCTTTCAGCTGCTTCCTGTGCCTTCCGAACCTGCCTCCATGCTAGAGCCCGGGCTCCTGTGAGCAGGGCAGGAACCATGGAACTAGCGCCTGGAACTGTGGAACTGGCATCTGCTGTGGCTGAGTCCGGGCTGTGGGCCCTCTCAGGACAGAGCTGGGATCAGATGCACATGCAGCTCTACCCACTTCTCTCTATACCCAACATAACGGACACATTGATCCTCTACCTGAGGGTCCAGCCCCAACATGGCCCCTTCTCCGTCTGGGCTCCTTTCCCAGCAGCAAGCAGCAAGGACCTGGGCCCGCCCTCGTCTCCAGGAGCTCAGCCATGCTGCTTGGCAGAGGACAGAGCCCAGGTGGGCCTCGCCTGGGTGGAGAGCCCGGCCACAGGATGCTCAGACCCAGGAGGAGCCTGGAGCCCGACTGTCGCCTCCATGCATGTAGACACAGAGCCTGGAGTGTATGCCCCGCCTGTGCCTTAGCTCCAATAACTGGGATTGGGCTGCAGGTGGCTTCATCTCTCAATTTAAAATTCTGCTTATTTGGGCCAGGCACAGTGGGCCACTGTGCCTATAATCCCACCTGTAATCCCACCACTTTGGGGGACTGAGGCAGGCAGATCACTTGAAACCAGGAGTTTGAGACCAGCCTGGCCAACATGGTGAAACCCTGTCTCTACTGAAAACACAAAAATTGGCCGGGCGTGGTGCACCTGTAATCCCAGCTACTCAGGGGGCTGAGGCGGGAGAATTGCTTGAACCCGGGAGGAGGAGGTTGCAGTGAGCCAAGATAGCGCCAGTGCACTCCAGATTGGGCGACAGTGTGAGACTCTGTCTCAAAAAAAAAAAAGAAAGAAAAAATTCTGCTTATTTGTATAAATTCTTGCCCCTTCATTCTAAACAAGTGGGAAGACAGTGAACTACGCAAGGGCCAACAGTGAGAGCTCCTGGGGCCCCTTGCTGCCCAAGGAGGCGCCCGCCCGTGTCCGGGAACACATGGCGCTCAGGTGGGTGGGAGATGTGTGGGGGTACAGACATGCTTACCCCTGGCTGTGCTGCCAGCTGGCCCAAGGGCCACAGCCCCCACCGGGCAGGAGCCACCCTGGAGTGGCTGGACTGGGAGCCCAGGAGGGCTAGGGTGCTGGAGACCCCTGAGGACAAGACCTCCTTACCAACAGGTACAGGGGCAGGTGCAGCTCAATATCTTACCGACCAGCTCAGCCCTTCCTGTGCGCACTGGCTGAGCACCTGCTAGGGCCTCAGGCTCCCTCGGCCTTCCCATACCTGCCCTGTTGTACCCCTGAGGCATCCTTATGGTCTTGCCCATCCCATGCCAAGGCAGCTCTGGCCTGCTCCTCACTGTCCTGGAGCCTGAGACAGCCACGGCCGCATCTTCCTCAGTCCACTCTATTCCAGCCTGAGTCCCTGGGGATCTGCTCCCCAAGCACGGTGCCCTGGGGATCCACGCTGTCTTCCACTTTGTGCTTTCCAGACATCATCTACTGTCCCCAAAACCTTCTGTGGATTCATAGGTCACTATTGGTAACTATAGGTTACCACAGGTCATAGGTCACTACAGTTATCCCAGTTACCAACAGTCTAGGGTACGAAGTCAGGGAGGCCGGGCAGCCTGTCCTTCACAGCCTTTCCCTCTGGCCTTAGGTAGGAAGAAGGGGGCCCTGCTGGTCGGCTCTGCCAAGCTGCAGAATCAGGACCTGGGGTCGTCTCCACAGCTCAGAGCTGTGGCTCAAACCCAGCCATGGAGTTGGGGGTCACTCCCTCGGGGCCAAGGGCCTGACCAAAACCAGGATAGGAGTGCCATGGCCTGGAGCAGCTGTGTGGCTCTGAACGCAGCAGTGAGGGCCATGTGGGCCCCTCCCCACGCAGGGAGGGCCCAACGCTAGGCATGGGGCAGGCATGGCTGTGCACGCAGACGCCCCCTCAGCAGGCCGTCAAGGCCCTGCATTAAAGCAAACATGAGCCACCTTCAGTGTGTGCGTTTCCAACACAAGATGCTGTTAGCTGAAGGGAGGACTGGGATGGGCCCGTCCCGCCCCCCACCAACGGGGCATCAAGGTGAAGGACCAGGAGAAGAGGAGGCGTGTGGAGGAAGAAGGCGGAGGAATGGGGAGAGGGGGTGGAGCAGGGCCCACTTCCAGGCACGGCCTTCACTGCAGCCCTCGTCCCACCTGAGCTCCCAGGGCATACAGACAGCAACGCTGGCAGAGCACAGGCAAGGACGGTTTCTGTGGCAGGAACCTCGGCGGGTGGCAGGAGGAGCTAGCGGGCACCCACCTCTCTCCCAAGGGCCACGGCGTCCGAGGCTGGGGGCTGCTTCCTGCCTGAAGGCTCCGCTCCCCCGTGCTGGGCTATCCTGAGATGCTTCCCCAGCTCAGCCACCTGCTTCCGCAGCTCCAAAACCTCCAGGTGTACCTGGTCCACCTCACGGGGAAGCTCACGCTGGAGAGCGGCCGGCTCCAGGGGTTCCCGCAGCACCTAGGGGTCATTTCAAAGGCAGTGTGAGGAATGAGGCAGTGGCTGGGCTGGAGCAGGCCCCTGGGCACTGACAGGAAGCGCTGTGAGTGCCGGGAAAGAACGGGGAGCCCGGGGTCAGGGCCTCCTCCCCAGCTGGATGCAACTGCCCTCAGCCCTCTGCCCCCAACCACGGCCACTGCTCCTCCTGCCCCGCCCAGCTGGCCCTGGCAGTTCCCCTGTGCCCTGCTCTGGACTCCTAGGCTGGTGGGGAGAATCCGTGCATGGACTGAGGCAGAGCGCCTCGAAACCCCTTCCTGAGCCTCCTCCCAGGGAGAAACAAAGGCCTCCAGAATTGCAAGTAACCGGTAGGAGGTGTTGATTTTTCTTTTCTGCTAATCAAAGGGGGCAGACATGGGGAGGCCAGAGGTAAACAGGCCAGGAAGTCGGAGGGCTGAGGCTATTGAAAGGCAGGTGGATAGGCTGGGTGCGGTGGCTCACGCCTATAATCCCAGTGCCTTGGGAGGCCGAGGAGGGTGGATCACGAGGTCAGGAGATCGAGACCATCCTGGCCAACATGGTGAAACCCCATCTCTACTAAAAAATAAAAAAAATTAGCCGGGCATGGCGGTGGGTGCCTGTGGTCCCAGCTACTTGGGAGGCTGAGGCAGGAGAATGGCATGAACCCGGGAGGTGGAGCTTGCAGTGAGCCAAGATCGCGCCAGTGTACTCCAGCCTGGGCGACAGAGCGAGACTCCATTTCAAAAAAAAAAAAAAAAAAGCTTGTATTAATTTTTATTTATTTACTTATTTTATTCAGACGGCATCTTAGTTGGTTGCTTAGGCTGGTCTCAAACTCCTGGGCTCAAGCGATCCTTCTGCCTCAGCCTCCCAAAGTGTTGGGATTACACGTGTGAGCCACCGCATCCAGCCTATTTCTATTTTTAGAGACAGGGTCTTGCTCTTCGCCCAAGCTGGGGCAGAGTGGCGCGATCGTGGCTCGCCGCAGCCTCAACCATCTGGGCTCAAGCAACCCTCCCACTGGGCTCAAGTAATCCTCAGCCTCCTGAGTAGCTGGGACTACAGACGCACCACCATGCTTGGCTAATTATTTCAGTTTTTATTACAGATGGGGTCTTGCTGTGTTGCCCAGGCTGATTTCAAACTGCTGAGCTCAAATAATCCTCCCACCTCACCATTCCAAAGTGTGGGGATTACAGGCATGCACCACCGTGCCCAGCCTTGTTTAGTTTTTGTAGGGACAAGGTCTCCCTATGTTGCCCAGGCTGGTCTCAAACTCCTGGGCTCAAGTGATCTTCCTGCCTCAGACTCCCAAAGTGTTGAGATTACAGGTGTGTACCACCGTGCCCAGCCTAAAAGCTGTATTTAAATGTTTATTTCTTGTCTGTAGCATTTGTGCGGGAAATGGGGGAAACAGCAACTGCAAAGCATCGGGGATCTGGAGCCCCTTCACGGGCACATGGATCTTCAACTCCCTCGACTGGAGCCCCTCACGTGTACATGGATCTTCAACTGCCTCGACAGAAATGGAAAAGTGGCCAAGTTCCTCTCCATTGCAACAACAAGGACACACTTCCAATCAAGGCGAGGCGTTAGGCATCAGCAGAAAATGAGAGGTATGAGGGTAACGCACATGTTAATTAGCCTCATTTAGCCCTTCCAGTGTGGGCATGTTTCAAAACATCATGTCGCATACCATAGAGATATACAATTTATATTTGTCATTTTCTTTTTTTTTTTTTTTGAGACGGAGTCTTGCTCTGTCGCCCAGGCTGGAGTGCAGTAGCGCGATCTCAGCTCACTGCAACCTCCGCCTCCCGGGTTCAAGCAATTGCCTTGCCTCAGCCTCCCGAGTAGCTGGGATTACAGGCACGCACCACCACACCCGGCTCATCTTTTGTATTTTAGTAGACACAGAGTTCATCATGTTGGCCAAGATGGTCTCAATCTCCTGACCTGGTGATCTGCCCATCTTGGACTCCCAAGGTGCTGGGATTACAGGCGTGAGCCACCTCGCCTGGCCATATTTGCCATTTTCAATCAATCCATCAAACATCTTAGGAAGATTAAAAAAAAAAAGCATCCAATTTCTGGAGCACTGTGCACTCCCTGGGCAGATGGGAAATCTGGAATACTTTGTTTCTAGAGAGATGTTCTGCGTTAGAGAAGAAGCAGAGGCTGCAGGGAAGGCGTGGTTTATGTATTTACAATGCGAGAGGACATGTGGAAGTTCCCTTGTTATGTCGCCTCACAAGGAATAAAAGCAACAGGATGAGGACAGCATGACTCAGAAGCACAAGCAACAGGAGACATGATCAACAGGACTGGATCAAAACTGGAAACATTCGGTGTCCTTCAAAGGACACCATCAGGAAAGTGAAAAGACAGGCCAGGTGCAGTGACTCATACCTGTAATGCCAGCACTTTGGGAGGCAGACAGGCCAGGTGCAGTGGCTCATACCTGTAATCTCAGCACTTTGGGAGGCAGACAGGCCAGGTGCAGTGGCTCATACCTGTAATCCCAGCACTTTGGGAGGCACACAGGCCAGGTGCAGTGGCTCATACCTGTAATGCCAGCACTTTGGGAGGCAGACAGGCCAGGTGCAGTGGCTCATACCTGTAATCCCAGCACTTTGGGAGGCAGACAGGCCAGGTGCAGTGGCTCATACCTGTAATCCTAGCACTTTGGGAGGCAGAGGTGGGAAGATCACCTGAGGTGAGGAGTTCGATACCAGCCTGGCCAACATGGTAAAACCCCATCTCTACCAAAAATACAAAAATTAGCAGGCGTGGTGGCTCATGCCTGTAATCCCAGCTACTTGGGAGGCTGAGGCAGGAGAATTCCTTGAACCCGGGAGGCGGAGGTTGCAGTCAGCCGAGATCACGCCATTGCACTCCAGCCTGGGCGACACAGCAAGACTCTGTCTCAAAAAAAAAAAAAAAAAAAAAAAAAGAGAAAGTGAAAAGACAAACCACAGAATGGGAGAAAAATGTAGCAAATCATATATCTAATAAGGGACTTGTATCTGGAATATAAAAAGAATTCTTACAACTCAAATAAAAAGACAACCCAATTAAAACTGGGCAAGGGATCCACACGGATGTTTCTCCAAAGAAGACAAATGGCTCAAATGGCTGACCAAGACGCACATGAGACGATGCTCGACACCAGGAGTCATCAGGAAAATGCAAATCAAAACCACAGCGAGGCCCCACTTCACTCCCACCAGGATGCCTAGCATCACAGCCAGAAAACAGCTAGTGT